>NC_000002.12:92271080-92571080 GCF_000001405.40 Homo sapiens | reverse complement strand
GCTCTATGAAAGGGACTGTTCAACACTGTGACTTCAATTGAAACATCCCAATGAAGCTTCTGAGAATGCTTCTGTCTAGAGTTTATATGAAGACAATCCCGTTTCCAACGAAATCCTCAAAGCTATCCAAATATCCTCTTGCAGGTTTTACAAAAAGAGTGTTTCAAAACTGCTCTATCAAAAGAAAGCTTCAACACTGTTAGTTGAGTGCGCACATCACAAATAAGTTTCTGAGAATGCTTCTGTCTAGTTTTCAGGGGAAGATATTTCCTTTTTCACCATAGGCCTGAAAGCGCTCCAAATGTCCACATCCAGATACTACAAAAAGAGTGTTTCAAACCTGCTCTATGAAAGGGAATGTTCAACTCTGTGACTTGAATGCAAGCATCACAAAGAAGTTTCTGGGAATGCTGCTGTCTGCTTTTTATATGTAATCCCGTTTCCAACGAAATCCTCAAAGCTAGACAAATATCCACTTGCAGATTCCACAAAAAGAGTGTATCAAAACTGCTCTCTCAAAGGAAAGGTTCACCTCTGTTAGCTGAGTAGATACATCATGAAAAAGTTTCTGACATTGCTTCTGTCTAGTTTTCAGGGGAAGATATTTCCTTTTAAACCATAGGCCTGAAAGCGCTCCAAATGTCCACATCCAGATACTACAAGAAGAGTGTTTCAAACCTGCTCTATGAAAGGGACTGTTCAACACTGTGACTTCAATTGAAACATCCCAATGAAGCTTCTGAGAATGCTTCTGTCTAGAGTTTATATGAAGACAATCCCGTTTCCAACGAAATCCTCAAAGCTACCAAATATCCTCTTGCAGATTTTACAAAAAGAGTGTTTCAAAACTGCTCTATCAAAAGAAAGCTTCAACACTGTTAGTTGAGGGTGCACATCACAAATAAGATTCTGAGAATGCTTCTGTCTAGATTTCAGGAGAAGATATTTCCTTTTTCACCATAGGCCTGAAAGCCCTCCAAATGTCCACATCCAGATACTATAAAAAGAGTGTTTCAAACCTGCTCTCTGAAAGGGAATGTTCAACTCTGTGACTTGAATGCAAACATCACAAACAAGATTCTGGGAATGCTGCTGTCTGCTTTTTATATGTAATCCCGTTTCCAACGAAATCCTCAAAGCTAGACAAATATCCACTTGCAGATTCCACAAAAAGAGTGTTTCAAAACTGCTCTATCAAAAGAAAGCTACAACACTGTTAGTTGAGGGCGCACATCACAAATAAGTTTCTGAGAATGCTTCTGTCTAGTTTTCAGGGGAAGATATTTCCTTTTTCACCATAGGCCTGAAAGCGCTCGAAATGTCCACATCCAGATACTACAAAAAGAGTGTTTCAAACCTGCTCTATGAAAGGGACTGTTCAACACTGTGACTTCAATTGAAACATCCCAATGAAGCTTCTGAGAATGCTTCTGTCTAGAGTTTATATGAAGACAATCCCGTTTCCAAAGAAATCCTCAAAGCTATCCAAATATCCTCTTGCAGATTTTACAAAAAGTGTGTTTCAAAACTGCTCTATCAAAAGAAAGCTTCAACACTGTTAGTTGAGGGCGCACATCACAAATAAAATTCTGAGAATGCTTCTGTCTAGTTTTCAGGGGAAGATATTTCCTTTTTCACCATAGGCCTGAAAGCGCTCCAAATGTCCACATCCAGATACTTCAAAAAGAGTGTTTCAAACCTGCTCTATGAAAGGGAATGTTCAACTCTCTGACTTGAATGCAAACATCACAAAGAAGTTACTGGGAATGCTGCTGTCTGCTTTTTATATGTAATCCCGTTTCCAACGAAATCCTCAAAGGTAGACAAATATCCACTTGCAGATTCCACAAAACGAGTGTTTCAAAACTGCTCTCTCAAATGAAGGTTCAACTCTGTTAGCTGAGTAGATACATCATGAAAAAGTTTCTGACATTGCTTCTATCTGGCTTTTATTGGAAGATATTTCCTTTTTCACCATAGTCCTGAGAACGCTCCAAATGTCCACTTCCAGATATTACAAAAAGAGTGTTTCAAACCTGCTCTACGAAAGGGACTGTTCAACACTGTGACTTCAATTGAAACATCCCAACGAAGCTTCTGAGAATGCTTCTGTCAAGATTGTATATGAAGACAATCCCGTTTCCAACGAAATCCTCAAAGCTATCCAAATATCCTCTTGCAGATTTTACAAAAAGAGTGTTTCAAAACTGCTCTATCAAAAGAAAGCTTCAACACTGTTAGTTGAGGGCGCACATCACAAATAAGTTTCTGAGAATGCTGCTGTCTGCTTTTTATATGTAATCCCGTTTCCAACGAAATCCTCAAAGCTAGACAAATATCCACTTGCAGATTCCACAAAAAGAGTGTTTCAAAACTGCTCTCTCAAAAGAAAGGTTCAACTCTGTTAGTTGAGTACACACATCACAAATAAGTTTCTGAGAATGCTTCTGTCTAGTTTTCAGGGGAAGATATTTCCTTTTAAACCATAGGCCTGAAAGCGCTCCAAATGTCCACATCCAGATACTACAAAAAGAGTGTTTCAAACCTGCTCTATGAAAGGGACTGTTCAACACTGTGACTTCAATTGAAACATCCCAATGAAGCTTCTGAGAATGCTTCTGTCTAGAGTTTATATGAAGACAATCCCGTTTCCAACGAAATCCTCAAAGCTATCCAAATATCCTCTTGCAGATATTACAAAAAGAGTGTTTCAAAACTGCTCTATCAAAAGAAAGCTTCAACACTGTTAGTTGAGGGCGCACATCACAAATAAGTTTCTGAGAATGCTTCTGTCTAGTTTTCAGGGGAAGATATTTCCTTTTTCACCATAGGCCTGAAAGCGCTCCAAATGTCCACATCCAGATACTTCAAAAAGAGTGTTTCAAACCTGCTCTATGAAAGGGAATGTTCAACTCTGTGACTTGAATGCAAACATCACAAAGAAGTTACTGGGAATGCTGCTGTCTGCTTTTTATATGTAATCCCGTTTCCAACGAAATCCTCAAAGCTAGACAAATATCCACTTGCAGATTCCACAAAAAGAGTGTTTCAAAACTGCTCTCTCAAAAGAAAGGTTCAATTCTGTTAGCTGAGTAGATACATCATGAAAAATTTTCTGACATTGCTTCTACCTAGCTTTATTTGGAAGATATTTCCTGTTTCACCGTAGTCCTGAAAACGCTCCAAATGTCAACTTCCAGATACTACAAAAAGAGTGTTTCAAACATACTCTATGAAAGGGACTGTTCAACACAGTGACTTCAATTGAAACATCCCAATGAAGCTTCTGAGAATGCTTCTGTCTAGAGTTTATATGAAGACAATCCCGTTTCAAACGAAATCCTCAAAGCTATCCAAATATCCTCTTGCAGATTTTACAAAAAGAGTGTTTCAAAACAGCTCTATCAAAAGAAAAGTTCAACAGTGTTAGTTGAGGGCGCACATCACAAATAAGATTCTGAGAATGCTTCTGTCTAGTTTTCAGGAGAAGATATTTCCTTTTTCACCATAGGCCTGAAAGCGCTCCAAATGTCCACATCCAGATACTACAAAAAGAGTGTTTCAAACCTGCTCTATGAAAGGGAATGTTCAACTCTGTGACTTGAATGCAAACATCACAAAGAAGTTTCTGGGAATGCTGCTGTCTGCTTTTTATATGTAATCCCGTTTCCAACGAAATCCTCAAAGCTAGACAAATATCCACTTGCAGATTCCACAAAAAGAGTGTTTCAAAACTGCTCTATCAAAAGAAAGCTTCAACACTGTTAGTTGAGGGCGCACATCACAAATAAGTTTCTGAGAATGCTTCTGTCTAGTTTTCAGGGGAAGATATTTCCTTTTTCACCATAGGCCTGAAAGCGCTCTAAATGTCCACATCCAGATACTACAAAAAGAGTGTTTCAAACCTGCTCTATGAAAGGGACTGTTCAACACTGTGACTTCAATTGAAACATCCCAATGAAGCTTCTGAGAATGCTTCTGTCTAGAATTTATATGAAGACAATCCCGTTTCCAAAGAAATCCTCAAAGCTATCCAAATATCCTCTTGCAGATTTTACAAAAAGAGTGTTTCAAAACTGCTCTATCAAAAGAAAGCTTCAACACTGTTAGTTGAGGGCGCACATAACAAATAACATTCTGAGAATGCTTCTGTCTAGTTTTCAGGGGAAGATATTTCCTTTTTCACCATAGGCCTGAAAGCGCTCCAAATGTCCACATCCAGATACTTCAAAAAGAGTGTTTCAAACCTGCTCTATGAAAGGGAATGTTCAACTCTGTGACTTGAATGAAAACATCACAAAGAAGTTACTGGGAATGCTGCTGTCTGCTTTTTATATGTAATCCCGTTTCCAACGAAATCCTCAAAGCTAGACAAATATCCACTTGCAGATTCCACAAAAAGAGTGTTTCAAAACTGCTCTCTCAAAGGAAAGGTTCAACTCTGTTAGCTGAGTAGATACATCATGAAAAAGTTTCTGACATTGCTTCTATGTAGCTTTTATTGGAAGATATTTCCTTTTTCACCATAGTCCTGAGAGCGCTCCAAATGTCCACTTCCAGATACTACAAAAAGAGTGTTTCAAACCTGTTCTATGAAAGGAACTGTTCAACACTGTGACTTCAATTGAAACATCCCAATGAAGCTTCTGAGAATGCTTCTGTCTAGAGTTTATATGAAGACAATCCCGTTTCCAACGAAATCCTCAAAGCTATCCAAATATCCTCTTGCACATATTACAAAAAGAGTGTTTCAGAACTGCTCTATCAAAAGAAAGCTTCAACACTGTTAGTTGAGGGCGCACATCACAAATAAGATTCTGAGAATGCTTCTGTCTAGTTTTCAGGAGAAGATATTTCCTTTTTCACCATAGGCCTGAAAGCGCTCCAAATGTCCACATCCAGATACTATAAAAAGAGTGTTTCAAACCTGCTCTCTGAAAGGGAATGTTCAACTCTGTGACTTGAATGCAAACATCACAAACAAGATTCTGGGAATGCTGCTGTCTGCTTTTTATATGTAATCCCGTTTCCAACGAAATCCTCAAAGCTAGAAAAATATCCAGATGCAGATTCCACAAAAAGAGTGTTTCAAAACTGCTCTCTCAAAAGAAAGGTTCAACTCTGTTAGCTGAGTGGATACATCATGAAAAAGTTTCTGACATTGCTTCTGTCTAGTTTTCAGGGGAAGATATTTCCTTTTTCACCTTAGGCCTGAAAGCGCTGCAAATGTCCACATCCAGATACTACAAAAAGAGTGTTTCAAACCTGCTCTATGAAAGGGAATGTTCAACTCTGTGACTTGAATGCAAACATCACAAAGAAGTTTCTGGGAATGCTGCTGTCTGGTTTTTATATGTAATCCCGTTTCCAACGAAATCCTCAAAGCTAGACAAATATCCACTTGCAGATTCCACAAAACGAGTGTTTCAAAACTGCTCTCTCAAATGAAGGTTCAACTCTGTTAGCTGAGTAGATACATCATGAAAAAGTTTCTGACATTGCTTCTATCTAGCTTTTATTGGAAGATATTTCCTTTTTCACCGCAGTCCTGAGAGCGTTCCAAATGTCCACTTCCAGATACTACAAAAAGAGTGTTTCAAACCTGCTCTATGAAAGGGACTGTTCAACACTGTGACTTCAATTGAAACATCCCAATGAAGCTTCTGAGAATGCTTCTGTCTAGAGTTTATATGAAGACAATCCCGTTTCCAACGAAATCCTCAAAGCTATCCAAATATCCTCTTGCAGATTTTACAAAAAGAGTGTTTCAAAACTGCTCTATCAAAAGAAAGCTTCAACACTGTTAGTTGAGGGCGCACATCACAAATAAGTTTCTGAGAATGCTTCTGTCTAGTTTTCAGGGGAAGATATTTCCTTTTTCACCATAGGCCTGAAAGCGCTCCAAATGTCCACATCCAGATACTTCAAAAAGAGTGTTTCAAACCTGCTCTATGAAAGGGAATGTTCAACTCTGTGACTTGAATGCAAACATCACAAAGAAGATTACTGGGAATGCTGCTGTCTGCTTTTTATATGTAATCCCGTTGCTCAACGAAATCCTCAAAGCTAGACAAATATCCACTTGCAGATTCCACAAAAAGAGTGTTTCAAAACTGCTCTCTCAAAGGAAAGGTTCAACTCTGTTAGCTGAGTAGATACATCATGAAAAAGTTTCTGACATTGCTTCTATCTAGCTTTTATTGGAAGATATTTCCTTTATCACCGTATTCCTGAGATCTCTCCAAATGTCCACTTCCAGATACTACAAAAAGAGTATTTCAAACCTGCTCTATGAAAGGGACTGTTCAACACTGTGACTTCAATTGAAACATCCCAATGAAGCTTCTGAGAATGCTTCTGTCTAGAGTTTATATGAAGACAATCCCGTTTCCAACGAAATCCTCAAAGCTATCCAAATATCCTCTTGCAGATTTTACAAAAAGAGTGTTTCAAAACTGCTCTATCAAAAGAAAGCTTCAACACTGTTAGTTGAGGGCGCACATCACAAATAAGATTCTGAGAATGCTTCTGTCTAGTTTTCTGGGGAAGATATTTCCTTTTTCACCATAGGCCTGAAAGCGCTCCAAATGTCCACATCCAGATACTACAAAAAGAGTGTTTCAAACCTGCTCTATGAAAGGGAATGTTCAACTCTGTGACTTGAATGCAAACATCACAAAGAAGTTACTGGGAATGCTGCTGTCTGCTTTTTATATGTAATCCCGTTTCCAACGAAATCCTCAAAGCTAGACAAATATCCACTTGCAGATTCCACAAAAAGAGTGTTTCAAAACTGCTCTCTCAAAAGAATGCTTCAACACTCTTAGTTGAGGGCGCACATCACAAATAAGTTTCTGAGAATGCTTCTGTCTAGTTTTCAGGGGAAGATATTTCCTTTTAAACCATATGCCTGAAAGCGCTCCAAATGTCCACATCCAGATACTACAAAAAGAGTGTTTCAAACCTGCTCTATGAAAGGGACTGTTCAACACTGCAACTTCAATTGAAACATCCCAATGAAGCTTCTGAGAATGCTTCTGTCTAGAGTTTATATGAAGACAATCCCGTTTCCAACGAAATCCTCAAAGCTATCCAAATATCCTCTTGCAGATATTACAAAAAGAGTGTTTCAAAACTGCTCTATCAAAAGAAAGCTTCAACACTGTTAGTTGAGGGCGCACATCACAAATAAGTTTCTGAGAATGCTTCTGTCTAGTTTTCAGGGGAAGATATTTCCTTTTTCACCTTAGGCCTGAAAGCGCTGCAAATGTCCACATCCAGATACTACAAAAAGAGTGTTTCAAACCTGCTCTATGAAAGGGAATGTTCAACTCTGTGACTTGAATGCAAACAACACAAAGAAGTTTCTGGGAATGCTGCTGTCTGCTTTTTATATGTAATCCCGTTTCCAACGAAATCCTCAAAGCTAGACAAATATCCACTTGCAGATTCCACAAAACGAGTGTTTCAAAACTGCTCTCTCAAAGGAAGGTTCAACTCTGTTAGCTGAGTAGATACATCATGAAAAAGTTTCTGACATTGCTTCTATCTAGCTTTTATTGGAAGATATTTCCTTTTTCACCGCAGTCCTGAGAGCGTTCCAAATGTCCACTTCCAGATACTACAAAAAGAGTGTTTCAAACCTGCTCTATGAAAGGGACTGTTCAACACTGTGACTTCAATTGAAACATCCCAATGAAGCTTCTGAGAATGCTTCTGTCTAGAGTTTATATGAAGACAATCCCGTTTCCAACGAAATCCTCAAAGCTATCCAAATATCCTCTTGCAGATATTACAAAAAGAGTGTTTCAAAACTGCTCTATCAAAAGAAAGCTTCAACACTGTTAGTTGAGGGCGCACATCACAAATAAGTTTCTGAGAATGCTTCTGTCTAGTTTTCAGGGGAAGATATTTCCTTTTTCACCATAGGCCTGAAAGCGCTCCAAATGTCCACATCCAGATACTACAAAAAGAGTGTTTCAAACCTGCTCTATGAAAGGGAATGTTCAAGTCTGTGACTTGAATGCAAATTTCACAAAGAACTTTCTGGGAATGCTGCTGTCTGCTTTTTATATGTAATCCCGTTTCCAACGAAATCCTCAAAGCTAGACAAATATCCACCTGCAGATCCAACAAAAAGACTGTTTCAAAACTGCTCTCTCAAAAGAAAGGTTCAACTCTGTTAGCTGAGTAGATACATCATGAAAAAGTTTCTGACATTGCTTCTATCTAGCTTTTATTGGAAGATATTTCCTTTTTCACCATAGTCCTGAGAACGCTCCAAATGTCCACTTCCAGATATTACAAAAAGAGTGTTTCAAACCTGCTCTACGAAAGGGACTGTTCAACACTGTGACTTCAATTGAAACATCCCAATGAAGCTTCTGAGAATGCTTCTGTCTAGAGTTTATATGAAGACAATCCCGTTTCCAACGAAATCCTCAAAGCTATCCAAATATCCTCTTGCAGATTTTACAAAAAGAGTGTTTCAAAACTGCTCTATCAAAAGAAAGCTTCAACACTGTTAGTTGAGGGCGCACATCACAAATAAGATTCTGAGAATGCTTCTGTCTAGTTTTCAGGGGAAGATATTTCCTTTTTCACCATAGGCCTGAAAGCGCTCCAAATGTCCACATCCAGATACTACAAAAAGATTGTTTCAAACCTGCTCTATGAAAGGGAATGTTCAACTCTGTGACTTGAATGCAAACATCACAAAGAAGTTTCTGGGAATGCTGCTGTCTGCTTTTTATATGTAATCCCGTTTCCAACGAAATCCTCAAAGCTAGACAAATATCCACTTGCAGATTCCACAAAAAGAGTGTTTCAAAACTGCTCTATCAAAAGAAAGCTTCAACACTGTTAGTTGAGGGCGCACATCACAAATAAGTTTCTGAGAATGCTTCTGTCTAGTTTTCAGGGGAAGATATTTCCTTTTTCACCTTAGGCCTGAAAGCGCTGCAAATGTCCACATCCAGATACTACAAAAAGAGTGTTTCAAACCTGCTCTATGAAAGGGAATGTTCAACTCTGTGACTTGAATGCAAACATCACAAAGAAGTTTCTGGGAATGCTGCTGTCTGCTTTTTATATGTAATCCCGTTTCCAACGAAATCCTCAAAGCTAGACAAATATCCACTTGCAGATTCCACAAAAAGAGTGTTTCAAAACTGCTCTCTCAAAAGAAAGGTTCAACTCTGTTAGCTGAGTAGATACATCATGAAAAAGTTTCTGACATTGCTTCTATCTGGCTTTTATTGGAAGATATTTCCTTTATCACCGTATTCCTGA
Organism: Homo sapiens; assembly: GCF_000001405.40. NCBI lineage: Eukaryota > Metazoa > Chordata > Mammalia > Primates > Hominidae > Homo > Homo sapiens. The sequence continues at coordinate 92,561,789 of NC_000002.12, read as the reverse complement.
GATCTCTCCAAATGTCCACTTCCAGATACTACAAAAAGAGTGTTTCAAACCTGCTCTATGAAAGGGACTGTTCAACACTGTGACTTCAATTGAAACATCCCAATGAAGCTTCTGAGAATGCTTCTGTCTAGAGTTTATATGAAGACAATCCCGTTTCCAACGAAATCCTCAAAGCTATCAAAATATCCTCTTGCAGATTTTACGAAAAGAGTGTTTCAAAACTGCTCTATCAAAAGAAAGCTTCAACACTGTTAGTTGAGGGCGCACATCACAAATAAGATTCTGAGAATGCTTCTGTCTAGTTTTCAGGAGAAGATATTTCCTTTTTCACCATAGACCTGAAAGCGCTCCAAATGTCCACATCCAGATACTATAAAAAGAGTGTTTCAAACCTGCTCTCTGAAAGGGAATGTTCAACTCTGTGACTTGAATGCAAACATCACAAACAAGATTCTGGGAATGCTGCTGTCTGCTTTTTATATGTAATCCCGTTTCCAACGAAATCCTCAAAGCTATCCAAATATCCTCTTGCAGATATTACAAAAAGAGTGTTTCAAAACTGCTCTATCAAAAGAAAGGTTCAACACTGTTAGTTGAGGGCGCACATCACAAATAAGTTTCTGAGAATGCTTCTGTCTAGTTTTCAGGGGAAGATATTTCCTTTTTCACCCTAGGCCTGAAAGCGCTCCAAATGTCCACATCCAGATACTACAAAAAGAGTGTTTCAAACCTGCTCTATGAAAGGGAATGTTCAACTCTGTGACTTGAATGCAAACATCACAAAGAAGTTACTGGGAATGCTGCTGTCTGCTTTTTATATGTAATCCCGTTTCCAAAGAAATCCTCAAAGCTAGACAAATATCCACTTGCAGATTCCACAAAAAGAGTGTTTCAAAACTGCTCTCTCAAAGGAAAGGTTCAACTCTGTTAGCTGAGTAGATACATCATGAAAAAGTTTCTGACATTGCTTCTATGTAGCTTTTATTGGAAGATATTTCCTTTTTCACCATAGTCCTGAGAGCGCTCCAAATGTCCACTTCCAGATACTACAAAAAGAGTGTTTCAAACCTGTTCTATGAAAGGAACTGTTCAACACTGTGACTTCAATTGAAACATCCCAATGAAGCTTCTGGGAATGCTTCTGTCTAGAGTTTATATGAAGACAATCCCGTTTCCAACGAAATCCTCAAAGCTATCCAAATATCCTCTTGCAGATATTACAAAAAGAGTGTTTCAAAACTGCTCTATCAAAAGAAAGCTTCAACACTGTTAGTTGAGGGCGCACATTACAAATAAGTTTCTGAGAATGCTTCTGTCTAGTTTTCAGGGGAAGATATTTCCTTTTTCACCTTATGCCTGAAAGCGCTGCAAATGTCCACATCCAGATACTACAAAAAGAGTGTTTCAAACCTGCTCTATGAAACGGAATGTTCAACTCTGTGACTTGAATGCAAACATCACAAAGAAGTTTCTGGGAATGCTGCTGTCTGCTTTTTATATGTAATCCCGTTTCCAACGAAATCCTCAAAGCTAGACAAATATCCACTTGCAGATTCCACAAAACGAGTGTTTCAAAACTGCTCTCTCAAAAGAAGGTTCAACTCTGTTAGCTGAGTAGATACATCATGAAAAAGTTTCTGACATTGCTTCTATCTAGCTTTTATTGGAAGATATTTCCTTTATCACCTTAGTCCTGAGAGCGCTCCAAATGTCCACTTCCAGATACTACAAAAAGAGTGTTTCAAACCTGCTCTATGAAAGGGACTGTTCAACACTGTGACTTCAATTGAAACATCCCAATGAAGCTTCTGAGAATGCTTCTGTCTAGAGTTTATATGAAGACAATCCCGTTTCCAACGAAATCCTCAAAGCTATCCAAATATCCTCTTGCAGATATTACAAAAAGAGTGTTTCAAAACTGCTCTATCAAAAGAAAGGTTCAACACTGTTAGTTGAGGGCGCACATCACAAATAAGTTTACTGAGAATGCTGCTGTCTGCTTTTTATATGTAATCCCGTTTCCAACGAAATCCTCAAAGCTAGACAAATATCCACTTGCAGATTCCACAAAAAGAGTGTTTCAAAACTACTCTATCAAAAGAAAGCTTCAACACTGTTAGTTGAGGTCGCACATCACAAATAAGTTTCTGAGAATGCTTCTGTCTAGTTTTCAGGGGAAGATATTTCCTTTTAAACCATAGGCCTGAAAGCGCTCCAAATGTCCACATCCAGATACTACAAAAAGAGTGTTTCAAACCTGCTCTATGAAAGGGAATGTTCAACACTGTGACTTCAATTGAAACATCCCAATGACGCTTCTGAGAATGCTACTGTCTACAGTTTATATGAAGACAATCCCGTTTCCAACGAAATCTTCAAAGCTATCCAAATATCCTCTTGCAGATTTTACAAAAAGTGTGTTTCAAAACTACTCTATCAAAAGAAAGGTTTAACACTGTTAGTTGAGGGCGCACGTCACAAATAAGTTTCTGAGAATGCTACTGTCTAGTTTTCAGGGGAAGATATTTCCTTTTTCACCATAGGCCTGAAAGCGCTCCAAATGTCCACATCCAGATACTACAAAAAGAGTGTTTCAAACCCGCTCTATGGAAGGGAATGTTCAAGTCTGTGACTTGAATGCAAATATCACAAAGAAGTTTCTGGGAATGCTGCTGTCTGCTTTTCATATGTAATCCCGTTTCCAACGAAATCCTCAAAGCTAGACAAATATCCACTTGCAGATTCCACAAAAAGAGTGTTTCAAAACTGCTCTCTAAAAGGAAAGGTTCAACTCTGTTAGCTGAGTAGATACATCATGAAAAAGTTTCTGACACTGCTTCTATGTAGCTTTTATTGGAAGATATTTCCTTTTTCACCATAGTCCTGAGAGCGCTCAAAATGTCCACTTCCAGATACTACAAAAAGAGTGTTTCAAACCTGTTCTATGAAAGGAACTGTTCAACACTGTGACTTCAATTGAAACATCCCAATGAAGCTTCTGAGAATGCTTCTGTCTAGAGTTTATATGAAGACTATCCCGTTTCCAACGAAATCCTTAAAGCTATCCAAATATCCTCTTGCAAATATTACAAAAAGAGTGTTTCAAAACTGCTCTATCAAAAGAAAGGTTCAACACTTTTAGTTGAGGGCGCACATCACAAATAAGTTTCTGAGAATGATTCTGTCTAGTTTTCAGGGGAAGATATTTCCTTTTTCACCATAGGCCTGAAAGCGCTCCAAATGTCCACATACAGATACTACAAAAAGAGTGTTTCAAACCTGCTCTATGAAAGGGAATGTTCAACTCTGTGACTTGAATGCAAACTTCACAAAGAAGTTTCTGGGAATGCTGCTGTCTGCTTTTTATATGTAATCCCGTTTCCAACGAAATCCTCAAAGCTAGACAAATATCCACTTGCAGATTCCACAAAAAGAGTGTTTCAAAACTGCTCTATCAAAAGAAAGCTTCAACACTGTTAGTTGAGGGCGCACATCACAAATAAGTTTCTGAGAATGCTTCTGTCTAGTTTTCAGGGGAAGATATTTCCTTTTTCACCTTATGCCTGAAAGCGCTGCAAATGTCCACATCCAGATACTACAAAAAGAGTGTTTCAAACCTGCTCTATCAAAGGGACTGTTCAACACTGTGACTTCAATTGAAACATCCCAATGAAGCTTCTGAGAATGCTTCTGTCTAGAGTTTATATGAAGACAATCTCGTTTCCAACGAAATCCTCAAAGCTATCCAAATATCCTCTTGCAGATTTTACACAAAGAGTGCTTCAAAACTGCCCTATCAAAAGAAAGGTTCAACACTGTTAGTTGAGGGCGCACATCACATATAAGTTTCTGAGAATGCTTCTGTCTAGTTTTCAGGGGAAGATATTTCCTTTTTCACCATAGGCCTGAAAGCGCTCCAAATGTCCACATCCAGATACTACAAAAAGAGTGTTTCAAACCTGCTCTATGAAAGGGAATGTTCAACCTCTGTGACTTGAATGCAAACATCACAAAGAAGTTACTGGGAATGCTGCTGTCTGCTTTTTATATGTAATCCCGTTTCCAACGAAATCCTCAAAACTAGACAAATATCCACTTGCAGATTCCACAAAAAGAGTGTTTCAAAACTGCTCTCTCAAAAGAAAGGTTCAACTCTGTTAGCTGAGTAGGTACATCATGAAAAAGTTTCTGACATTGCTTCTATCTAGCTTTTATTGGAAGATATTTCCTTTATCACCGTATTCCTGAGATCTCTCCAAATGTCCACTTCCAGATACTACAAAAAGAGTGTTTCAAACCTGCTCTATGAAAGGGACTGTTCAACACTGTGACTTCAATTGAAACATCCCAATGAAGCTTCTGAGAATGCTTCTGTCTAGAGTTTATATGAAGACAATCCCGTTTCCAACGAAATCCTCAAAGCTATCCAAATATCCTCTTGCAGATTTTACAAAAAGAGTGTTTCAAAACTGCTCTATCAAAAGAAAGCTTCAACACTGTTAGTTGAGGGCGCACATCACAAATAAGATTCTGAGAATGCTTCTGTCTAGTTTTCAGGGGAAGATATTTCCTTTTTCACCTTAGGCCTGAAAGCGCTGCAAATGTCCACATCCAGATACTACAAAAAGAGTGTTTCAAACCTGCTCTATGAAAGGGAATGTTCAACTCTGTGACTAGAATGCAAACATCACAAAGAAGTTTCTGGGAATGCTGCTGTCTGCTTTTTATATGTAATCCCGTTTCCAACGAAATCCTCAAAGCTAGACAAATATCCACTTGCAGATTCCACAAAACGAGTGTTTCAAAACTGCTCTCTCAAATGAAGGTTCAACTCTGTTAGCTGAGTAGATACATCATGAAAAAGTTTCTGACATTGCTTCTATCTAGCTTTTATTGGAAGATACTTCCTTTTTCACCGCAGTCCTGAGAGCGCTCCAAATGTCCACTTCCAGATACTACAAAAAGAGTGTTTCAAACCTGCTCTATGAAAGGGACTGTTCAACACTGTGACTTCAATTGAAACATCCCAATGAAGCTTCTGAGAATGCTTCTGTCTAGAGTTTATATGAAGACAATCCCGTTTCCAACGAAATCCTCAAAGCTATCCAAATATCCTCTTGCAGATTTTACGAAAAGAGTGTTTCAAAACTGCTCTATCAAAAGAAAGCTTCAACACTGTTAGTTGAGGGCGCACATCACCAATAAGATTCTGAGAATGCTTCTGTCTAGTTTTCAGGAGAAGATATTTCCTTTTTCACCATAGGCCTGAAAGCGCTCCAAATGTCCACATCCAGATACTATAAAAAGAGTGTTTCAAACCTGCTCTCTGAAAGGGAATGTTCAACTCTGTGACTTGAATGCAAACATCACAAACAAGATTCTGGGAATGCTGCTGTCTGCTTTTTATATGTAATCCCGTTTCCAACGAAATCCTCAAAGCTAGACAAATATCCACTTGCAGATTCCACAAAAAGAGTGTTTCAAAACTGCTCTCTCAAAGGAAAGGTTCAACTCTGTTAGCTGAGTAGATACATCATGAAAAAGTTTGTGACATAGCTTCTATGTAGCTTTTATAGGAAGATATTTCCTTTTTCACCATAGTCCTGAGAGCGCTCCAAATGTCCACTTCCAGATACTACAAAAAGAGTGTTTCAAACCTGTTCTATGAAAGGAACTGTTCAACACTGTGACTTCAATTGAAACATCCCAATGAAGCTTCTGAGAATGCTTCTGTCTAGAGTTTATATGAAGACAATCCCGTTTCCAACGAAATCCTCAAAGCTATCCAAATATCCTCTTGCAGATATTACAAAAAGAGTGTTTCAAAACTGCTCTATCAAAAGAAAGGTTCAACACTGTTAGTTGAGGGCGCACATCACAAATAAGTTTCTGAGAATGCTTCTGTCTAGTTTTCAGGGGAAGATATTTCCTTTTTCACCATAGGCCTGAAAGCGCTCCAAATGTCCACATCCAGATAGTACAAAAAGAGTGTTTCAAACCTGCTCTATGAAAGGGAATGTTCAACTCTGTGACTTGAATGAAAACATCACAAAGAAGTTACTGGGAATGCTGCTGTCTGCTTTTTATATGTAATCCCGTTTCCAACGAAATCCTCAAAGCTAGACAAATATCCACTTGCAGATTCCACAAAAAGAGTGTTTCAAAACTGCTCTATCAAAAGAATGCTTCAACACTGTTAGTTGAGGGCGCACATCACAAATAAGTTTCTGAGAATGCTTCTGTCTAGTTTTCAGGGGAAGATATTTCCTTTTTCACCATAGGCCTGAAAGCGCTCCAAATGTCCACATCCAGATACTACAAAAAGAGTGTTTCAAACCTGCTCTATGAAAGGGACTGTTCAACACTGTGACTTCAATTGAAACATCCCAATGAAGCTTCTGAGAATGCTTCTGTCTAGAGTTTATATGAAGACAATCCCGTTTCCAACGAAATCCTCAAAGCTATCCAAATATCCTCTTGCAGATATTACAAAAAGAGTGTTTCAAAACTGCTCTATCAAAAGAAAGCTTCAACACTGTTAGTTGAGGGGGCACATCACAAATAAGTTTCTGAGAATGCTTCTGTCTAGTTTTCAGGGGAAGATATTTCCTTTTTCACCATAGGCCTGAAAGCGCTCCAAATGTCCACATCCAGATACTACAAAAAGAGTGTTTCAAACCTGCTCTCTGAAAGGGAATGTTCAACTCTGTGACTTGAATGCAAACATCACAAAGAAGTTTCTGGGAATGCTGCTGTCTGCTTTTTATATGTAATCCCGTTTCCAACGAAATCCTCAAAGCTAGACAAATATCCACTTGCAGATTCCACAAAAAGAGTGTTTCAAAACTGCTCTATCAAAAGAATGCTTCAACACTGTTAGTTGAGGGCGCACATCACAAATAAGTTTCTGAGAATGCTTCTGTCTAGTTTTCAGGAGAAGATATTTCCTTTTTCACCGTAGTCCTGAGAGCGCTCCAAATGTCCACTTCCAGATACTACAAAAAGAGTGTTTCAAACCTGCTCTATGAAAGGGACTGTTCAACACTGTGACTTCAATTGAAACATCCCAATGAAGCTTCTGAGAATGCTTCGGTCTAGAGATTGTATGAAGACAATCCCGTTTCCAACGAAATCCTCAAAGCTATCCAAATATCCTCTTGCAGATTTTACAAAAAGAGTGTTTCAAAACTGCTCTATCAAAAGAAAGCTTCAACACTGTTAGTTGAGGGCGCACATCACAAATAAGATTCTGAGAATTCTTCTCTCTAGTTTTCAGGAGAAGATATTTCCTTTTTCACCATAGGCCTGAAAGCGCTCCAAATGTCCACATCCAGATACTATAAAAAGAGTGTTTCAAACCTGCTCTCTGAAAGGGAATGTTCAACTCTGTGACTTGAATGCAAACATCACAAATAAGATTCTGGGAATGCTGCTGTCTGCTTTTTATAATTAATCCCGTTTCCAACGAAATCCTCAAAGCTATCCAAATATCCTCTTGCAGATATTACAAAAAGAGTGTTTCAAAACTGCTCTATCAAAAGAAAGCTTCAACACTGTTAGTTGAGGGCGCACATCACAAATAAGTTTCTGAGAATGCTTCTGTCTAGTTTTCAGGGGAAGATATTTCCTTTTTCACCTTAGGCCTGAAAGCGCTGCAAATGTCCACATCCAGATACTACAAAAAGAGTGTTTCAAACCTGCTCTATGAAAGGGAATGTTCAACTCTGTGACTTGAATGCAAACATCACAAAGAAGTTTCTGGGAATGCTGCTGTCTGCTTTTTATATGTAATCCCGTTTCCAACGAAATCCTCAAAGCTAGACAAATATCCACTTGCAGATTCCACAAAAAGAGTGTTTCAAAACTGCTCTCTCAAAGGAAGGTTCAACTCTTTTAGCTGAGTAGATACATCATGAAAAAGTTTCTGACATTGCTTCTATCTAGCTTTTATTGGAAGATATTTCCTTTTTCACCGCAGTCCTGAGAGCGCTCCAAATGTACACTTCCAGATACTACAAAAGGAGTGTTTCAAACCTGCTCTATGAAAGGGACTGTTCAACACTGTGACTTCAATTGAAACATCCCAATGAAGCTTCTGAGAATGCTTATGTCTAGAGTTTATATGAAGACAATCCCGTTTCCAACGAAATCCTGAAAGCTATCCAAATATCCTCTTGCAGATATTACAAAAAGAGTGTTTCAAAACTGCTCTATCAAAAGAAAGCTTCAACACTGTTAGTTGAGGGCGCCCATCACAAATAAGTTTCGGAGAATGCTTAGCTGTCTGCTTTTTATATGTAATCCCGTTTCCAACGAAATCCTCAAAGCTAGACAAATATCCACTTGCAGATTCCACAAAAAGAGTGTTTCAAAACTGCTCTATCAAAAGAATGCTTCAACACTGTTAGTTGAAGGCGCACATCACAAATAAGTTTCTGAGAATGCTTCTGTCTAGTTTTCAGGGGAAGATATTTCCTTTTTCACCATAGGCCTGAAAGCGCTCCAAATGTCCACATCCAGATACTACAAAAAGAGTGTTTCAAACCTGCTCTATGAAAGGGACTGTTCAACACTGTGACTTCAATTGAAACATCCCAATGAAGCTTCTGAGAATGCTTCTGTCTAGAGATTATATGAAGACAATCCCGTTTCCAACGAAATCCTCAAAGCTATCCAAATATCCTCTTGCAGATTTTACAAAAAGAGTGTTTCAAAACTGCTCTATCAAAAGAAAGGTTCAACACTGTTAGTTGAGGGCGCACATCACAAATAAGTTTCTGAGAATGCTTCTGTCTAGTTTTCAGGGGAAGATATTTCCTTTTTCACCATAGGCCTGAAAGCGCTCCAAATGTCCACATCCAGATACTCCAAAAAGAGTGTTTCAAACCTGCTCTATGAAAGGGAATGTTCAACTCTGTGACTTGAATGCAAACATCACAAAGAAGTTTCTGGGAATGCTGCTGTCTGCTTTTTATATGTAATCCCGTTTCCAACGAAATCCTCAAAGCTAGACAAATATCCACTTGCAGATTCCACAAAAAGAGTGTTTCAAAACTGCTCTCTCAAAGGAAGGTTCAACTCTGTTAGCTGAGTAGATACATCATGAAAAAGTTTCTGACATTGCTTCTATCTAGCTTTTATTGGAAGATATTTCCTTTTTCACCGCAGTCCTGAGAGTGCTCCAAATGTCCACTTCCAGATACTACAAAAAGAGTGTTTCAAACCTGCTCTATGAAAGGGACTGTTCAACACTGTGACTTCAGTTGAAACATCCCAATGAAGCTTCTGAGAATGCTTCTGTCTAGAGTTTATATGAAGTCAATCCCGTTTCCAACGAAATCCTCAAAGCTATCCAAATATCCTCTTGCAGATTTTACGAAAAGAGTGTTTCAAAACTGCTCTATCAAAAGAAAGCTTCAACACTGTTAGTTGAGGGTGCACATCACAAATAAGATTCTGAGAATGCTTCTGTCTAGATTTCAGGAGAAGATATTTCCTTTTTCACCATAGGCCTGAAAGCGCTCCAAATGTCCACATCCAGATACTATAAAAAGAGTGTTTCAAACCTGCTCTCTGAAAGGGAATGTTCAACTCTGTGACTTGAATGCAAACATCACAAACAAGATTCTGGGAATGCTGCTGTCTGCTTTTTATATGTAATCCCGTTTCCAACGAAATCCTCAAAGCTAGACAAATATCCACTTGCAGATTCCACAAAAAGAGTTTTTCAAAACTGCTCTATCAAAAGAATGCTTCAACACTGTTAGTTGAGGGCGCACATCACAAATAAGTTTCTGAGAATGCTTCTGTCTAGTTTTCAGGGGAAGATATTTCCTTTTAAACCATAGGCCTGCAAACGCTCCAAATGTCCACATCCAGATACTACAAAAAGAGTGTTTCAAACCTGCTCTATGAAAGGGACTGTTCAACACTGTGACTTCAATTGAAACATCCCAATGAAGCTTCTGAGAATTCTTCTGTCTAGAGTTTATATGAAGACAATCCCGTTTCCAACGAAATCCTCAAAGCTATCCAAATATCCTCTTGCAGATTTTACAAAAAGAGTGTTTCAAAACTGCTCTATCAAAAGAAAGGTTCAACACTGTTAGTTGAGGGCGCACATCACAAATAAGTTTCTGAGAATGCTTCTGTCTAGTTTTCAGGAGAAGATATTTCCTTTTTCAGCATAGGCCTGAAAGCGCTCCAAATGTCCACATCCAGATACTACAAAAAGAGTGTTTCAAACCTGCTCTATGAAAGGGAATGTTCAACTCTGTGACTTGAATGCAAACATCACAAAGAAGTTACTGGGAATGCTGCTGTCTGCTTTTTATATGTAATCCCGTTTCAAACGAAATCCTCAAAGCTAGACAAATATCCACTTGCAGATTCCACAAAAAGAGTGTTTCAAAACTGCTCTCTCAAAAGAAAGGTTCAACTCTGTTTGCTGAGTAGATACATCATGAAAAAGTTTCTGACATTGCTTCTATCTAGCTTTTATTGGAAGATACTTCCTTTTTCACCGTAGTCCTGAGAGCGCTCCAAATGTCCACTTCCAGATACTACAAAAAGAGTGTTTCAAACCTGCTCTATGAAAGGGACTGTTCAACACTGTGACTTCAATTGAAACATCCCAATGAAGCTTCTGAGAATGCTTCTGTCTAGAGTTTATATGAAGACAATCCCGTTTCCAACGAAATCCTCAAAGCTATCCAAATATCCTCTTGCAGATTTTACAAAAAGAGTGTTTCAAAACTGCTCTATCAAAAGAAAGCTTCAACTCTGTTAGTTGAGGGCGCACATCACAAATAAGATTCTGAGAATGCTTCTGTCTAGTTTTCAGGGGAAGATATTTCCTTTTTCACCATAGGCCTGAAAGCGCTCCAAATGTCCACATCCAGATACTACAAAAAGAGTGTTTCAAACCTGCTCTATGAAAGGGAATGTTCAACTCTGTGACTTGAATGCAAACATCACAAACAAGATTCTGGGAATGCTGCTGTCTGCTTTTTATATGTAATCCCGTTTCCAACGAAATCCTCAAAGCTAGACAAATATCCACTTGCAGATTCCACAAAAAGAGTTTTTCAAAACTGCTCTATCAAAAGAAAGCTTCAACACTGTTAGTTGAGGGCGCACATCACAAATAAGTTTCTGAGAATGCTTCTGTCTAGTTTTCAGGGGAAGATATTTCCTTTTTCACCTTAGGCCTGAAAGCGCTGTAAATGTCCACATCCAGATACTACAAAAAGAGTGTTTCAAACCTGCTCTATGAAAGGGAATGTTCAACTCTGTGACTTGAATGCAAACATCACAAAGAAGTTTCTGGGAATGCCGCTGTCTGCTTTTTATATGTAATCCCGTTTCCAACGAAATCCTCAAAGCTAGACAAATATCCACTTGCAGATTCCACAAAAAGAGTGTTTCAAAACTGCTCTCTCAAAGGAAGGTTCAACTCTGTTAGCTGAGTAGATACATCATGAAAAAGTTTCTGACATTGCTTCTATCTAGCTTTTATTGGAAGATATTTCCTTTTTCACCGCAGTCCTGAGAGCGCTCCAAATGTCCACTTCCAGATACTACAAAAAGAGTGTTTCAAACCTGCTCTATGAAAGGGACTGTTCAACACTGTGACTTCAACTGAAACATCCCAATGAAGCTTCTGAGAATGCTTCTGTCTAGAGTTTATATGAAGACAATCCCGTTTCCAACGAAATCCTCAAAGCTATCCAAATATCCTCTTGCAGATTTTACAAAAAGAGTGTTTCAAAACTGCTCTATCAAAAGAAAGCTTCAACACTGTTAGTTGAGGGCGCACATCACAAATAAGATTCTGAGAATGCTTCTGTCTAGTTTTCAGGAGAAGATATTTCCTTTTTCACCATAGGCCTGAAAGCGCTCCAAATGTCCACATCCAGATACTATAAAAAGAGTGTTTCAAAGCTGCTCTCTGAAAGGGAATGTTCAACTCTGTGACTTGAATGCAAACGTCACAAACAAGATTCTGGGAATGCTGCTGTCTGCTTTTTATATGTAATCCCGTTTCCAACGAAATCCTCAAAGCTAGACAAATATCCACTTGCAGATTCCACAAAAAGAGTGTTTCAAAACTGCTCTCTCAAAGGAAAGGTTCAACTCTGTTAGCTGAGTAGATACATCATGAAAAAGTTTCTGACATTGCTTCTATGTAGCTTTTATTGGAAGATATTTCCTTTTTCACCATAGTCCTGGGAGCGCTCCAAATGTCCACTTCCAGATACTACAAAAAGAGTGTTTCAAACCTGTTCTATGAAAGGAACTGTTCAACACTGTGACTTCAATTGAAACATCCCAATGAAGCTTCTGAGAATGCTTCTGTCTAGAGTTTATATGAAGACAATCCCGTTTCCAACGAAATCCTCAAAGCTATCCAAATATCCTCTTGCAGATATTACAAAAAGAGTGTTTCAAAACTGCTCTATCAAAAGAAAGGTTCAACACTGTTAGTTGAGGGCGCACATCACAAATAAGTTTCTGAGAATGCTTCTGTCTAGTTTTCAGCGGAAGATATTTCCTTTTTCACCATAGGCCTGAAAGCGCTCCAAATGTCCACATACAGATACTACAAAAAGAGTGTTTCAAACCTGCGCTATGAAAGGGAATGTTCAACTCTGTGACTTGAATGCAAACATCACAAAGAAGTTTCTGGGAATGCTGCTGTCTGCTTTTTATATGTAATCCCGTTTCCAACGAAATCCTCAAAGCTAGACAAATATCCACTTGCAGATTCCACAAAAAGAGTGTTTCAAAACTGCTCTCTCAAAAGAAAGGTTCAACTCTGTTAGCTGAGTAGATACATCATGAAAAAGTTTCTGACATTCCTTCTATCTAGCTTTTATTGGAAGATATTTCCTTTTTCACCGTAGTCCTGAGAGGACTCCAAATGTCCACTTCCAGATAATAAAAAAAGAGTGTTTCAAACTTGCTCTATGAAAGGGACTGTTCAACACTGTGACTTCAATTGAAACATCCCAATGAAGCTTCTGAGAATGCTTCTGTCTAGAGTTTATGTGAAGACAATCCCGTTTCCAACGAAATCCTCAAGGCTATCCAAATATCCTCTTGCAGATTTTACAAAAAGAGTGTTTCAAAACTGCTCTATCAAAAGAAAGCTTCAACACTGTTAGTTGAGGGCGGGCGCACATCACAAATAAGATTCTGAAAATTCTTCTGTCTAGTTTTCAGGGGAAGATATTTCCTTTTTCTCCATAGGCCTGAAAGCGCTCCAAATGTCCACATACAGATACTACAAAAAGAGTGTTTCAAACCTGCTCTATGAAAGGGAATGTTCAACTCTGTGACTTGAATGCAAACATCACAAAGAAGTTTCTGGGAATGCTGCTGTCTGCTTTTTATATGTAATCCCGTTTCCAACGAAATCCTCAAAGCTAGACAAATATCCACTTCCAGATTCCACAAAAAGAGTGTTTCAAAACTGCTCTCTCAAAATAAAGTTTCAACTCTGTTAGCTGAGTAGATACATCATGAAAAAGTTTCTGACATTGCTTCTATCTAGCTTTTATTGGAAGATATTTCCTTTATCCCCGTATTCCTGAGATCTCTCCAAATGTCCACTTCCAGATACTACAAAAAGAGTGTTTCAAACCTGCTCTATGAAAGGGACTGTTCAACACTGTGACTTCAATTGAAACATCCCAATGAAGCTTCTGAGAATGCTTTTGTCTAGAGTTTATATGAAGACAATCCCGTTTCCAACGAAATCCTCAAAGATATCCAAATATCCTCTTGCAGATATTACAAAAAGAGTGTTTCAAAACTGCTCTATCAAAAGAAAGCTTCAACACTGTTAGTTGAGGGCGCACATCACAAATTAGTTTCTGAGAATGCTTCTGTCTAGTTTTCAGGGGAAGATATTTCCTTTTTCACCATAGGCCTGAAAGCGCTCCAAATGTCCACATCCAGATACTACAAAAAGAGTGTTTCAAACCTGCTCTATGAAAGGGAATGTTCAACTCTGTGACTTGAATGCAAACATCACAAAGAAGTTACTGGGAATGCTGCTGTCTGCTTTTTATATATAACCCCGTTTCAAACGCAATCCTCAAAGCTAGACAAATATCCACTTGCAGATTCCACAAAAAGAGGGTTTCCAAACTGCTCTCTCAAAAGAAAGGTTCAACTCTGTTAGCTGAGTAGATACATCATGAAAAATTTTCTGACATTGCTTCTATCTAGCTTTTATTGGAAGATATTTCCTTTTTCACCGTAGTCCTGAGAACGCTCCAAATGTCCACTTCCAGATACTACAAAAAGAGTGTTTCAAACCTGCTCTATGAAAGGGACTGTTCAACACTGTGACTTCAATTGAAACATCCCAATGAAGCTTCTGAGAATGCTTCTGTCTAGATTCTATATGAAGACAATCCCGTTTCCAACGAAATCCTCAAAGCTATCCAAATATCCTCTTGCAGATTTTACAAAAAGAGTGTTTCAAAACTGCTCTATCAAAAGAAAGGTTCAACACTGTTAGTTGAGGGCGCACATCACAAATAAGTTTCTGAGAATGCTTCTGTCTAGTTTTCTGGGGAAGATATTTCCTTTTTCACCATAGGCCTGAAAGCGCTCCAAATGTCCGCATGCAGATACTACAAAAAGAGTGTTTCAAAGCTGCTCTATGAAAGGGAATGTTCAACTCTGTGACTTGAATGCAAACATCACAAAGAAGTTACTGGGAATGCTGCTGTCTGCTTTTTATATGTAATCCCGTTTCCAACGAAATCCTCAAAGCTAGACAAATATCCACTTGCAGATTCCACAAAAAGAGTGTTTCAAAACTGCTCTCTCAAAAGAAAGGTTCAACTCTGTTAGCTGAGTAGATACATCATGAAAAAGTTTCTGACATTGCTTCTATCTAGCTTTTATTGGAAGATATTTCCTTTATCATCGTAGTCCTGAGAGCGCTCCAAATGTCCACTTCCAGATACTACAAAAAGAGTGTTTGAAACCTGCTCTATGAAAGGGACTGTTCAACACTGTGACTTCAATTGAAACATCCCAATGAAGCTTCTGAGAATGCTTCTGTCTAGAGTTTATTTGAAGACAATCCCGTTTCCAATGAAATCCTCAAAGCTATGCAAATATCCTCTTGCAGATTTTACAAAAAGAGTGTTTCAAATCTGCTCTATCAAAAGAAAGCTTCAACACTGTTAGTTGAGGGCGCACATCACAAATAAGATTCTGAGAATGCTTCTGTCTAGTTTTCAGGAGAAGATATTTCCTTTTTCACCATAGGCCTGAAAGCGCTCCAAATGTCCACATCGAGATACTACAAAAAGAGTGTTTCAAACCTGCTCTATGAAAGGGAATGTTCAACTCTGTGACTTGAATGCAAACATCACAAAGAAGATTCTGGGAATGCTGCTGTCTGCTTTTTATATGTAATCCCGTTTCCAACGAAATCCTCAAAGCTAGACAAATATCCACTTGCAGATTCCACAAAAAGAGTGTTTCAAAACTGCTCTATCAAAAGAAAGCTTCAACACTGTTAGTTTAGGGGGCACATCACAAATAAGTTTCTGAGAATGCTTCTATCTAGCTTTTATTGGAAGATATTTCCTTTATCACCGTATTCCTGAGATCTCTCAAAATGTCCACTTCCAGATACTACAAAAAGAGTGTTTCAAACCTGCTCTATGAAAGGGACTGTTCAACACTGTGACTTCAATTGAAACATCCCAATGAAGCTTCTGATAATGCTTCTGTCTAGAGTTTATATGAAGACAATCCCGTTTCCAACGAAATCCTCAAAGCTATCCAAATATCCTCTTGCAGATTTTACAAAAAGAGTGTTTCAAAACTGCTCTATCAAAAGAAAGGTTCAACACTGTTAGTTGAGGGCGCACATCACAAATAAGTTTCTGAGAATGCTTCTGTCTAGTTTTCAGGGGAAGATATTTCCTTTTTCACCATAGGCCTGAAAGCGCTCCAAATGTCCACATCCAGATACTTCAAAAAGAGTGTTTCAAACCTGCTCTATGAAAGGGAATGTTCAACTCTCTGACTTGAATGCAAACATCACAAAGAAGTTACTGGGAATGCTGCTGTCTGCTTTTTATATGTAAGCCCGTTTCCAACGAAATCCTCAAAGCTAGACAAATATCCACTTGCAGATTCCACAAAAAGAGTGTTTCAAAACTGCTCTCTCAAAGGAAAGGTTCAACTCTGTTAGCTGAGTAGATACATCATGAAAAAGTTTCTGACATTGCTTCTATCTAGCTTTTATTGGAAGATATTTCCTTTTTCAACGCAGTCCTGAGAGCGTTCCAAATGTCCACTTCCAGATACTACAAAAAGAGTGTTTCAAACCTGCTCTATGAAAGGGACTGTTCAACACTGTGACTTCAATTGAAACATCCCAATGAAGCTTCTGAGAATGCTTCTGTCTAGAGTTTATATGAAGACAATCCCGTTTCCAACGAAATCCTCAAAGCTATCCAAATATCCTCTTGCAGATATTACAAAAAGAGTGTTTCAAAACTGCTCTATCAAAAGAAAGCTTCAACACTGTTAGTTGAGGGCGCACATCACAAATAAGTTTCTGAGAATGCTTCTGTCTAGTTTTCAGGGGAAGATATTTCCTTTTTCACCTTAGGCCTGAAAGCGCTGCAAATGTCCACATCCAGATACTACAAAAAGAGTGTTTCAAACCTGCTCTATGAAAGGGAATCTTCAACTCTGTGACTTGAATGCAAACAACACAAAGAAGTTTCTGGGAATGCTGCTGTCTGCTTTTTATATGTAACCCGTTTCCAACGAAATCCTCAAAGCTAGACAAATATCCACTTGCAGATTCCACAAAAAGAGTGTTTCAAAACTGCTCTCTCAAAGGAAGGTTCAACTCTGTTAGCTGAGTAGATACATCATGAAAAAGTTTCTGACATTGCTTCTATCTAGCTTTTATTGGAAGATATTTCCTTTTTCACCGCAGTCCTGAGAGCGCTCCAAATGTCCACTTCCAGATACTACAAAAAGAGTGTTTCAAACCTGCTCTATGAAAGGGACTGTTCAACACTGTGACTTCAATTGAAACATCCCAATGAAGCTTCTGAGAATGCTTCTGTCTAGAGTTTATATGAAGACAATCCCGTTTCCAACGAAATCCTCAAAGCTATCCAAATATCCTCTTGCAGATATTACAAAAAGAGTGTTTCAAAACTGCTCTATCAAAAGAAAGCTTCAACACTGTTAGTTGAGGGCGCACATCACAAATAAGTTTCTGAGAATGCTTCTGTCTAGTTTTCAGGGGAAGATATTTCCTTTTTCACCATAGGCCAGAAAGCGCTCCAAATGTCCACATCCAGCTACTACAAAAAGAGTGTTTCAAACCCGCTCTATGGAAGGGAATGTTCAAGTCTGTGACTTGAATGCAAATATCACAAAGAAGTTTCTGGGAATGCTGCTGTCTGCTTTTTATATGTAATCCCGTTTCCAACGCAATCCTCAAAGCTAGACAAATATCCACTTGCAGATTCCACAAAAAGAGTGTTTCAAAACTGCTCTCTCAAAAGAAAGGTTCAACCCTGTTAGCTGAGTAGATACATCATGAAAAATTTTCTGACATTGCTTCTATCTAGCTTTTATTGGAAGATATTTCCTTTTTCACTGTAGTCCTGAGAGCGCTCCAAATGTCCACTTCCAGATACTACAAAAAGAGTGTTTCAAATCTGCTCTATGAAAGGGACTGTTCAACACTGTGACTTCAATTGAAACATCCCAATGAAGCTTCTGAGAATGATTCTGTCTAGATTCTATATGAAGACAATCCCGTTTCCAACGAAATCCTCAAAGCTATCCAAATATCCTCTTGCGGATTTTACAAAAAGAGTGTATCAAAACTGCTCTATCAAAAGAAAGGTTCAACACTGTTAGTTGAGGGCGCACATGACAAATAAGTTTCTGAGAATGCTTCTGTCTAGTTTTCAGGGGAAGATATTTCCTTTTTCACCATAGGCCTGAAAGCGCTCCAAATGTCCACATCCAGATACTACAAAAAGAGTGTTTCAAACCTGCTCTATGAAACGGACTGTTCAAGTCTGTGACTTCAATGCAAATATCACAAAGAAGTTTCTGGGAATGCTGCTGTCTGCTTTTTATATGTAATACCATTTACAACGCAATCCTCAAAACTAGACAAATATCCACTTGCAGATTCCACAAAAAGAGTGTTTCAAAACTACTCTCTCCAAAGAAAGGTTCAACTCTGTTAGCTGAGTAGATACATCATGAAAAATTTTCTGACATTTCTTCTATCTAGCTTTTATTGGAAGATATTTCCTTTTTCACTGTCGTCCTGAGAACGCTCCAAATGTCCACTTCCAGATACTACAAAAAGATTGTTTCAAACATGCTCTATGAAAGGGACTGTTCAACACTGTGACTTCAATTGAAACATCCCAATGAAGCTTCTGAGAATGCTTCTGTCTAGAGTTTATATGAAGACAATCCCGTTTCCAACGAAATCCTCAAAGCTATCCAAATATCCTCTTGCAGATTTTACAAAAAGAGTGTTTCAAAACTGCTCTATCAAAAGAAAGCTTCAACACTGTTAGTTGAGTGCGCACATCACAAATAAGATTCTGGGAATGCTTCTGTCTAGTTTTCAGGGGAAGATATTTCCGTTTTCACCATAGGCCTGAAAGCGCTCCAAATGTCCACATACAGATACTACAAAAAGAGTGTTTCAAACCTGCTCTATGAAAGGGAATGTTCAACTCTGTGACTTGAATGCAAATATCACAAAGAAGTTTCTGGGAATGCTGCTGTCTGCTTTTTATATGTAATCCCGTTTCCAACGAAATCCTCAAAGCTAGACAAATATCGACTTGCAGATTCCACAAAAAGAGTGTTTCAAAACTGCTCTCTCAAAAGAAAGGTTCAACTCTGTTTGCTGAGTAGATACATCATGAAAAAGTTTCTGACATTGCTTCTATCTAGCTTTATTTGGAAGATATTTCCTTTTTCACCGTAGTCTTGAAAACGCTCCAAATGTCAACTTCCAGATACTACAAAAAGAGTGTTTCAAACCTGCTCTATGAAAGGGACTGTTCAACACTGTGACTTCAATTGAAACATCCCAATGAAGCTTCTGAGAATGCTTCTGTCTAGATTTTATATGAAGACAATCCCGTTTCCAACGAAATCCTCAAAGCTATCCAAATATCCTCTTGCAGATTTTACAAAAAGAGTGTTTCAAAACTGCTCTATCAAAAGAAAAGTTCAACACTGTTAGTTGAGGGCGCACATCACAAATAAGTTTCTGAGAATGCTTCTGTCTAGTTTTCAGGGGAAGATATTTCCTTTTTCACCATAGGCCTGAAAGAGCTCCAAATGTCCACATCCAGATACTACAAAAAGAGTGTTTCCAACCTGCTCTATGAAAGGGAATGTTCAACTCTGTGACTTGAATGCAAACATCACAAAGAAGTTTCTGGGAATGCTGCTGTCTGCTTTTTATATGTAATCCCGTTTCCAACGAAATCTTCAAAGCTAGACAAATATCCACTTGCATATTCCACAAAAGGAGTGTTTCAAAACTGCTCTCTCAAAAGAAAGGTTCAACTCTGTTAGCTGACTAGATACATCATGAAAAAGTTTCTGACATTGCTTCTATCTAGCTTTTATTGGAAGATATTTCCTTTTTCACCGTAGTCCTGAGAGCGCTCCAAATGTCCACTTCCAGATACTACAAAAAGAGTGTTTCAAACCTGCTCTATGAAAGGGACTGTTCAACACTGTGACTTCAATTGAAACATCCCAATGAAGCTTCTGAGAATGCTTATGTCTAGAGTTTATATGAAGACAATCCCGTTTCCAACGAAATCCTGAAAGCTATCCAAATATCCTCTTGCAGATATTACAAAAAGAGTGTTTCAAAACTGCTCTATCAAAAGAAAGCTTCAACACTGTTAGTTGAGGGCGCCCATCACAAATAAGTTTCGGAGAATGCTTAGCTGTCTGCTTTTTATATGTAATCCCGTTTCCAACGAAATCCTCAAAGCTATCCAAATATCCTCTTGCAGATATTACAAAAAGAGTGTTTCAAAACTGCTCTATCAAAAGAAAGGTTCAACACTGTTAGTTGAGGGCTCACATCACAAATAAGTTTCTGAGAATGCTTCTGTCTAGTTTTCAGGGGAAGATATTTCCTTTTTCACCTTAGGCCTGAAAGCGCTGCAAATGTCCACATCCAGATACTACAAAAAGAGTGTTTCAAACCTGCTCTATGAAAGGGAATGTTCAACTCTGTGACTTGAATGCAAACATCACAAAGAAGTTTCTGGGAATGCTGCTGTCTGCTTTTTATATGTAATCCCGTTTCCAACGAAACCCTCAAAGCTAGACAAATATCCACTTGCAGATTCCACAAAAAGAGTGTTTCAAAACTGCTCTCTCAAAGGAAGGTTCAACTCTGTTAGCTGAGTAGATACATCATGAAAAGGTTTCTGACATTGCTTCTATCTAGCTTTTATTGGAAGATAGTTCCTTTTTCACCGCAGTCCTGAGAGCGCTCCAAATGTCCACTTCCAGATACTACAAAAAGAGTGTTTCAAACCTGCTCTATGAAAGGGACTGTTCAACACTGTGACTTCAATTGAAACATCCCAATGAAGCTTCTGAGAATGCTTCTGTCTAGAGTTTATATGAAGACAATCCCGTTTCCAACGAAATCCTCAAAGCTATCCAAATATCCTCTTGCAGATTTTACAAAAAGAGTGTTTCAAAACTGCTCTATCAAAAGAAAGCTTCAACTCTGTTAGTTGAGGGCGCACATCACAAATAAGATTCTGAGAATGCTTCTATGTAGCTTTTATTGGAAGATATTTCCTTTTTCACCATAGGCCTGAAAGCGCTCCAAATGTCCACATCCAGATACTACAAAAAGAGTGTTTCAAACCTGCTCTATGAAAGGGAATGTTCAACTCTGTCACTTGAATGCAAACCTCACAAAGAAGTTACTGGGAATGCTGCTGTCTGCTTTTTATATGTAATCCCGTTTCCAACGAAATCCTCAAAGCTAGACAAATATCCTCTTGCAGATTCCACAAAAAGAGTGTTTCAAAACTGCTCTCTCAAAAGAAAGGTTCAACTCTGTTAGGTGAGTAGATACATCATGAAAAAGTTTCTGACATTGCTTCTATCTAGCTTTTATTGGAAGATATTTCCTTTATCACCGTATTCCTGAGATTTCTCCAAATGTCCACTTCCAGATACTATAAAAAGAGTGTTTCAAACCTGCTCTATGAAAGGGACTGTTCAACACTGTGACTTCAATTGAAACATCCCAATGAAGCTTCTGAGAATGCTCTGTCAAGATTGTATATGAAGACAATACCGTTTCCAACGAAATCCTCAAAGCTATCCAAATATCCTCTTGCAGATTTTACAAAAAGAGTGTTTCAAAACTGCTCTATCAAAAGAAAGCTTCAACACTGTTAGTTGAGGGCGCACATCACAAATAAGTTTGCTGAGAATGCTTTTTATGTAGCTTTTATTGGAAGATATTTCCTTTTTCACCATAGGCCTGAAAGCGCTCCAAATGTCCACATCCAGATAGTACAAAAAAAGTGTTTCAAACCTGCTCTATGAAAAGGAATGTTCAACTCTGTGACTTGAATGCAAACATCACAAAGAAGTTACTGGGAATGCTGCTGTCTGCTTTTTATATGTAATCCCGTTTCCAACGAAATCCTCAAAGCTAGACAAATATCCACTTGCAGATTCCACAAAAAGAGTTTTTCAAAACTGCTCTATCAAAAGAATGCTTCAACACTGTTAGTTGAGGGCGCACATCACAAATAAGTTTCTGAGAATGCTTCTGTCTAGTTTTCAGGGGAAGATATTTCCTTTTAAACCATAGGCCTGCAAACGCTCTAAATGTCCACATCCAGATACTACAAAAAGAGTGTTTCAAACCTGCTCTATGAAAGGGACTGTTCAACACTGTGACTTCAATTGAAACATCCCAATGAAGCTTCTGAGAATACTTCTGTCTAGATTTTATATGAAGACAATCCCGTTTCCAACGAAATCCTCAAAGCTATCCAAATATCCTCTTGCAGATTTTACAAAAAGAGTGTTTCAAAACTACTCTATCAAAAGAAAGGTTTAACACTGTTAGTTGAGGGCGCACATCACAAATAAGTTTCTGAGAATGCTTCTGTCTAGTTTTCAGGGGAAGATATTTCCTTTTTCACCATAGGCCTGAAAGCGCTCCAAATGTCCACAACCAGATACTTCAAAAAGAGTGTTTCAAACCTGCTCTATGAAAGGGAATGTTCAACTCTCTGGCTTGAATGCAAACATCACAAAGAAGTTACTGGGAATGCTGCTGTCTGCTTTTTATATGTAATCCCGTTTCCAACGAAATCCTCAAAGCTAGACAAATATCCACTTGCAGATTCCACAAAAAGAGTGTTTCAAAACTGCTCTATCAAAAGAATGCTTCAACACTGTTAGTTGAGGGCGCACATCACAAATAAGTTTCTGAGAATGCTTCTGTCTAGTTTTCAGGGGAAGATATTTCCTTTTAAACC
The DNA here is from genome assembly GCF_000001405.40 of Homo sapiens. Lineage (NCBI taxonomy): Eukaryota > Metazoa > Chordata > Mammalia > Primates > Hominidae > Homo > Homo sapiens. The sequence goes on along the minus strand of NC_000002.12, from coordinate 92,539,197 downwards.
ATAGGCCTGAAAGCGCTCCAAATGTCCACATCCAGATACTACAAAAAGAGTGTTTCAAACCTGCTCTATGAAAGGGAATGTTCAACACTGTGACTTCAATTGAAACATCCCAATGACGCTTCTGAGAATGCTTCTGTCTAGATTCTATATGAAGACAATCCCGTTTCCAACGAAATCCTCAAAGCTATCCAAATATCCTCTTGCGGATTTTACAAAAAGAGTGTATCAAAACTGCTCTATCAAAAGAAAGCTTCAACACTGTTAGTTGAGGGCGCACATGACAAATAAGTTTCTGAGAATGCTTCTGTCTAGTTTTCAGGGGAAGATATTTCCTTTTTCACCATAGGCCTGAAAGCGCTCCAAATGTCCACATCCAGATACTACAAAAAGAGTGTTTCAAACCTGCTCTATGAAACGGAATGTTCAAGTCTGTGACTTCAATGCAAATATCACAAAGAAGTTTCTGGGAATGCTGCTGTCTGCTTTTTATATGTAATACCGTTTCCAACGCAATCCTCAAAACTAGACAAATATCCACTTGCAGATTCCACAAAAAGAGTGTTTCAAAACTACTCTCTCCAAAGAAAGGTTCAACTCTGTTAGCTGAGTAGATACATCATGAAAAATTTTCTGACATTTCTTCTATCTAGCTTTTGTTGGAAGATATTTCCTTTTTCACTGTCGTCCTGAGAACGCTCCAAATATCCACTTCCAGATACTACAAAAAGAGTGTTTCAAACATGCTCTATGAAAGGGACTGTTCAACACTGTGACTTCAATTGAAACATCCGAATGAAGCTTCTGAGAATGCTTCTGTCTAGATTCTATATGAAGACAATCCCGTTTCCAACGAAATCCTCAAAGCTATCCAAATATCCTCTTGCAGATTTTACAAAAAGAGTGTTTCAAAACTGCTCTATCAAAAGAAAGCTTCAACACTGTTAGTTGAGGGCGCACATCACAAATAAGTTTCTGAGAATGCTTCTGTCTAGTTTTCAGGGGAAGATATTTCCTTTTTCACCATAGGCCTGAAAGCGCTCCAAACGTCCACATCCAGATACTACAAAAAGAGTGTTTCAAACCTGCTCTATGAAAGGGAATGTTCAAGTCTGTGACTTGAATGCAAATTTCACAAAGAACTTTCTGGGAATGCTTCTGTCTAGTTTTCAGGGGAAGATATTTCCTTTTAAACCATAGGCCTGAAAGCGCTCCAAATGTCCACATCCAGATACTACAAAAAGAGTGTTTCAAACCTGCTCTATGAAAGGGACTGTTCAACACTGTGACTTCAATTGAAACATCCCAATGAAGCTTCTGAGAATGCTTCTGTCTAGAGTTTATATGAAGACAATCCCGTTTCCAACGAAATCCTCAAAGCTATCCAAATATCCTCTTGCAGATTTTACAAAAAGAGTGTTTCAAAACTGCTCTATCAAAAGAAAGGTTCAACACTGTTAGTTGAGGGCGCACATCACAAATAAGTTTCTGAGAATGCTTCTGTCTAGTTTTCAGGGGAAGATATTTCCTTTTTCACCATAGGCCTGAAAGCGCTCCAAATGTCCACATCCAGATACTGCAAAAAGAGTGTTTCAAACCTGCTCTATGAAAGGGAATGTTCAACTCTGTGACTTGAATGCAAACATCACAAAGAAGTTACTGGGAATGCTGCTGTCTGCTTTTTATATGTAATCCCGTTTCCAACGAAATCCTCAAAGCTAGACAAATATCCACTTGCAGATTCCACAAAAAGAGTGTTTCAAAACTGCTCTCTCAAAGGAAAGGTTCAACTCTGTTAGCTGAGTAGATACATCATGAAAAAGTTTCTGACATTGCTTCTATCTAGCTTTTATTGGAAGATATTTCCTTTATCACCGTATTCCTGAGATCTCTCCAAATGTCCACTTCCAGATACTACAAAAAGAGTGTTTCAAACCTGCTCTATGAAAGGGACTGTTCAACACTGTGACTTCAATTGAAACATCCCAATGAAGCTTCTGAGAATGCTTCTGTCTAGTTTTCAGGAGAAGATATTTCCTTTTTCACCATAGGCCTGAAAGCGCTCCAAATGTCCACATCCAGATACTATAAAAAGAGTGTTTCAAACCTGCTCTCTGAAAGGGAATGTTCAACTCTGTGACTTGAAGGCAAACATCACAAACAAGATTCTGGGAATGCTGCTGTCTGCTTTTTATATGTAATCCCGTTTCCAACGAAATCCTCAAAGCTAGACAAATATCCACTTGCAGATTCCACAAAAAGAGTGTTTCAAAGCTGCTCTATCAAAAGAAAGCTTCAACACTGTTAGTTGAGGGCGCACATCACAAATAAGTTTCTGAGAATGCTTCTGTCTGGTTTTCAGGGGAAGATATTTCCTTTTTCACCTTAGGCCTGAAAGCGCTGCAAATGTCCACATCCAGATACTACAAAAAGAGTGTTTCAAACCTGCTCTATGAAAGGGAATGTTCAACTCTGTGACTTGAATGCAAACATCACAAAGAAGTTACTGGGAATGCTGCTGTCTGCTTTTTATATGTAATGCCGTTTCCAACGAAATCCTCAAAGCTAGACAAATATCCACTTGCAGATTCCACAAAAAGAGTGTTTCAAAACTGCTCTCCCAAAAGAAAGGTTCAACTCTTTTAGCTGAGTAGATACATCATGAAAAAGTTTCTGAGATTGCTTCTATCTAGCTTTTATTGGAAGATATTACCTTTTTCACCGTAGTCCTGAGAGCGCTCCAAATGTCCACTTCCAGATACTACAAAAAGAGTGTTTCAAACCTGCTCTATGAAAGGGACTGTTCAACACTGTGACTTCAATTGAAACATCGCAGTGAAGCTTCTGAGAATGCTTCTGTCTAGAGTTTATATGAAGACAATCCCGTTTCCAACGAAATCCTCAAAGCTATCCAAATATCCTCTTGCAGATATTACAAAAAGAGTGTTTCAAAACTGCTCTATCAAAAGAAAGGTTCAACACTGTTAGTTGAGGGCGCACATCACAAATAAGTTTACTGAGAATGCTGCTGTCTGCTTTTTATATGTAATCCCGTTTCCAACGAAATCCTCAAAGCTAGACAAATATCCACTTGCAGATTCCACAAAAAGAGTGTTTCAAAACTGCTCTATCAAAAGAATGCTTCAACACTGTTAGTTGAAGGCGCACATCACAAATAAGTTTCTGAGAATGCTTCTGTCTAGTTTTCAGGGGAAGATATTTCCTTTTTCACCATAGGCCTGAAAGCGCTCCAAATGTCCACATCCAGATACTACAAAAAGAGTGTTTCAAACCTGCTCTATGAAAGGGACTGTTCAACACTGTGACTTCAATTGAAACATCCCAATGAAGCTTCTGAGAATGCTTCTGTCTAGAGTTTATATGAAGACAATCCCGTTTCCAACGAAATCCTCAAAGCTATCCAAATATCCTCTTGCAGATTTTACAAAAAGAGTGTTTCAAAACTGCTCTATCAAAAGAAAGGTTCAACACTGTTAGTTGAGGGCGCACATCACAAATAAGTTTCTGAGAATGCTTCTGTCTAGTTTTCAGGGGAAGATATTTCCTTTTTCACCTTAGGCCTGAAAGCGCTGCAAATGTCCACATCCAGATACTTCAAAAAGAGTGTTTCAAACCTGCTCTATGAAAGGGAATGTTCAACTCTGTGACTTGAATGCAAACATCACAAAGAAGTTTCTGGGAATGCTGCTGTCTGCTTTTTATATGTAATCCCGTTTCCAACGAAATCCTCAAAGCTAGACAAATATCCACTTGCAGATTCCACAAAAAGAGTGTTTCAAAACTGCTCTCTCAAAGGAAGGTTCAACTCTGTTAGCTGAGTAGATACATCATGAAAAAGTTTCTGACATTGCTTCTGTCTAGCTTTTATTGGAAGATATTTCCTTTTTCACCGTAGTCCTGAGAGCGCTCCAAATGTCCACTTCCAGATACTACAAAAAGAGTGTTTCAAACCTGCTCTATGAAAGGGACTGTTCAACACTGTGACTTCAATTGAAACATCCCAATGAAGCTTCTGAGAATGCTTATGTCTAGAGTTTATATGAAGACAATCCCGTTTCCAACGAAATCCTGAAAGCTATCCAAATATCCTCTTGCAGATATTACAAAAAGAGTGTTTCAAAACTGCTCTATCAAAAGAAAGCTTCAACACTGTTAGTTGAGGGCGCCCATCACAAATAAGTTTCGGAGAATGCTTAGCTGTCTGCTTTTTATATGTAATCCCGTTTCCAACGAAATCCTCAAAGCTAGACAAATATCCACTTGCAGATTCCACAAAAAGAGTGTTTCAAAACTGCTCTATCAAAAGAATGCTTCAACACTGTTAGTTGAAGGCGCACATCACAAATAAGTTTCTGAGAATGCTTCTGTCTAGTTTTCAGGGGAAGATATTTCCTTTTAAACCATAGGCCTGAAAGCGCTCCAAATGTCCACATCCAGATACTAGAAAAAGAGTGTTTCAAACCTGCTCTATGAAAGGGACTGTTCAACACTGTGACTTCAATTGAAACATCCCAATGACGCTTCTGAGAATGCTTCTGTGTAGAGTTTATATGAAGACAATCCCGTTTCCAACGAAATCCTCAAAGCTATCCAAATATCCTCTTGCAGATTTTACAAAAAGAGTGTTTCAAAACTGCTCTATCAAAAGAAAGCTTCAACACTGTTAGTTGAGGGCGCACATCACAAATAAGATTCTGAGAATTCTTCTGTCTAGTTTTCAGGGGAAGATATTTCCTTTTTCACCATAGGCCTGAAAGCGCTCCAAATGTCCACATCCAGATACTACAAAAAGAGTGTTTCAAACCTGCTCTATGAAAGGGAATGTTCAACTCTGTGACTTGAATGCAAACATCACAAAGAAGTTACTGGGAATGCTGCTGTCTGCTTTTTATATGTAATCCCGTTTCCAACGAAATCCTCAAAGCTAGACAAATATCCACTTGCAGATTCCACAAAAAGAGTGTTTCAAAACTGCTCTCTCAAAGGAAAGGTTCACCTCTGTTAGCTGAGTAGATACATCATGAAAAAGTTTCTGACATTGCTTCTATGTAGCTTTTATTGGAAGATATTTAATTTTTCACCATAGTCCTGAGAGCCCTCCAAATGTCCACTTCCAGATACTACAAAAAGTGTGTTTCAAACCTGTTCTATGAAAGGAACTGTTCAACACTGTGACTTCAATTGAAACATCCCAATGAAGCTTCTGAGAATGCTTCTGTCTAGACTTTATATGAAGACAATCCCGTTTCCAACGAAATCCTCAAAGCTATCCAAATATCCTCTTGCAGATATTACAAAAAGAGTGTTTCAAAACTGCTCTATCAAAAGAAAGCTTCAACACTGTTAGTTGAGGGCGCACATCACAAATAAGTTTCTGAGAATGCTTCTGTCTAGTTTTCAGGGGAAGATATTTCCTTTTTCACCATAGGCCTGAAAGCGCTCCAAATGTCCACATCCAGATAGTACAAAAAGAGTGTTTCAAACCTGCTCTATGAAAGGGAATGTTCAACTCTGTGACTTGAATGCAAACATCACAAAGAAGTTTCTGGGAATGCTGCTGTCTGCTTTTTATATGTAATCCCGTTTCCAACGAAATCCTCAAAGCTAGACAAATATCCACTTGCAGATTCCACAAAAAGAGTGTTTCAATACTGCTCTATCAAAAGAATGCTTCAACACTGTTAGTTGAGGGCGCACATCACAAATAAGTTTCTGAGAATGCTTCTGTCTAGTTTTCAGGGGAAGATATTTCCTTTTAAACCATAGGCCTGAAAGCGCTCCAAATGTCCACATCCAGATACTACAAAAAGAGTGTTTCAAACCTGCTCTATGAAAGGGACTGTTCAACACTGTGACTTCAATTCAAACATCCCAATGACGCTTCTGAGAATGCTTCTGTCTAGAGTTTATATGAAGACAATCCCGTTTCCAACGAAATCCTCAAAGCTATCCAAATATCCTCTTGCAGATTTTACAAAAAGAGTGTTTCAAAACTGCTCTATCAAAAGAAAGCTTCAACACTGTTAGTTGAGGGCGCACATCACAAATAAGATTCTGAGAATGCTTCTGTCTAGTTTTCAGGAGAAGATATTTCCTTTTTCACCATAGGCCTGAAAGCGCTCCAAATGTCCACATCGAGATACTACAAAAAGAGTGTTTCAAACCTGCTCTATGAAAGGGAATGTTCAACTCTGTGACTTGAATGCAAACATCACAAAGAAGATTCTGGGAATGCTGCTGTCTGCTTTTTATATGTAATTCCTTTTCCAACGAAATCCTCAAAGCTAGACAAATATCCACTTGCAGATTCCACAAAAAGAGTGTTTCAATACTGCTCTATCAAAAGAATGCTTCAACACTGTTAGTTGAGGGCGCACATCACAAATAAGTTTCTGAGAATGCTTCTGTCTAGTTTTCAGAGGAAGATATTTCCTTTTTCACCATAGGCCTGAAAGCGCTCCAAATGTCCACATCCAGATACTACAAAAAGAGTGTTTCAAACCTGCTGTATGAAAGGGACTGTTCAACACTGTGACTTCAATTGAAACATCCCAATGAGGCTTCTGAGAATGCTTCTGTCTGGAGTTTATATGAAGACAATCCCGTTTCCAACGAAATCCTCAAAGCTATCCAAATATCCTCTTGCAGATTTTACAAAAAGAGTGTTTCAAAACTGCTCTATCAAAAGAAAGGTTCAACACTGTTAGTTGAGGGCGCACATCACAAATAAGATTCTGAGAATGCTTCTGTCTAGTTTTCAGGGGAAGATATTTCCTTTTTCACCTTATGCCTGAAAGCGCTGCAAATGTCCACATCCAGATACTACAAAAAGAGTGTTTCAAACCTGCTCTATGAAAGGGAATGTTCAACTCTGTGACTTGAATGCAAACATCACAAAGAAGTTTCTGGGATTGCTGCTGTCTGCTTTTTATATGTAATCCCGTTTCCAACGAAATCCTCAAAGCTAGACAAATATCCACTTGCAGATTCCACAAAACGAGTGTTTCAAAACTGCTCTCTCAAATGAAGGTTCAACTCTGTTAGCTGAGTAGATACATCATGAAAAAGTTTCTGACATTGCTTCTATCTAGGTTTTATTGGAAGATATTTCCTTTTTCACCGCAGTCCTGAGAGCGTTCCAAATGTCCACTTCAAGATACTACAAAAAGAGTGTTTCAAACCTGCTCTATGAAAGGGACTGTTCAACACTGTGACTTCAATTGAAACATCCCAATGAAGCTTCTGAGAATGCTTCTGTCTAGAGTTTATATGAAGACAATCCCGTTTCCAACGAAATCCTCAAAGCTATCCAAATATCCTCTTGCAGATTTTACAAAAAGAGTGTTTCAAAACTGCTCTATCAAAAGAAAGCTTCAACTCTGTTAGTTGAGGGCGCACATCACAAATAAGATTCTGAGAATGCTTCTGTCTAGTTTTCAGGGGAAGATATTTCCTTTTTCACCATAGGGCTGAAAGCGCTCCAAATGTCCAAATCCAGATACTACAAAAAGAGTGTTTCCAAACTGCTCTCTGAAAGGGAATGTTCAACTCTGTGACTTGAATGCAAACATCACAAAGAAGTTTCTGGGAATGCTGCTGTCTGCTTTTTATATGTAATCCCGTTTCCAACGAAATCCTCAAAGCTAGACAAATATCCACTTGCAGATTCAACAAAAAGAGTGTTTCAAAACTGCTTTCTCAAAGGAAGGTCCAACTCTGTTAGCTGAGTAGATACATCATGAAAAAGTTTCTGACATTGCTTCTATCTAGCTTTTATTGGAAGATATTTCCTTTTTCACCATAGTCCTGAGAACGCTCCAAATGTCCACTTCCAGATATTACAAAAAGAGTGTTTCAAACCTGCTCTACGAAAGGGACTGTTCAACACTGTGACTTCAATTGAAACATCCCAATGAAGCTTCTGAGAATGCTTCTGTCTAGATTGTATATGAAGACAATCCCGTTTCTAACGAAATCCTCAAAGCTATCCAAATATCCTCTTGCAGATTTTACAAAAAGAGTGTTTCAAAACTGCTCTATCAAAAGAAAGCTTCAACACTGTTAGTTGAGGGCGCACATCACAAATAAGTTTCTGAGAATGCTTCTGTCTAGTTTTCAGGGGAAGATATTTCCTTTTTCACCATAGGCCTGAAAGCGCTCCAAATGTCCACATCCAGATACTACAAAAAGAGTGTTTCAAACCTGCTCTATGAAAGGGAATGTTCAAGTCTGTGACTTGAATGCAAATATCACAAAGAAGTTTCTGGGAATGCTCTGTCTGCTTTTTATATGTAATCCCGTTTCCAACGAAATCCTCAAAGCTAGACAAATATCCACTTGCAGATTCCACAAAAAGAGTGTTTCAAAACTGCTCTCTCAAAAGAAAGGTTCAACTCTGTTAGCTGAGTAGATACATCATGAAAAAGTTTCTGACATTGCTTTCTATCTAGCTTTTATTGGAAGATATTTCCTTTTTCACCGTAGTCCTGAGAGCGCTCCAAATGTCCACTTCCAGATGCTACAAAAAGAGTGTTTCAAACCTGCTCTATGAAAGTGACTGTTCAACACTGTGACTTCAATTGAAACATCCCAATGAACCTTCTGAGAATGCTACTGTCTAGGGTTAATATGAAGACAATCCCGTTTCCAACGAAATCCTCAAAGCTATCCAAATATCCTCTTGCAGATTTTACAAGAAGAGTGTTTCAAAACTACTCTATCAACAGAAAGGTTCAACATTGTTAGTTGAGGGCGCACATCACAAATAAGTTTCTGAGAATGCTTCTGTCTAGTTTGCAGGGGAAGATATTTCCTTTTTCACCATAGGCCTGAGAGCGCTCCAAATGTCCACATCCAGATACTACAAAAAGAGTGTTTCAAACCTGCTCTATGAAAGGGAATGTTCAACTCTGTGACTTGAATGCAAACATCACAAAGAAGTTTCTGGGAATGCTACTGTCTGTTTTTTATATGTAATCCCGTTTCCAACGAAATCCTCAAACCTAGACAAATATCCACCTGCAGATCGAACAAAAAGAGTGTTTCAAAACTGCTCTCTCAAAAAAAAGGTTCAACTCTGTTAGCTGAGTAGATACATCATGAAAAAGTTTCTGACATTGCTTCTATGTAGCTTTTATTGGAAGATACTTCCTTTTTCACCGCAGTCCTGAGAGCACTCCAAATGTCCACTTCCAGATACTACAAAAAGAGTGTTTCAAACCTGCTCTATGAAAGGGACTGTTCAACACTGTGACTTCAATTGAAACATCCCAATGAAGCTTCTGAGAATGCTGCTGTCTGCTTTGTATAATTAATCCCGTTTCCAACGAAATCCTCAAAGCTATCCAAATATCCTCTTGCAGATATTACAAAAAGAGTGTTTCAAAACTGCTCTATCAAAAGAAAGCTTCAACACTGTTAGTTGAGGGCGCACATCACAAATAAGTTTCTGAGAATGCTGCTGTCTGCTTTTTATGTGTAATCCCGTTTCCAACGAAATCCTCAAAGCTAGACAAATATCTACTTGCAGATTCCACAAAAAGAGTATTTCAAAACTGCTCTATCAAAAGAATGCTTCAACACTGTTAGTTGAGGGCGCACATCACAAATAAGTTTCTGAGAATGCTTCTGTCTAGTTTTCAGGGGAAGATATTTCCTTTTAAACCATAGGCCTGAAAGCGCTCCAAATGTCCACATCCAGATACTACAAAAAGAGTGTTTCAAACCTGCTCTATGAAAGGGACTGTTCAACACTGTGACTTCAATTGAAACATCCCAATGACGCTTCTGAGAATGCTTCTGTCTAGAGTTTATATGAAGACAATCCCGTTTCCAACGAAATCCTCAAAGCTATCCAAATATCCTCTTGCAGATTTTACAAAAAGAGTGTTTCAAAACTGCTCTATCAAAAGAAAGCTTCAACACTGTTAGTTGAGGGCGCACATCACAAATAAGATTCTGAGAATGCTTCTGTCTAGTTTTCAGGAGAAGATATTTCCCTTTTCACCATAGGCCTGAAAGCGCTCCAAATGTCCACATCCAGATACTCTAAAAAGAGTGTTTCAAACCTGCTCTCTGAAAGGTAATGTTCAACTCTGTGACTTGAATGCAAACATCACAAAGAAGATTCTGGGAATGCTGCTGTCTGCTTTTTATATGTAATCCCGTTTCCAACGAAATCCTCAATGCTAGACAAATATCCACTTGCAGATTCCACAAAAAGAGTGTTTCAAAACTGCTCTCTCAAAAGAAAGGTTCAACTCTGTTAGCTGAGTAGATACATCATGAAAAAGTTTCTGACATTGCTTCTATCTAGCTTTTATTGGAAGATATTTCCTTTATCACCGTATTCCTGAGATCTCTCCAAATGTCCACTTCCAGATACTACAAAAAGAGTGTTTCAAACCTGCTCTATGAAAGGGACTGTTCAACACTGTGACTTCAATTGAAACATCCCAATGAAGCTTCTGAGAATGCTTCTGTCTAGAGTTTACATGAAGACAATCCCGTTTCCAACAAAATCCTCAAAGCTATCCAAATATCCTCTTGCAGATTTTACAAAAAGAGAGTTTCAAAACTGCTCTATCAAAAGAAAGCTTCAACACTGTTAGTTGAGGGCGCACATCACAAATAAGATTCTGAGAATGCTTCTGTCTAGTTTTCAGGGGAAGATATTTCCTTTTTCACCATAGGCCTGAAAGCGCTCCAAATGTCCACATCCAGATACTACAAAAAGAGTGTTTCAAACCTGCTCTATGAAAGGGAATGTTCAACTCTGTGACTTGAATGCAAACATCACAAAGAAGATTCTGGGAATGCTGCTGTCTGCTTTTTATATGTAATCCCGTTTCCAACGAAATCCACAAAGCTAGACAAATATCCACTTGCAGATTCCACAAAAAGAGTGTTTCAAAACTGCTCTCTCAAAAGAAAGGTTCAACTCTGTTAGCTGAGTAGATACATCATGAAAAAGTTTCTGACATTGCTTCTGTCTAGTTTTCAGGGGAAGATATTTCCTTTTTCACCTTAGGCCTGAAAGCGCTGCAAATTTGCACATCCAGATACTACAAAAAGAGTGTTTCAAACCTGCTCTATGAAAGGGAATGTTCAACTCTGTGACTTGAATGCAAACATCTCAAAGAAGTTTCTGGGAATGCTGCTGTCTGCTTTTTATATGTAATCCCGTTTCCAACGAAATCCTCAAAGCTAGACAAATATCCACTTGCAGATTCCACAAAAAGAGTGTTTCAAAACTGCTCTCTCAAAGGAAGGTTCAACTCTGTTAGCTGAGTAGATACATCATGAAAAAGTTTCTGACATTGCTTCTATGTAGCTTTTATTGGAAGATATTTCCTTTTTCACCGCAGTCCTGAGAGCGCTCCAAATGTCCACTTCCAGATACTACAAAAAGAGTGTTTCAAACCTGCTCTATGAAAGGGACTGTTCAACACTGTGACTTCAATTGAAACATCCCAATGAAGCTTCTGAGAATGCTTCTGTCTAGAGTTTATATGAAGACAATCCCGTTTCCAACGAAATCCTCAAAGCTATCCAAATATCCTCTTGCAGATATTACAAAAAGAGTGTTTCAAAACTGCTCTATCAAAAGAAAGGTTCAACACTGTTAGTTGAGGGCGCACATCACAAATAAGTTTACTGAGAATGCTGCTGTCTGCTTTTTATAATTAATCCCGTTTCCAACGAAATCCTCAAAGCTATCCAAATATCCTCTTGCAGATATTACAAAAAGAGTGTTTCAAAACTGCTCTATCAAAAGAAAGGTTCAACACTGTTAGTTGAGGGCGGCACATCACAAATAAGTTTCTGAGAATGCTTCTGTCTAGATTTCAGGAGAAGATATTTCCTTTTTCACCATAGGCCTGAAAGCGCTCTAAATGTCCACATCCAGATACTACAAAAAGAGTGTTTCAAACCTGCTGTATGAAAGGGACTGTTCAACACTGTGACTTCAATTGAAACATCCCAATGAAGCTTCTGAGAATGCTTCTGTCTAGAGTTTATATGAAGACAATCCCGTTTCCAACGAAATCCTCAAAGCTATCCAAATATCCTCTTGCAGATTTTACAAAAAGAGTGTTTCAAAACTGCTCTATCAAAAGAAAGCTTCAACACTGTTAGTTGAGGGCGCACATAACAAATAAGTTTCTGAGAATGCTTCTGTCTAGTTTTCAGTGGAAGATATTTCCTTTTTCACCATAGGCCTGAAACCGCTCCAAATGTACAAATCCAGATACTACAAAAAGAGTGTTTCAAACCTGCTCTATGAAAGGGAATGTTCAACTCTGTCACTTGAATGCAAACATCACAAAGAAGTTTCTGGGAATGCTGCTGTCTGCTTTTTATATGTAATCCCATTTCCAACGAAATCCTCAAAGCTAGACAAATATCCACTTGCAGATTCCACAAAAAGAGTGTTTCAAAACTGCTCTATCAAAAGAAAGGTTCAACTCTGTTAGCTGAGTAGATACATCATGAAAAAGTTTCTGACATTGCTTCTATCTAGCTTTTATTGGAAGATATTTCCTTTATCACCGTATTCCTGAGATCTCTCCAAATGTCCACTTCCAGATACTACAAAAAGAGTGTTTCAAACCTGCTCTATGAAAGGGACTGTTCAACACTGTGACTTCAATTGAAACATCCCAATGAAGCTTCTGAGAATGCTTCTGTCTAGAGTTTATATGAAGACAATCCCGTTTCCAACGAAATCCTCAAAGCTATCCAAATATCCTCTTGCAGATTTTACAAAAAGAGTGTTTCAAAACTGCTCTATCAAAAGAAAGCTTCAACACTGTTAGTTGAGGGCGCACATCACAAATAAGATTCTGAGAATGCTTCTGTCTAGTTTTAAGGGGAAGATATTTCCTTTTTCACCATAGGCCTGAAAGCGCTCCAAATGTTCACATACAGATACTACAAAAAGTGTGTTTCAAACCTGCTCTATGAAAGGGAATGTTCAAATCTGTGACTTGAATGCAAACATCACAAAGAAGTTTCTGGGAATGCTGCTGTCTGCTTTTTATATGTAATCCCGTTTCCAACGAAATCCTCAAATCTAGACAAATATCCACTTGCAGATTCCACAAAAAGAGTGTTTCAAAACGGCTCTCTCAAAAGAAAGGTTGAACTCTGTTAGCTGAGTAGATACATCATGAAAAATTCTCTGACATTGCTTCTATGTAGCTTTTATTGGAAGATATTTCCTTTTTCACCATAGGCCTGAAAGCGCTCCAAATGTCCACATCCAGATACTACAAAAAAAGTGTTTCAAACCTGCTCTATGAAAGGGAATGTTCAACTCTGTGACTTGAATGCAAACATCACAAAGAAGTTACTGGGAATGCTGCTGTCTGCTTTTTATATGTAATCCCGTTTCCAACGAAATCCTCAAAGCTAGACAAATATCCACTTGCAGATTCCACAAAAAGAGTGTTTCAAAACTGCTCTCTCAAAGGAAAGGTTCAACTCTGTTAGCTGAGTAGATACATCATGAAAAAGTTTCTGACATTGCTTCTATGTAGCGTTTATTGGAAGATATTTCCTTTATCACCGTATTCCTGAGATCTCTCCAAATGTCCACTTCCAGATACTACAAAAAGAGTGTTTCAAACCTGCTCTATGAAAGGGACTGTTCAACACTGTGACTTCAATTGAAACATCCCAATGAAGCTTCTGAGAATGCTTCTGTCTAGAGTTTATATGAAGACAATCCCGTTTCCAACGAAATCCTCAAAGCTATCCAAATATCCTCTTGCAGATTTTACAAAAAGAGTGTTTCAAAACTGCTCTATCAAAAGAAAGCTTCAACTCTGTTAGTTGAGGGCGCACATCACAAATAAGATTCTGAGAATGCTTCTGTCTAGTTTTCAGGGGAAGATATTTCCTTTTTCACCATAGGCCTGAAAGCGCTCCAAATGTCCACATCCAGATACTACAAAAAGAGTGTTTCAAACCTGCTCTATGAAAGGGAATGTTCAACTCTGTGACTTGAATGCAAACATCACAAAGAAGTTACTGGGAATGCTGCTGTCTGCTTTTTATATGTAATCCCGTTTCCAACGAAATCCTCAAAGCTAGACAAATATCCACTTTCAGATTACACAAAAAGAGTGTTTCAAAACTGCTCTCTCAAAAGAAAGGTTCAACTCTGTTAGCTGAGTAGATACATCATGAAAAAGTTTCTGACATTGCTTCTATCTAGCTTTTATTGGAAGATATTTCCTTTATCACCGTATTCCTGAGATCTCTCCAAATGTCCACTTCCAGATACTACAAAAAGAGTGTTTCAAACCTGCTCTATGAAAGGGACTGTTCAACACTGTGACTTCAATTGAAACATCCCAATGAAGCTTCTGAGAATGCTTCTGTCTAGAGTTTATATGAAGACAATCCCGTTTCCAACGAAATCCTCAAAGCTATCCAAATATCCTCTTGCAGATATTACAAAAAGAGTGTTTCAAAACTGCTCTATCAAAAGAAAGCTTCAACACTGTTAGTTGAGGGCGCACATCACAAATAAGTTTCTGAGAATGCTTCTGTCTAGTTTTCAGGGGAAGATATTTCCTTTTTCACCATAGGCCTGAAAGCGCTCGAAATGTCCACATCCAGATACTACAAAAAGAGTGTTTCAAACCTGCTCTATGAAAGGGACTGTTCAACACTGTGACTTCAATTGAAACATCCCAATGAAGCTTCTGAGAATGCTTCTGTCTACAGTTTATATGAAGACAATCCCGTTTCCAACGAAATCCTCAAAGCTATCCAAATATCCTCTTGCAGATTTTACAAAAAGAGTGTTTCAAAACTGCTCTATCAAAAGAAAGCTTCAACACTGTTAGTTGAGGGCGCACATCACAAATAAGATTCTGAGAATTCTTCTATCTAGCTTTTATTGGAATATATTTCCTTTTTCACCATAGGCCTGAAAGCGCTCCAAATGTCCACATCCAGATACTACAAAAAAAGTGTTTCAAACCTGCTCTATGAAAGGGAATGTTCAACTCTGTGACTTGAATGGACACATCACAAAGAAGTTACTGGGAATGCTGCTGTCTGCTTTTTATATGTAATCCCGTTTCCAACGAAATCCTCAAAGCTAGACAAATATCCACTTGCAGATTCCACAAAAAGAGTGTTTCAAAACTGCTGTCTCAAAAGAAAGGTTCAACTCTGTTAGCTGAGTAGATACATCATGAAAAAGTTTCTGACATTGCTTCTATCTAGCTTTTATTGGAAGATATTTCCTTTTTCACCGTAGTCCTGAGAGCGCTCCAAATGTCCACTTCCAGATGCTACAAAAAGAGTGTTTCAAACCTGCTCTATGAAAGGGACTGTTCAACACTGTGACTTCAATTGAAACATCCCAATGAAGCTTCTCAGAATGCTACTGTCTAGAGTTTATATGAAGACAATCCCGTTTCCAACGAAATCCTCAAAGCTATCCAAATATCCTCTTGCAGATTTTACAAAAAGAGTGTTTCAAAACTACTCTATCAAAAGAAAGCTTCAACACTGTTAGTTGAGGGCGCACATCACAAATAAGTTTCTGAGAATGCTTCTGTCTAGTTTTCAGGGGAAGATATTTCCTTTTTCACCATAGGCCTGAAAGCGCTCCAAACGTCCACATCCAGATACTACAAAAAGAGTGTTTCAAACCTGCTCTATGAAAGGGAATGTTCAAGTCTGTGACTTGAATGCAAATTTCACAAAGAAGTTTCTGGGAATGCTGCTGTCTGCTTTTTATATGTAATCCCGTTTCCAACGGAATCCTCAAAGCTAGACAAATATCCACTTGCAGATTCCACAAAAATAGTGTTTCAAAACTGCTCTCAGAAAAGAAAGGTTCAACTCTTTTAGCTGAGTAGATACATCATGAAAAAGTTTCTGACATTGCTTCTATCTAGCTTTTATTGGAAGATATTTCCTTTTTCACCGTAGTCCTGAGAGCGCTCCAAATGTCCACTTCCAGATACTACAAAAAGAGTGTTTCAAACCTGCTCTATGAAAGGGACTGTTCAACACTGTGACTTCAATTGAAACATCCCAATGAAGCTTCTGAGAATGCTTCTGTCTAGATTCTATATGAAGACAATCCCGTTTCCAACGAAATCCTCAAAGCTATCCAAATATCCTCTTGCAGATTTTACAAAAAGAGTGTTTCAAAACTGCTCTATCAAAAGAAAGCTTCAACACTGTTAGTTGAGGGCGCACATCACAAATAAGATTCTGAGAATGCTTCTGTCTAATTTACAGGGGAAGATATTTCCTTTTTCACCATAGGCCTGAAAGCGCTCCAAATGTCCACATCCAGAAACTACAAAAAGTGTGTTTCAAACCTGCTCTATGAAAGGGAATGTTCAAGTCTGTGACTTGAATGCAAATTTCACAAAGAACTTTCTGGGAATGCTGCTGTCTGCTTTTTATATGTAATCCCGTTTCCAACGAAATCCTCAAAGCTAGACAAATATCCACTTGCAGATTCCACAAAAATAGTGTTTCAAAACTGCTCTCTCAAAAGAAAGGTTCAACTCTTTTAGCTGAGTAGATACATCATGAAAAAGTTTCTGACATTGCTTCTATCTAGCTTTTATTGGAAGATATTTCCTTTTTCACCATAGTCCTGAGAACGCTCCAAATGTCCACTTCCAGATATTACAAAAAGAGTGTTTCAAACCTGCTCTACGAAAGGGACTGTTCAACACTGTGACTTCAATTGAAACATCCCAATGAAGCTTCTGAGAATGCTTCTGTCTAGATTGTATATGAAGACAATCCCGTTTCCAACGAAATCCTCAAAGCTATCCAAATATCCTCTTGCAGATTTTACAAAAAGAGTGTTTCAAAACTGCTCTATCAAAAGAAAGCTTCAACACTGTTAGTTGAGGGCGCACATCACAAATAAGTTTCTGAGAATGCTTCTGTCTAGTTTTCAGGGGAAGATATTTCCTTTTTCACCGTAGGCCTGAAAGCGCTCCAAATGTCCACATCCAGATACTACAAAAAGAGTGTTTCAAACCTGCTCTATGAAAGGGAATGTTCAAGTCTGTGACTTGAATGCAAATATCACAAAGAAGTTTCTGGGAATGCTGCTGTCTGCTTTTTATATGTAATCCCGTTTCCAACGAAATCCTCAAAGCTAGACAAATATCCACCTGCAGATCCAACAAAAAGAGTGTTTCAAAACTGCTCTCTCAAAAAAAAGGTTCAACTCTGTTAGCTGAGTAGATACATCATGAAAAAGTTTCTGACATTGCTTCTATCTAGCTTTTATTGGAAGATATTTCCTTTTTCACCGTAGTCCTGAGAGCGCTCCAAATCTCCACTTGAACATATTACAAAAAGAGTGTTTCAAACCTGCTCTACGAAAGGGACTGTTCAACACTGTGACTTCAATTGAAACATCCCAATGAAGCTTCTGAGAATGCTTCTGTCTAGAGGTTATATGAAGACAATCCCGTTTCCAACGAAATCCTCAAAGCTATCCAAATATCCTCTTGCAGATTTTACAAAAAGAGTGTTTCAAAACTGCTATATCAAAAGAAAGGTTCAACACTGTTAGTTGAGGGCGCACATCACAAATAAGATTCTGAGAATGCTTCTGTCTAGTTTTCAGGGGAAGATATTTCCTTTTTCACCATAGGCCTGAAAGCGCTCCAAATGTCCACATACAGATACTACAAAAAGAGTGTTTCAAACCTGCTCTATGAAAGGGAATGTTCAACTCTGTGACTTGAATGCAAACATCACAAAGAAGTTTCTGGGAATGCTGCTGTCTGCTTTTTATATGTAATCCCGTTTCCAACGAAATCCTCAAAGCTAGACAAATATCCACTTGCAGATTCCACAAAAAGAATGTTTCAAAACTGCTCTCTCAAAAGAAAGGTTCAACTCTGTTAGGTGAGTAGATACATCATGAAAAAGTTTCTGACATTGCTTCTATCTAGCTTTTATTGGAAGATATTTCCTTTATCACCGTACTCCTGAGATCTCTCCAAATATCCACTTCCAGATACTACAAAAAGAGTGTTTCAAACCTGCTGTATGAAAGGGACTGTTCAACACTGTGACTTCAATTGAAACATCCCAATGAAGCTTCTGAGAATGCTTCTGTCTAGAGTTTATATGAAGACAATCCCGTTTCCAACGAAATCCTCAAAGCTATCCAAATATCCTCTTGCAGATATTACAAAAAGAGTGTTTCAAAACTGCTCTATCAAAAGAAAGGTTCAACACTGTTAGTTGAGGGCGCACATCACAAATAAGTTTCTGAGAATGCTTCTGTCTAGTTTTCAGGGGAAGATATTTCCTTTTTCACCATAGGCCTGAAAGCGCTCCAAATGTCCACATACAGATACTACAAAAAGAGTGTTTCAAACCTGCTCTATGAAAGGGAATGTTCAACTCTGTGACTTGAATGCAAACATCACAAAGAAGTTTCTGGGAATGCTTCTGTCTAGAGTTTATATGAAGACAATCCCGTTTCCTACGAAATCCTCAAAGCTATCCAAATATCCTCTTGCAGATTTTACAAAAAGAGTGTTTCAAAACTGCTCTCTCAAAAGAAAGGTTCAACTCTGTTAGCTGAGTAGATACATCATGAAAAAGTTTCTGACATTGCTTCTATCTAGCTTTTATTGGAAGATATTTCCTTTTTCACCGCAGTCCTGAGAGCGTTCCAAATGTCCACTTCCAGATACTACAAAAAGAGTGTTTCAAACCTGCTCTATGAAAGGGACTGTTCAACACTGTGACTTCAATTGAAACATCCCAATGAAGCTTCTGAGAATGCTTCTGTCTAGAGTTTATATGAAGACAATCCCGTTTCCAACGAAATCCTCAAAGCTATCCAAATATCCTCTTGCAGATTTTACAAAAAGAGTGTTTCAAAACTGCTCTATCAAAAGAAAGCTTCAACACTGTTAGTTGAGGGCGCACATCACAAATAAGATTCTGAGAATGCTTCTGTCTAGTTTTCAGGGGAAGATATTTCCTTTTTCACCATAGGCCTGAAAGCGCTCCAAATGTCCACATACAGATACTACAAAAAGAGTGTTTCAAACCTGCTCTATGAAAGGGAATGTTCAACTCTGTGACTTGAATGCAAACTTCACAAAGAAGTTTCTGGGAATGCTGCTGTCTGCTTTTTATATGTAATCCCGTTTCCAACGAAATCCTCAAAGCTAGACAAATATCCACGTGCAGATTCCACAAAAAGAGTGTTTCAAAACTGCTCTATCAAGAGAAAGCTTCAACACTGTTAGTTGAGGGCGCACATCACAAATAAGTTTCTGAGAATGCTTCTGTCTAGTTTTCAGGGGAAGATATTTCCTTTTTCACCATAGGCCTGAAAGCGCTCGAAATGTCCACATCCAGATACTACAAAAAGAGTGTTTCAAACCTGCTCTATGAAAGGGACTGTTCAACACTGTGACTTCAATTGAAACATCCCAATGAAGCTTCTGAGAATGCTTCTGTCTAGAGTTTATATGAAGACAATCCCGTTTCCAACGAAATCCTCAAAGCTATCAAAATATCCTCTTGCAGATTTTACGAAAAGAGTGTTTCAAAACTGCTCTATCAAAAGAAAGCTTCAACACTGTTATTTGAGGGCGCACATCACAAATAAGATTCTGAGAATGCTTCTGTCTAGTTTTCAGGGGAAGATATTTCCTTTTTCACCATAGGCCTGAAAGCGCTCCAAATGTCCACATCCAGATACTACAAAAAGAGTGTTTCAAACCTGCTCTATGAAAGGGAATGTTCAACTCTGTGACTTGAATGCAAACTTCACAAAGAAGTTTCTGGGAATGCTGCTGTCTGCTTTTTATATGTAATCCCGTTTCCAACGAAATCCCCAAAGCTAGACCAATATCCACTTGCAGATTCCACAAAAAGAGTGTTTCAAAACTGCTCTCTCAAAAGAAAGGTTCAACTCTGTTAGCTGAGTAGATACATCATGAAAAAGTTTCTGACATTGCTTCTATCTAGCTTTTATTGGAAGATATTTCCTTTATCACCGTATTCCTGAGATCTCTCCAAATGTCCACTTCCAGATACTACAAAAAGAGTGTTTCAAACCTGCTCTATGAAAGGGACTGTTCAACACTGTGACTTCAATTGAAACATCCCAATGAAGCTTCTGAGAATGCTTCTGTCTAGAGTTTATATGAAGACAATCCCATTTCCAACGAAATCCTCAAAGCTATCCAAATATCCTC
Source organism: Homo sapiens (assembly GCF_000001405.40). Classification (NCBI taxonomy): domain Eukaryota; kingdom Metazoa; phylum Chordata; class Mammalia; order Primates; family Hominidae; genus Homo; species Homo sapiens. The sequence continues at coordinate 92,518,942 of NC_000002.12, read as the reverse complement.
TTGCAGATATTACAAAAAGAGTGTTTCAGAACTGCTCTATCAAAAGAAAGCTTCAACACTGTTAGTTGAGGGCGCACATCACAGATAAGATTCTGAGAATGCTTCTGTCTAGTTTTCAGGAGAAGATATTTCCTTTTTCACCATAGGCCTGAAAGCGCTCCAAATGTCCACATCCAGATACTATAAAAAGAGTGTTTCAAACCTGCTCTATGAAAGGGAATGTTCAACTCTGTGACTTGAATGCAAACATCACAAAGAAGATTCTGGGAACGCTGCTGTCTGCTTTTTATATGTAATCCCGTTTCCAACGAAATCCTCAAAGCTAGACAAATATCCACTTGCAGATTCCACAAAAAGAGTGTTTCAAAACTGCTCTATCAAAAGAAAGCTTCAACACTGTTAGTTGAGGGCGCACATCACAAATAAGTTTCTGAGAATGCTTCTGTCTAGTTTTCAGGGGAAGATATTTCCTTTTAAACCATAGGCCTGAAAGCGCTCCAAATGTCCACATCCAGATACTACAAAAAGAGTGTTTCAAACCTGCTCTATGAAAGGGACTGTTCAACACTGTGACTTCAATTGAAACATCCCAATGACGCTTCTGAGAATGCTTCTGTCTAGAGTTTATATGAAGACAATCCCGTTTCCAACGAAATCCTCAAAGCTATCCAAATATCCTCTTGCAGATTTTACAAAAAGAGTGTTTCAAAACTGCTCTATCAAAAGAAAGCTTCAACACTGTTAGTTGAGGGCGCACATCACAAATAAGATTCTCAGAATGCTTCTCTCTAGTTTTCAGGGGAAGATACTTCCTTTTTCACCATAGGCCTGAAAGCGCTCCAAATGTCCACATCCAGATACTACAAAAAGAGTGTTTCAAACCTGCTCTATGAAAGGGAATGTTCAACTCTGTGACTTGAATGCAAACATCACAAAGAAGTTTCTGGGAATGCTGCTGTCTGCTTTTTATAGTAATCCCGTTTCCAACGAAATCCTCAAAGCTAGACAAATATCCACTTGCAGATTCCACAAAAAGAGTGTTTCAAAACGGCTCTCTGAAAAGAAAGGTTCAACACTGTTAGCTGAGTAGATACGTCATGAAAAAGTTTCTGACATTGCTTCTATCTAGCTTTTATTGGAAGATATTTCCTTTTTCACCGCAGTCCTGAGAGCGCTCCAAATGTCCACTTCCAGATACTACAAAAAGAGTGTTTCAAACCTGCTCTATGAAAGGGACTGTTCAACACTGTGACTTCAATTGAAACATCCCAATGAAGCTTCTGAGAATGCTTCTGTCTAGAGTTTATATGAAGACAATCCTGTTTCCACCGAAATCCTCAAAGCTATCCAAATATCCTCTTGCAGATTTTACAAAAAGAGTGTTTCAAAACTGCTCTATCAAAAGAAAGCTTCAACACTGTTAGTTGAGGGCGCACATCACAAATAAGATTCTGAGAATGCTTCTGTCTAGTTTACAGGAGAAGATATTCCCTTTTTCACCATAGGCCTGAAAGCGCTCCAAATGTCCACATCCAGATACTATAAAAAGAGTGTTTCAAACCTGCTCTCTGAAAGGGAATGTTCAACTCTGTGACTTGAATGCAAACATCGCAAACAAGATTCTGGGAATGCTGCTGTCTGCTTTTTATATGTAATCCCGTTTCCAACGAAATCCTCAAAGCTATCCAAATATCCTCTTGCAGATATTACAAAAAGAGTGTTTCAAAACTGCTCTATCAAAAGAAAGGTTCAACTCTGTTAGCTGAGTAGATACATCATGAAAAAGTTTCTGACATTGCTTCTATGTAGCTTTTATTGGAAGATATTTCCTTTTTCACCATAGTCCTGAGAGCGCTCCAAATGTCCACTTCCAGATACTACAAAAAGAGTGTTTCAAACCTGTTCTATGAAAGGAACTGTTCAACACTGTGACTTCAATTGAAACATCCCAATGAAGCTTCTGAGAATGCTTCTGTCTAGAGTTTATATGAAGACAATCCCGTTTCCAACGAAATCCTCAAAGCTATCCAAATATCCTCTTGCAGATATTACAAAAAGAGTGTTTCAAAACTGCTCTATCAAAAGAAAGCTTCAACACTGTTAGTTGAGGGCGCACATCACAAATAAGTTTCTGAGAATGCTTCTGTCTAGTTTTCAGGGGAAGATATTTCCTTTTTCACCTTAGGCCTGAAAGCGCTGCAAATGTCCACATCCAGATACTACAAAAAGAGTGTTTCAAACCTGCTCTATGAAAGGGAATGTTCAACTCTGTGACTTGAATGCAAACATCACAAAGAAGTTTCTGGGAATGCTGCTGTCTGCTTTTTATATGTAATCCCGTTTCCAACGAAATCCTCAAAGCTAGACAAATATCCACTTGCAGATTCCACAAAACGAGTGTTTCAAAACTGCTCTCTCAAAGGAAGGTTCAACTCTGTTAGCTGAGTAGATACATCATGAAAAAGTTTCTGACATTGCTTCTATCTAGCTTTTATTGGAAGATATTTCCTTTTTCACCGCAGTCCTGAGAGCGTTCCAAATGTCCACTTCCAGATACTACAAAAAGAGTGTTTCAAACCTGCTCTATGAAAGGGACTGTTCAACACTGTGACTTCAATTGAAACATCCCAATGAAGCTTCTGAGAATGCTTCTGCCTAGAGTTTATATGAAGACAATCCCGTTTCCAACGAAATCCTCAAAGCTATCCAAATATCCTCTTGCAGATATTACAAAAAGAGTGTTTCAAAACTGCTCTATCAAAAGAAAGCTTCAACACTGTTAGTTGAGGGCGCACATCACAAATAAGTTTCTGAGAATGCTTCTGTCTAGTTTTCAGGGGAAGATATTTCCTTTTTCACCATAGGCCTGAAAGCGCTCCAAATGTCCACATACAGATACTACAAAAAGAGTGTTTCAAACCTGCTCTATGAAAGGGAATGTTCAACTCTGTGACTTCAATGCAAACTTCACAAAGAAGTTTCTGGGAATGCTGCTGTCTGCTTTTTATATGTAATCCCGTTTCAAACGAAATCCTCAAAGCTAGACAAATATCCACTTGCAGATTCCACAAAAAGAGTGTTTCAAAACTGCTCTCTCAAAAGAAAGGTTCAACTCTGTTAGCTGAGTAGATACGTCATGAAAAAGTTTCTGACATTGCTTCTATCTAGCTTTTATTGGAAGATATTTCCTTTATCACCGTATTCCTGAGATCTCTCCAAATGTCCACTTCCAGATACTACAAAAAGAGTGTTTCAAACCTGCTCTATGAAAGGGACTGTTCAACACTGTGACTTCAATTGAAACATCCCAATGAAGCTTCTGAGAATGCTTCTGTCTAGAGTTTATATGAAGACAATCCCGTTTCCAACGAAATCCTCAAAGCTATCCAAATATCCTCTTGCAGATTTTACAAAAAGAGTGTTTCAAAACTGCTCTATCAAAAGAAAGCTTCAACACTGTTAGTTGAGGGCGCACATCACAAATAAGATTCTGAGAATGCTTCTGTCTAGCTTTCAGGGGAAGATATTTCCTTTTTCACCATAGGCCTGAAAGCGCTCCAAATGTCCACATCCAGATACTACAAAAAGAGTGTTTCAAACCCGCTCTATGGAAGGGAAAGTTCAAGTCTGTGACTTGAATGCAAATATCACAAAGAAGTTTCTGGGAATGCTGCTGTCTGCTTTTTATATGTAATCCCGTTTCCAAAGAAATCCTCAAAGCTAGACAAATATCCACTTGCAGATTCCACAAAAAGAGTGTTTCAAAACTGCTCTCTCAAAGGAAAGGTTCAACTCTGTTAGCTGAGTAGATACATCATGAAAAAGTTTCTGACATTGCTTCTATCTAGCTTTTATTGGAAGATATTTCCTTTTTCACCGCAGTCCTGAGAGCGCTCCAAATGTCCACTTCCAGATACTACAAAAAGAGTGTTTGAAACCTGTTCTATGAAAGGAACTGTTCAACACTGTGACTTCAATTGAAACTTCCCAATGAAGCTTCTGAGAATGCTTCTGTCTAGAGTTTATATGAAGACAATCCCGTTTCCAACGAAATCCTCAAAGCTATCAAAATATCCTCTTGCAGATTTTACGAAAAGAGTGTTTCAAAACTGCTCTATCAAAAGAAAGCTTCAACACTGTTAGTTGAGGGCGCACATCACAAATAAGATTCTGAGAAAGCTTCTGTCTAGTTTTCAGGAGAAGATATTTCCTTTTTCACCATAGGCCTGAAAGCGCTCCAAATGTCCACATCCAGATACTATAAAAAGAGTGTTTCAAACCTGCTCTCTGAAAGGGAATGTTCAACTCTGTGACTTGAATGCAAATATCACAAACAAGATTCTGGGAATGCTGCTGTCGGCTTTTTATAATTAATCCCGTTTCCAACGAAATCATCAAAGCTATCCAAATATCCTCTTGCAGATATTACAAAAAGAGTGTTTCAAAACTGCTCTATCAAAAGAAAGGTTCAACACCGTTAGTTGAGGGCGCACATCACAAATAAGTTTCTGAGAATGCTTCTGTCTAGTTTTCAGGGGAAGATATTTCCTTTTTCACCTTAGGCCTGAAAGCGCTGCAAAAGTCCACATCCAGATACTACAAAAAGAGTGTTTCAAACCTGCTCTATGAAAGGGAATGTTCAACTCTGTGACTTGAATGCAAACATCACAAAGAAGTTTCTGGGAATGCTGCTGTCTGCTTTTTATATGTAATCCCGTTTCCAACGAAATCCTCAAAGCTAGACAAATATCCACTTGCAGATTCCACAAAACGAGTGTTTCAAAACTGCTCTCTCAAATGAAGGTTCAACTCTGTTAGCTGAGTAGATACATCATGAAAAAGTTTCTGACATTGCTTCTATCTAGCTTTTATTGGAAGATATTTCCTTTTTCACCGCAGTCCTGAGAGCGCTCCAAATGTCCACTTCCAGATACTACAAAAAGAGTGTTTGAAACCTGTTCTATGAAAGGAACTGTTCAACACTGTGACTTCAATTGAAACTTCCCAATGAAGCTTCTGAGAATGCTTCTGTCTAGAGTTTATATGAAGACAATCCCGTTTCCAACGAAATCCTCAAAGCTATCAAAATATCCTCTTGCAGATTTTACGAAAAGAGTGTTTCAAAACTGCTCTATCAAAAGAAAGCTTCAACACTGTTAGTTGAGGGCGCACATCACAAATAAGATTCTGAGAAAGCTTCTGTCTAGTTTTCTGGGGAAGATATTTCCTTTTTCACCATAGGCCTGAAAGCGCTCCAAATGTCCACATCCAGATACTACAAAAAGAGTGTTTCAAACCTCCTCTATGAAAGGGAATGTTCAACTCTGTGACTTGAATGCAAACATCACAAAGAAGTTACTGGGAATGCTTGCTGTCTGCTTTTTATATGTAATCCCGTTTCCAACGAAATCCTCAAAGCTATACAAATATCCACCTGCAGATCCAACAAAAAGAGTGTTTCAAAACTGCTCTCTCAAAAAAAAGGTTCAACTCTGTTAGCTGAGTAGATACGTCATGAAAAAGTTTCTGACATTGCTTCTATCTAGCTTTTATTGGAAGATATTTCCTTTTTCACCGTAGTCCTGAGAGCGCTCCAAATCTCCACTTCCAGATATTACAAAAAGAGTGTTTCAAACCTGCTCTACGAAAGGGACTGTTCAACACTGTGACTTCAATTGAAACATCCCAATGAAGCTTCTGAGAATGCTTCTGTCTAGATTGTATATGAAGACAATCCCGTTTCCAACGAAATCCTCAAAGCTATCCAAATATCCTCTTGCAGATTTTACAAAAAGAGTGTTTCAAAACTGCTCTATCAAAAGAAAGCTTCAACACTGTTAGTTGAGGGCGCACATCACAAATACGTTTCTGAGAATGCTTCTGTCTAGTTTTCAGGGGAAGATATTTCCTTTTTCACCATAGGCCTGAAAGCGCTCCAAATGTCCACATCCAGATACTACAAAAAGAGTGTTTCAAACCTGCTCTATGAAAGGGAATGTTCAAGTCTGTGACTTGAATGCAAATATCACAAAGAAGTTTCTGGGAATGCTGCTGTCTGCTTTTTATATGTAATCCCGTTTCCAACGAAATCCTCAAAGCTAGACAAATATCCACTTGCAGATTCCACAAAAAGAGTGTTTCAAAACTGCTCTCTCAAAGGAAAGGTTCAACTCTGTTAGCTGAGTAGATACATCATGAAAAAGTTTCTGACATTGCTTCTATCTAGCTTTTATTGGAAGATATTTCCTTTTTCACCGCAGTCCTGAGAGCGCTCCAAATGTCCACTTCCAGATACTACAAAAAGAGTGTTTCAAACCTGCTCTATGAAAGGGACTGTTCAACACTGTGACTTCAATTGAAACATCCCAATGAAGCTTCTGAGAATGCTTCTGTCTAGAGTTTATATGAAGACATTCCCGTTTCCAACGAAATCCTCAAAGCTATCCAAATATCGTCTTGCAGATTTTACAAAAAGAGTGTTTAAAAACTGCTCTAGCAAAAGAAAGCTTCAACACTGTTAGTTGAGGGTGCACATCGCAAATAAGATTCTGAGAATGCCTCTGTCTAGTTTTCAGGGGAAGATATTTCCTTTTTCACCATAGGCCTGAAAGCGCTCCAAATGTCCACATCCAGATACTTCAAAAAGAGTGTTTCAAACCTGCTCTATGAAAGGGAATGTTCAACTCTCTGACTTGAATGGAAACATCACAAAGAAGTTACTGGGAATGCTGCTGTCTGCTTTTTATATGTAATCCCGTTTCCAACGAAATCCTCAAAGCTAGACAAATATCCACTTTCAGATTACACAAAAAGAGTGTTTCAAAACTGCTCTCTCAAAAGAAAGGTTCAACTCTGTTAGCTGAGTAGATACATCATGAAAAAGTTTCTGACATTGCTTCTATCTAGCTTTTATTGGAAGATATTTCCTTTATCACCGTATTCCTGAGATCTCTCCAAATGTCCACTTCCAGATACTACAAAAAGAGTGTTTCAAACCTGCTCTATGAAAGGGACTGTTCAACACTGTGACTTCAATTGAAACATCCCAATGAAGCTTCTGAGAATGCTTCTGTCTAGAGTTTATATGAAGACAATCCCGTTTTCAACGAAATCCTCAAAGCTATCAAAATATCCTCTTGCAGATTTTACGAAAAGTGTGTCTCAAAACTGCTCTATCAAAACAAAGCTTCAACACTGTTAGTTGAGGGCGCACATCACAAATAAGATTCTGAGAATGCTTCTGTCTAGTTTTCAGGAGAAGATATTTCCTTTTTCACCATAGGCCTGAAAGCGCTCCAAATGTCCACATCCAGATACTATAAAAAGAGTGTTTCAAACCTGCTCTCTGAAAGGGAATGTTCAACTCTGTGACTTGAATGCAAACATCACAAACAAGATTCTGGGAATGCTGCTGTCTGCTTTTTATATGTAATCCCGTTTCCAACGAAATCCTCAAAGCTATCCAAATATCCTCTTGCAGATATTACAAAAAGAGTGTTTCAAAACTGCTCTATCAAAAGAAAGGTTCAACACTGTTAGTTGAGGGCGCACATCACAAATAAGTTTCTGAGAATGCTTCTGTCTAGTTTTCAGGGGAAGATATTTCCTTTTTCACCATAGGCCTGAAAGCGCTCCAAATGTCCACATACAGATACTACAAAAAGAGTGTTTCAAACCTGCTCTATGAAAGGGAATGTTCAACTCTGTGACTTGAATGCAAACTTCACAAAGAAGTTTCTGGGAATGCTGCTGTCTGCTTTTTATATGTAATCCCGTTTCCAACGAAATCCTCAAAGCTAGACAAATATCCACTTGCAGATTCCACAAAAAGAGTGTTTCAAAACTGCTCTCTCAAAGGAAGGTTCTACTCTGTTAGCTGAGTAGATACATCATGAAAAAGTTTCTGACATTGCTTCTATCTAGCTTTTATTGGAAGATATTTCCTTTTTCACCGCAGTCCTGAGAGAACTCCAAATGTCCACTTCCAGATACTACAAAAAGAGTGTTTCAAACCTGCTCTATGAAAGGGACTGTTCAACACTGTGACTTCAATTGAAACATCCCAATGAAGCTTCTGAGAATGCTTCTGTCTAGAGTTTATATGAAGACAATCCCGTTTCCAACGAAATCCTCAAAGCTATCCAAATATCCTCTTGCAGATTTTACAAAAAGAGTGTTTCAAAACTGCTCTATCAAAAGAAAGCTTCAACACTGTTAGTTGAGGGCGCACATCACAAATAAGTTTCTGAGAATGCTTCTGTCTAGTTTTCAGGGGAAGATATTTCCTTTTTCACCATAGGCCTGAAAGCGCTGCAAATGTCCACATCCAGATACTACAAAAAGAGTGTTTCAAACCTGCTCTATGAAAGGGAATGTTCAACTCTGTGACTTGAATGCAAACGTCACAAAGAAGTTACTGGGAATGCTGCTGTCTGCTTTTTATATGTAATCCCGTTTCCAACGAAATCCTCAAAACTAGACAAATATCCACTTCCAGATTCCACAAAAAGAGTGTTTCAAAAGTGCTCTCTCAAAAGAAAGGTTCAACTCTGTTAGCTGAGTAGATACATCATGAAAAAGTTTCTGACATTGCTTTTATGTAGCTTTTATTGGAAGATATTTCCTTTTTCACCATAGGCCTGAAAGCGCTCCAAATGTCCACATCCAGATACTACAAAAAAAGTGTTTCAAACCTGCTCTATGAAAGGGAATGTTCAACTCTGTGACTTGAATGCAAACATCACAAAGAAGTTACTGGGAATGCTGCTGTCTGCTTTTTATATGTAATCCCGTTTCCAACGCAATCCTCAAAGCTAGACAAATATCCACTTGCAGATTCCACAAAAAGAGTGTTTCAAAACTGCTCTCTCAAAAGAAAGGTGCAACTCTGTTAGCTGAGTAGATACATCATGAAAAATTTTCTGAGATTGCTTCTATCTAGCTTTTATTGGAAGATATTTCCTTTATCACCGTATTCCTGAGATCTCTCCAAATGTCCACTTCCAGATACTACAAAAAGAGTGTTTCAAACCTGCTCTATGAAAGGGAATGTTCAACTCTGTGACTTGAATGCAAACATCACAAAGAAGTTTCTGGGAATGCTGCTGTCTGCTTTTTATATGTAATCCCGTTTCCAACGAAATCCTCAAAGCTAGACAAATATCCACTTGCAGATTCCACAAAACGAGTGTTTCAAAACTGCTCTCTCAAATGAAGGTTCAACTTTGTTAGCTGAGTAGATACATCATGAAAAAGTTTCTGACATTGCTTCTATCTAGCTTTTATTGGAAGATATTTCCTTTATCACCGTATTCCTGAGATCTCTACAAATGTCCACTTCCAGATACTACAAAAAGAGTGTTTCAAACCTGCTCTATGAAAGGGACTGTTCAACACTGTGACTTCAATTGAAACATCCCAATGAAGCTTCTGAGAATGCTTCTGTCTAGATTTTATATGAAGACAATCCCGTTTCCAACGAAATCCTCAAAGCTATCCAAATATCCTCTTGCAGATATTACAAAAAGAGTGTTTCAAAACTGCTCTATCAAAAGAAAGGTTCAACACTGTTAGTTGAGGGCGCACATCACAAATAAGTTTCTGAGAATGCTTCTGTCTAGTTTTCAGGGGAAGATATTTCCTTTTTCACCATAGGCTTGAAAGCACTCCAAATGTCCACATCCAGATACTACAAAAAGAGTGTTTCAAACCTGCTCTATGAAAGGGAATGTTCAACTCTGTGACTTGAATGCAAACATCACAAAGAAGTTTCTGGGAATGCTGCTGTCTGCTTTTTATATGTAATCCCGTTTCCAACGCAATCCTCAAAGCTAGACAAATATCCACTTGCAGATTCCACAAAAAGAGTGTTTCAAAACTGCTCTCTCAAAAGAAAGGTTCAACTCTGTTAGCTGAGTAGATACATCATGAAAAACTTTCTGACATTGCTTCTATCTAGCTTTTATTGGAAGATATTTCCTTTATCACTCTATTCCTGAGATCTCTCCAAATGTCCACTTCCAGCTACTATAAAAAGAGTGTTTCAAACCTGCTCTATGAAAGGGACTTTTCAACACTGTGACTTCAATTGAAACATCCCAATGAAGCTTCTGAGAATGCTGCTGTCTGCTTTGTATAATTAATCCCGTTTCCAACGAAATCCTCAAAGCTATCCAAATATCCTCTTGCAGATATTACAAAAAGAGTGTTTCAAAACTGCTCTATCAAAAGAAAGCTTCAACACTGTTAGTTGAGGGCGCACATCACAAATAAGTTTCTGAGAATGCTGCTGTCTGCTTCTTATATGTAATCCCGTTTCCAACGAAATCCTCAAAGCTAGACAAATATCCACTTGCAGATACCACAAAAAGAGTGTTTCAAAACTGCTCTATCAAAAGAAAGCTTCAACACTGTTAGTTGAGGGGGCACATCACAAATAAGTTTCTGAGAATGCTTCTGTCTAGTTTTCAGGGGAAGATATTTCCTTTTAAACCATAGGCCTGAAAGCGCTCCAAATGTCCACATCCAGATACTTCAAAAAGAGTGTTTCAAACCTGCTCTATGAAAGGGACTGTTCAACACTGTGACTTCAATTGAAACATCCCAATGAAGCTTCTGAGAATGCTTCTGTCTAGAGTTTATATGAAGACAATCCCGTTTCCAACGAAATCCTCAAAGCTATCCAAATATCCTCTTGCAGATTTTACAAAAAGAGTGTTTCAAAACTGCTCTATGAAAAGAAAGCTTCAACACTGTTAGTTGAGGGCGCACATCACAAATAAGATTCTGAGAATGCTTCTGTCTAGTTTTCAGGGGAAGATATTTCCTTTTTCACCATAGGCCTGAAAGTGCTCCAAATGTCCACATCCAGATACTAAAAAAGGGTGTTTCAAACCTGCTCTATGAAAGGGAATGTTCAACTGTGTGACTTGAATGCAAACATCACAAAGAAGTTTCTGGGAATGCTGCTGTCTGCTTTTTATATGTAATCCCGTTTCCAACGAAATCCTCAAAGCTAGACAAATATCCACCTGTAGATTCCTCAAAAAGCGTGTTTCAAAACTGCTCTCTCAAAAAAAATGTTCAACTCTGTTAGCTGAGTAGATACATCATGAAAAAGTTTCTGACATTGCTTCTATCTAGCTTTTATTGGAAGATATTTCCTTTTTCACCGTAGTCCTGAGAACGCTCCAAATGTCCACTTCCAGATACTACAAAAAGAGTGTTTCAAACCTGCTCTATGAAAGGGAATGTTCAACACTGTGACTTCAATTGAAACATCCCAATGAAGCTTCTGAGAATGCTTCTGTCTAGAGTTTATATGAAGACAATCCCGTTTCCAACGAAATCCTCAAAGCTATCCAAATATCCTCTTGCAGATATTACAAAAAGAGTGTTTCAAAACTGCTCTATCAAAAGAAAGCTTCAACACTGTTAGTTGAGGGCGCACATCACAAATAAGTTTCTGAGAATGCTCTGTCTAGTTTTCAGGGGAAGATATTTCCTTTTTCACCATAGGCCTGAAAGCGCTCCAAATGTCCACATCCAGATACTACAAAAAGAGTGTTTCAAACCTGCTCTATGAAAGGGAATGTTCAACTCTGTGACTTGAATGCAAACATCACAAAGAAGTTTCTGGGAATGCTGGCTGTCTGCTTTTTATATGTAATCCCGTTTCCAACGAAATCCTCAAACCTAGACAAATATCCACTTCCAGATTCCACAAAAAGAGTGTTTCAAAACTGCTCTCTCAAAAGAAAGGTTCAACTCTGTTAGCTGAGTAGATACATCATGAAAAAGTTTCTGACATTGCTTCTATCTAGCTTTTATTGGAAGATATTTCCTTTATCACCGTATTCCTGAGATCTCTCCAAATGTCCACTTCCAGATACTACAAAAAGAGTGTTTCAAACCTGCTCTATGAAAGGGACTGTTCAACACTGTGACTTCAATTGAAACATCCCAATGAAGCTTCTGAGAATGCTTCTGTCTAGAGTTTATATGAAGACAATCCCGTTTCCAACGAAATCCTCAAAGCTATCCAAATATCCTCTTGCAGATTTTACAAAAAGAGTGTTTGAAAACTGCTCTATCAAAAGAAAGCTTCAACACTGTTAGTTGAGGGCGCACATCACAAATAAGTTTCTGAGAATGCTTCTGTCTAGTTTTCAGGGGAAGATATTTCCTTTTTCACCATAGGCCTGAAAGCGCTCCAAATGTCCACATCCAGATACTACAAAAAGAGTGTTTCAAACCTGCTCTATGAAAGGGAATGTTCAACACTGTGACTTGAATGCAAACATCACAAAGAAGTTTCTGGGAATGCTGCTGTCTGCCTTTTATATGTAATCCTGTTTCCAACGAAATCCTCAAAGCTAGACAAATATCCACTTGCAGATTCCACAAACAGAGTGTTTCAAAACTGCTCTCTCAAAAGAAAGGTTCAACTCTGTTAGCTGAGTAGATACATCATGAAAAAGTTTCTGACATTGCTTCTATGTAGCTTTTATTGGAAGATATTTCCTTTTTCACCGTAGTCCTGAGAGCGCTCCAAATGTCCACTTCCAGATACTACAAAAAGAGTGTTTCAAACCTGCTCTATGAAAGGGACTGTTCAACACTGTGACTTCAATTGAAACATCCCAATGAAGCTTCTGAGAATGCTTCTGTCTAGAGTTTATATGAAGACAATCCCGTTTCCAACGAAATCCTCAAAGCTATCCAAATATCCTCTTGCAGATTTTACAAAAAGAGTGTTTCAAAACTGCTCTATCAAAAGAAAGCTTCAACACTGTTAGTTGAGGGCGCACATCACAAATAAGATTCTGAGAATGCTTCTGTCTAGTTTTCAGGGGAAGATATTTCCTTTTTCACCATAGGGCTGAAAGCGCTCCAAATGTCCACATCCAGATACTACAAAAAGAGTGTTTCAAACCTGCTCTCTGAAAGGGAATGTTCAACTCTGTGACTTGAATGCAAACATCACAAAGAAATTTCTGGGAATGCTGCTGTCTGCTTTTTATATGTAATCCCGTTTCCAACGAAATCCTCAAAGCTAGACAAATATCCACTTGCAGATTCCACAAAAAGAGTGTTTCAAAACTGCTCTATCAAAAGAATGCTTCAACACTGTTAGTTGAAGGCGCACATCACAAATAAGTTTCTGAGAATGCTTCTGTCTAGTTTTCAGGGGAAGATATTTCCTTTTAAACCATAGGCCTGAAAGCGCTCCAAATGTCCACATCCAGATACTACAAAAAGAGTGTTTCAAACCTGCTCTATGAAAGGGACTGTTCAACACTGTGACTTCAATTGAAACATCCCAATGACGCTTCTGAGAATGCTTCTGTCTAGAGTTTATATGAAGACAATCCCGTTTCCAACGAAATCCTCAAAGCTATCCAAATATCCTCTTGCAGATTTTACAAAAAGAGTGTTTCAAAACTGCTCTATCAAAAGAAAGCTTCAACACTGTTAGTTGAGGGCGCACATCACAAATAAGATTCTGAGAATTCTTCTGTCTAGTTTTCAGGGGAAGATATTTCCTTTTTCACCATAGGCCTGAAAGCGCTCCAAATGTCCACATCCAGATACTACAAAAAGAGTGTTTCAAACCTGCTCTATGAAAGGGAATGTTCAACTCTGTGACTTGAATGCAAACATCACAAAGAAGTTACTGGGAATGCTGCTGTCTGCTTTTTATATGTAATCCCGTTTCCAACGCAATCCTCAAAGCTAGAAAAATATCCACTTGCAGATTCCACAACAAGAGTGTTTCAAAACTGCTCCCTCAAAGGAAAGGTTCAACTCTGTTAGCTGAGTAGATACATCATGAAAAAGTTTCTGACATTGCTTCTATCTAGCTTTTATTGGAAGATATTTCCTTTATCACCGTATTCCTGAGATCACTCCAAATGTCCACTTCCAGATACTACATAAAGAGTGTTTCAAACCTCCTCTATGAAAGGGACTGTTCAACACTGTGACTTCAATTGAAACATCCCAATGAAGCTTCTGAGAATGCTTCTGTCTAGAGTTTATATGAAGACAATCCCGTTTCCAACGAAATCTTCAAAGCTATCCAAATATCCTCTTGCAGATTTTAGAAAAAGAGTGTTTCAAAACTGCTCTATCAAAAGAAAGGTTCAACACTGTTAGTTGAGGGCGCACATCACAAATAAGATTCTGAGAATGCTTCTGTCTAGTTTTCAGGGGAAGATATTTCCTTTTTCACCATAGGCCTGAAAGCGCTCCAAATGTCCACATACAGATACTACAAAAAGAGTGTTTCAAACCTGCTCTATGAAAGGGAATGTTCAACACTGTGACTTGAATGCAAACTTCACAAAGAAGTTTCTGGGAATGCTGCTGTCTGCTTTTTATATGTAATCCCGTTTCCAACGAAATCCTCAAAGCTAGACAAATATCCACTTGCAGATTCCACAAAAAGAGTGTTTCAAAACTGCTCTCTCAAAAGAAAGGTTCAACTCTGTTAGCTGAGTAGATACATCATGAAAATGTTTCCTGACATTGCTTCTATCTAGCTTTTATTGGAAGATATTTCCTTTTTCACCGTAGTCCTGAGATCTCTCCAAATGTCCACTTCCAGATACTACAAAAAGAGTGTTTCAAACCTGCTCTATGAAAGGGACTGTTCAACACTGTGACTTCAATTGAAACATCCCAATGAAGCTTCTGAGAATGCTTCTGTCTAGAGTTTATATGAAGACAATCCCGTTTCCAACGAAATCCTCAAAGCTATCCAAATATCCTCTTGCAGATTTTACAAAAAGAGTGTTTCAAAACTGCTCTATCAAAAGAAAGCTTCAACACTGTTAGTTGAGGGCGCACATCACAAATAAGATTCTGAGAATGCTTCTGTCTAGTTTTCAGGGGAAGATATTTCCTTTTTCACCATAGGCCTGAAAGCGCTCCAAATGTCCACATCCAGATACTACAAAAAGAGTGTTTCAAACCTGCTCTATGAAAGGGAATGTTCAGCTCTGTGACTTGAATGCAAACATCACAAAGATGTTTCTGGGAATGCTGCTGTCTGCTTTTTATATGTAATCCCGTTTCCAAAGAAATCCTCAAAGCTAGACAAATATCCACTTGCAGACTCCACAAAAAGAGTGTTTCAAAACTGCTCTCTCAAAAGAAAGGTTCAACTCTTTTAGCTGAGTAGATACATCATGAAAAAGTTTCTGACATTGCTTCTATCTAGCTTTATTTGGAAGATATTTCCTTTTTCACCGTAGTCCTGAGAACGCTCCAAATGTCCACTTCCAGATACTACAAAAAGATTGTTTCAAACATGCTCTATGAAAGGGACTGTTCAACACTGTGACTTCAATTGAAACATACCAATGAAGCTTCTGAGAATGCTTCTGTCTAGATTTTATATGAAGACAATCCCGTTTCCAACGAAATCCTCAAAGCTATCCAAATATCCTCTTGCAGATTTTTCAAAAAGAGTGTTTCAAAACTGCTCTATCAAAAGAAAAGTTCAACACTGTTAGTTGAGGGCGCACATCACAAATAAGTTTCTGAGAATGCTTCTGTCTAGTTTTCAGGGGAAGATATTTCCTTTTTCACCATAGGCCTGAAAGCGCTCCAAATGTCCGCATCCAGATACTACAAAAAGAGTGTTTCAAACCTGCTCTATGAAAGGGAATGTTCAACTCTGTGACTTGAATGCAAACATCACAAAGAAGTTTCTGGGAATGCTGCTGTCTGCTTTTTATATGTAATCCCGTTTCCAACGCAATCCTCAAAGCTAGACAAATATCCACTTGCAGATTCCACAAAAAGAGTGTTTCAAAACTGCTCTCTCAAAAGAAAGGTTCAACTCTTTTAGCTGAGTAGATACATCATGAAAAATTTTCTGACATTGCTTCTATCTAGCTTTTATTGGAAGATAATTCCCTTTTCACCGTAGTCCTGAGGACTGCTCGAAATGTCCACTTCCAGATACTACAAAAAGAGTGTTTCAAACCTGCTCTATGAAAGGGACTGTTCAACACCGTGACTTCAATTGAAACATCCCAATGAAGCTTCTGAGAATGCTTCTGTCTAGAGTTTTTATGAAGACAATCCCGTTTCCAACGAAATCCTCAAAGCTATCCAAATATCCTCTTGCAGATTTTACAAAAAGAGTGTTTCAAAACTGCTCTATCAAAAGAAAGCTTCAACACTGTTAGTTGAGGGCGCACATCACAAATAAGATTCTGAGAATGCTTCTGTCTAGTTTTTAGGGGAAGATATTTCCTTTTTCACCATAGGCCTGAAAGCGCTCCAAATGTCCACATCCAGATACTACAAAAAGAGTGTTTCAAACCTGCTCTATGAAAGGGAATGTTCAACTCTGTGACTTGAATGCAAACATCACAAAGAAGTTACTGGGAATGCTGCTGTCTGCTTTTTATATGTAATCCCGTTTCCAACGAAATCCTCAAAGCTAGACAAATATCCACTTTCAGATTACACAAAAAGAGTGTTTCAAAACTGCTCTCTCAAAAGAAAGGTTCAACTCTGTTAGCTGAGTAGATACATCATGAAAAAGTTTCTGACATTGCTTCTATGTAGCTTTTATTGGAAGATATTTCCTTTTTCACCATAGGCCTGAAAGCGCTCCAAATATCCACATCCAGATACTACAAAAAAAGTGTTTCAAACCTGCTCTATGAAAGGGAATGTTCAACTCTGTGACTTGAATGCAAACATCACAAAGAAGTTACTGGGAATGCTGCTGTCTGCTTTTTATATGTAATCCCGTTTCCAACGAAATCCTCAAAGCTAAACTAATATCCACTTGCAGATTCCACAAAAAGAGTGTTTCAAAACTGCTCTCTCAAAAGAAAGGTTCAACTCTGTTAGCTGAGTAGATACATCATGAAAAAGTTTCTGACATTGCTTCTATCTAGCTTTTATTGGAAGATATTTCCTTTTTCACCGCAGTCCTGAGAGCGTTCCAAATGTCCACTTCCAGATACTACAAAAAGAGTGTTTCAAACCTGCTCTATGAAAGGGACTGTTCAACACTGTGACTTCAATTGAAACATCCCAATGAAGCTTCTGAGAATGCTTCTGCCTAGAGTTTATATGAAGACAATCCCGTTTCCAACGAAATCCTCAAAGCTATCCAAATATCCTCTTGCAGATATTACAAAAAGAGTGTTTCAAAACTGCTCTATCAAAAGAAAGCTTCAACACTGTTAGTTGAGGGCGCACATCACAAATAAGTTTCTGAGAATGCTTCTGTCTAGTTTTCAGGGGAAGATATTTCCTTTTTCACCATAGGCCTGAAAGCGCTCCAAATGTCCACATCCAGATACTGCAAAAAGAGTGTTTCAAACCTGCTCTATGAAAGGGAATGTTCAACTCTGTGACTTGAATGCAAACATCACAAAGAAGTTACTGGGAATGCTGCTGTCTGCTTTTTATATGTAATCCCGTTTCCAACGAAATCCTCAAAGCTAGACAAATATCCACTTGCAGATTCCACAAAAAGAGTGTTTCAAAACTGCTCTATCAAAAGAAAGCTTCAACACTGTTAGTTGAGGGCGCACATCACAAATAAGTTTCTGAGAATGCTTCTGTCTAGTTTTCAGGGGAAGATACTTCCTTTTAAACCATAGGCCTGAAAGCGCTCCAAATGTCCACATCCAGATACTACAAAAAGAGTGTTTCAAACCTGCTCTATGAAAGGGAATGTTCAACACTGTGACTTCAATTGAAACATCCCAATGACGCTTCTGAGAATGCTTCTGTCTAGAGTTTATATGAAGACAATCCCGTTTCCAAAGAAATCCTCAAAGCCATCCAAATATCCTCTTGCAGATTTTACAAAAAGAGTGTTTCAAAACTGCTCTATCAAAAGAAAGCTTCAACATTGTTAGTTGAGGGCGCACATCACAAATAAGATTGCTGAGAATGCTTGTCTGTCTAGTTTTCAGGGGAAGATATTTCCTTTTTCACCATAGGCCTGAAAGCGCTCCAAATGTCCACATCCAGATACTACAAAAAGAGTGTTTCAAACCTGCTCTATGAAAGGGAATGTTTAACTCTGTGACTTGAATGCAAACATCACAAAGAAGTTTGTGGGAATGCTGCTGTCTGCTTTTTATATGTAATCCCGTTTCCAACGAAATCCTCAAAGCTAGACAAATATCTACTTGCAGATTCCACAAAAAGAGTATTTCAAAACTGCTCTATCAAAAGAATGCTTCAACACTGTTAGTTGAGGGCGCACATCACAAATAAGTTTCTGAGAATGCTTCTGTCTAGTTTTCAGGGGAAGATATTTCCTTTTAAACCATAGGCCTGAAAGCGCTCCAAATGTCCACATCCAGATACTACAAAAAGAGTGTTTCAAACCTGCTCTATGAAAGGGACTGTTCAACACTGTGACTTCAATTGAAACATCCCAATGAAGCTTCTGAGAATGCTTCTGTCTAGAGTTTATATGAAGACAATCCCGTTTCCAACGAAATCCTCAAAGCTATCCAAATATCCTCTTGCAGATTTTACGAAAAGAGTGTTTCAAAACTGCTCTATCAAAAGAAAGCTTCAACACTGTTAGTTGAGGGCGCACATCAAAAATAAGATTCTGAGAATGCTTCTGTCTAGTTTTCAGGAGAAGATATTTCCTTTTTCACCATAGGCCTGAAAGCGCTCCAAATGTCCACATCCAGATACTATAAAAAGAGTGTTTCAAACCTGCTCTCTGAAAGGGAATGTTCAACTCTGTGACTTGAATGCAAACATCACAAACAAGATTCTGGGAATGCTGCTGTCTGCTTTTTATATGTAATCCCGTTTCCAACGAAATCCTCAAAGCTAGACAAATATCCACTTGCAGATTCCACAAAAAGAGTGTTTCAAAACTGCTCTATCAAAAGAAAGCTTCAACACTGTTAGTTGAGGGCGCACATCACAAATAAGTTTCTGAGAATGCTTCTGTCTAGTTTTCAGGGGAAGATATTTCCTTTTTCACCATAGGCCTGAAAGCGCTCCAAATGTCCACATCCAGATACTACAAAAAGAGTGTTTCAAACCTGCTCTATGAAAGGGACTGTTCAACACTGTGACTTCAATTGAAACATCCCAATGAAGCTTCTGAGAATGCTTCTGTCTAGAGTTTATATGAAGACAATCCAGTTTCCAAAGAAATCCTCAAAGCTATCCAAATATCCTCTTGCAGATTTTACAAAAAGAGTGTTTCAAAACTGCTCTATCAAAAGAAAGCTTCAACACTGTTAGTTGAGGGCGCACATCACAAATAAAATTCTGAGAGTGCTTCTGTCTAGTTTTCAGGGGAAGATATTTCCTTTTTCACCATAAGCCTGAAAGCGCTCCAAATGTCCACATCCAGATACTACAAAAAGAGTGTTTCAAACCTACTCTATGAAAGGGAATGTTCAACTCTGTGACTTGAATGCAAACATCACAAAGAAGTTTCTGGGAATGCTGCTGTCTGCTTTTTATATGTAATCATGTTTCCAACGAAATCCTCAAAGCTAGACAAATATCCACTTGCAGATTCCACAAAAAGAGTGTTTCAAAACTGCTCTCTCAAAAGAAAGGTTCAACTCTGTTAGCTGAGTAGATACATCATGAAAAATTTTCTGACATTTCTTCTATCTAGCTTTTATTGGAAGATACTTCCTTTTCCACCGTAGTCCTGAGAGCGCTCCAAATGTCCACTTCCAGATACTACAAAGAGTGTTTCAAACCTGCTCTATGAAAGGGACTGTTCAACACTGTGACTTCAATTGAAACATCCCAATGAAGCTTCTGAGAATGCTTCTGTCTAGAGTTTATATGAAGACAATCCCGTTTCCAACGAAATCCTCAAAGCTATCCAAATATCCTCTTGCAGATTTTACAAAAAGAGTGTTTCAAAACTGCTCTATCAAAAGAAAGCTTCAACACTGTTAGTTGAGGGCGCACATCACAAATAAGATTCTGAGAATGCTTCTGTCTAGTTTTCAGGGGAAGATATTTCCTTTTTCACCATAGGCCTGAAAGCGCTCCAAATGTCCACAACCAGATATTACAAAAAGAGTGTTTCAAACCTGCTCTATGAAAGGGAATGTTCAACTCTGTGACTTGAATGCAAACATCACAAAGAAGTTTCTGGGAATGCTGCTGTCTGCTTTTTATATGTAATCCCGTTTCCAACGAAATCCTCAAATCTAGACAAATATCCACTTGCAGATTCCACAAAAAGAGTGTTTCAAAACTGCTCTCTCAAAAGAAAGGTTCAACTCTGTTAGCTGAGTAGATACATCATGAAAAAGTTTCTGACATTGCTTCTATCTAGCTTTTATTGGAAGATATTTCCTTTATCACCGTATTAATGAGATCTCTCCAAATGTCCACTTCCAGAAACTACAAAAAGAGTGTTTCAAACCTGCTCTATGAAAGGGACAGTTCAACACTGTGACTTCAATTGAAACATCCCAATGAAGCTTCTGAGAATGCTTCTGTCTAGAGTTTATATGAAGACAATCCCGTTTCCAACGAAATCCTCAAAGCTATCCAAATATCCTCTTGCAGATTTTACAAAAAGAGTGTTTCAAAACTGCTCTATCAAAAGAAAGCTTCAACACTGTTAGTTGAGGGCGCACATCACAAATAAGATTCTGAGAATGCTTCTGTCTAGTTTTCAGGGGAAGATACTTCCTTTTTCACCATAGGCCTGAAAGCGCTCCAAATGTCCACATCCAGATACTACAAAAAGAGTGTTTCAAACCTGCTCTATGAAAGGGAATGTTCAACTCTGTGACTTGAATGCAAACATCACAAAGAAGTTACTGGGAATGCTGCTGTCTGCTTTTTATATGTAATCCCGTTTCCAACGAAATCCTCAAAGCTAGACAAATATCCACTTGCAGATTCCACAAAAAGAGTGTTTCAAAACTGCTCTCTCAAAGGAAAGGTTCAACTCTGTTAGCTGAGTAGATACATCATGAAAAAGTTTCTGACATTGCTTCTATGTAGCTTTTATTGGAAGATATTTCCATTTTCACCGTAGTCCTGAGAGCGCTCCAAATGTCCACTTCCAGATACTACAAAAACAGTGTTTCAAACCTGTTCTATGAAAGGAACTGTTCAACACTGTGACTTCAATTGAAACATCCCAATGAAGCTTCTGAGAATGCTTCTGTCTAGAGTTTATATGAAGACAATCCCGTTTCCAACGAAATCCTCAAAGCTATCCAAATATCCTCTTGCAGATATTACAAAAAGAGTGTTTCAAAACTGCTCTATCAAAAGAAAGCTTCAACACTGTTAGTTGAGGGCGCACATCACAAATAAGTTTCTGAGAATGCTTCTGTCTAGTTTTCAGGGGAAGATATTTCCTTTTTCACCATAGGCCTGAAAGCGTTCCAAACGTCCACATCCAGATACTACAAAAAGAGTGTTTCAAACCTGCTCTATGAAAGGGAATGTTCAAGTCTGTGACTTGAATGCAAATTTCACAAAGAAGTTTCTGGGAATGCTGCTGTCTGCTTTTTATATGTAATCCCGTTTCCAACGAAATCCTCAAAGCTAGACAAATATCCACTTGCAGATTCCACAAAAAGAGTGTTTCAAAACTGCTCTCTCAAAGGAAGGTCCAACTCTGTTAGCTGAGTAGATACATCATGAAAAAGTTTCTGACATTGCTTCTATCTAGCTTTTATTGGAAGATATTTCCTTTTTCACCGCAGTCCTGAGTGCGCTCCAAATGTCCACTTCCAGATACTACAAAAAGAGTGTTTCAAACCTGCTCTATGAAAGGGACTGTTCAACACTGTGACTTCAACTGAAACATCCCAATGAAGCTTCTGAGAATGCTTCTGTCTAGAGTTTATATGAAGACAATCCCGTTTCCAACGAAATCCTCAAAGCTATCCAAATATCCTCTTGCAGATTTTACAAAAAGACTGTTTCAAAACTGCTCTATCAAAAGAAAGCTTCAACACTGTTAGTTGAGGGCGCACATCACAAATAAGATTCTGAGAATGCTTCTGTCTAGTTTTCAGTGGAAGATATTTCCTTTTTCACCATGGGCCTGAAAGCGCTCCTAATGTCCAAATCCAGATACTACAAAAAGAGTGTTTCAAACCTGCTCTATGAAAGGGAATGTTCAACTCTGTGACTTGAATGCAAACATCACAAAGAAGTTTCTGGGAATGCTGCTGCCTGCTTTTTATATGTAATCCCGTTTCCAACGAAATCCTCAAAGGTAGATAAATATCCACTTGCAGATTCCACAAAAAGAGTGTTTCAAAACTGCTCTCTCAAAAGAAAGGTTCAACTCTGTTAGCTGAGTAGATACATCATGAAAAAGTTTCTGACATTGCTTTCTATCTAGCTTTTATTGGAAGATACTTCCTTTTTCACCGTAGTCCTGAGAGCGCTCCAAATGTCCACTTCGAGATACTACAGAAAGAGTGTTTCAAACCTGCTCTATGAAAGGGACTGTTCAACTCTGTGACTTCAATTGAAACATCCCAATGAAGCTTCTGAGAATGCTTCTGTCTAGAGTTTATATGAAGACAATCCCGTTTCCAACGAAATCCTCAAAGCTATCCAAATATCCTCTTGCAGATTTTACAAAAAGAGTGTTTCAAAACTGCTCTATCAAAAGAAAGCTTCAACACTGTTAGTTGAGGGCGCACATCACAAATAAGATTCTGAGAATGCTTCTGTCTAGTTTTCAGGGGAAGATATTTCCTTTTTCACCATAGGCCTGAAAGCGCTCCAAATGTCCACATCCAGATACTACAAAAAGAGTGTTTAAAACCTGCTCTATGAAAGGCAATGTTCAACTCTGTGACTTGAATGCAAACATCACAAAGAAGTTACTGGGAATGCTGCTGTCTGCTTTTTATATGTAATCCCGTTTCCAACGAAATCCTCAAAGCTATCCAAATATCCACTTGCAGATTCCACAAAAAGAGTGTTTCAAAACTGCTCTCTCAAAAGAAAGGTTCAACTCTGTTAGCTGAGTAGATACATCATGAAAAAGTTTCTGACATTGCTTCTATCTAGCTTTTATTGGAAGATATTTCCTTTATCACCGTATTCCTGAGATCTCTCCAAATGTCCACTTCCAGATACTACAAAAAGAGTGTTTCAAACCTGCTCTATGAAAGGGACTGTTCAACACTGTGACTTCAATTGAAACATCCCAATGAAGCTTCTGAGAATGCTTCTGTCTAGAGTTTATATGAAGACAATCCCGTTTCCAACGAAATCCTCAAAGCTATCAAAATATCCTCTTGCAGATTTTACGAAAAGAGTGTTTCAAAACTGCTCTATCAAAAGAAAGCTTCAACACTGTTAGTTGAGGGCGCACATCACAAATAAGATTCTGAGAATGCTTCTGTCTAGTTTTCAGGAGAAGATATTTCCTTTTTCACCATAGGCCTGAAAGCGCTCAAAATGTCCACATCCAGATACTATAAAAAGAGTGTTTCAAACCTGCTCTCTGAAAGGGAATGTTCAACTCAGTGACTTGAATGCAAACATCACAAACAAGATTCTGGGAATGCTGCTGTCTGCTTTTTATATGTAATCCCGTTTCCAACGAAATCCTCAAAGCTAGACAAATATCCACTTGCAGATTCCACAAAAAGAGTGTTTCAAAACTGCTCTATCAAAAGAAAGCTTCAACACTGTTAGTTGAGGGCGCACATCACAAATAAGTTTCTGAGAATGCTTCTGTCTAGTTTTCAGGGGAAGATATTTCCTTTTTCACCATAGGCCTGAAAGCGCTCCAAATGTCCACATCCAGATACTACAAAAAGAGTGTTTCAAACCTGCTCTATGAAAGGGACTGTTCAACACTGTGACTTCAATTGAAACATCCCAATGAAGCTTCTGAGAATGCTTCTGTCTGGAGTTTATATGAAGACAATCCCGTTTCCAACGAAATCCTCAAAGCTATCCAAATATCCTCTTGCAGATTTTACAAAAAGAGTGTTTCAAAACTGCTCTATCAAAAGAAAGCTTCAACACTGTTAGTTGAGGGCGCACATCACAAATAAGATTCTGAGAATGCTTCTGTCTAGTTTTCAGGGGAAGATATTTCCTTTTTCACCATAGACCTGAAAGCGCTCCAAATGTCCACATCCAGATACTACAAAAAGAGTGTTTCAAACCTGCTCTATGAAAGGGAATGTTCAACTCTGTGACTTGAATGCAAACACCACAAAGAAGTTACTGGTAATGCTGCTGTCTGCTTTTTATATGTAATCCCGTTTCCAACGAAATCCTCAAAGCTAGACAAATATCCACTTGCAGATTCCACAAAAAGAGTGTTTCAAAACTGCTCTCTCAAAAGAAAGGTTCAACTCTGTTAGCTGAGTAGATGCATCATGAAAAAGTTTCTGACACTGCTTCTATCTAGCTTTTATTGGAAGATATTTCCTTTTTCACCGTAGTCCTGAGAACGCTGCAAATGTCCACTTCCAGATACTACAAAAAGAGTGTTTCAAATCTGCTCTATGAAAGGGACTGTTCAACACTGTGACTTCAATTGAAACATCCCAATGAAGCTTCTGAGAATGATTCTCTCTAGAGTTTATATGAAGACAGTCCCGTTTCCAACGAAATCCTCAAAGCTATCCAAATATCCTCTTGCAGATTTTACAAAAAGAGTGTTTCAAAACTGCTCTATCAAAAGAAAGCTTCAACACTGTTAGTTGAGGGCGCACATGACAAATAAGGTTCTGAGAATGCTTCTGTCTAGTTTTCAGGGGAAGATATTTCCTTTTTCACCATAGGCCTGAAAGCGCTCCAAATGTCCACATCCAGATACTACAAAAAGAGTGTTTCAAACCTGCTCTCTGAAAGGGAATGTTCAACTCTGTGACTTGAATGCAAACATCACAAAGAAGTTTCTGGGAATGCTGCTGTCTGCTTTTTATATGTAATCCCGTTTCCAACGAAATCCTCAAAGGTAGACAAATATCCACTTGCAGATTCCACAAAAAGAGTGTTTCAAAACTGCTCTCTCAAAAGAAAGGTTCAACTCTGTTAGCTGAGTAGATACATCATGAAAAAGTTTCTGACATTTCTTCTATCTAGCTTTTATTGGAAGATATTTCCTTTTTCACCGTAGTCCTGAGATCTCTCCAAATGTCCACTTCCAGATACTACAAAAAGAGTGTTTCAAACCTGCTCTATGAAAGGGACTGTTCAACACTGTGACTTCAATTGAAACATCCCAATGAAGCTTCTGAGAATGCTTCTTTCTAGAGTTTATATGAAGACAATCCCGTTTCCAACGAAATCCTCAAAGCTATCCAAATATTCTCTTGCAGATATTACAAAAAGAGTGTTTCAAAACTGCTCTATCAAAATAAAGCTTCAACACTGTTAGTTGAGGGCGCACATCACAAATAAGTTTCTGAGAATGCTGCTGTCTGCTTTTTATATGTAATCCCGTTTCCAACGAAATCCTCAAAGCTAGAGAAATATCCACTTGCAGATTCCACAAAAAGAGTGTTTCAAAACTGCTCTATCAAAAGAAAGCTTCAACACTGTTAGTTGAGGGCGCACATCACAAATAAGTTTCTGAGAATGCTTCTGTCCAGTTTTCAGGGGAAGATATTTCCTTTTAAACCATAGGCCTGAAAGCACTCCAAATGTCCACATCCAGATACTACAAAAAGAGTGTTTCAAACCTGCTCTATGAAAGGGACTGTTCAACACTGTGACTTCAATTGAAACATCCCAATGAAGCTTCTGAGAATGCTTCTGTCTAGAGTTTATATGAAGACAATCCCGTTTCCAACCGAAATCCTCAAAGCTATCCAAATATCCTCTTGCAGATTTTACAAAAAGAGTGTTTCAAAACTGCTCTATCAAAAGAAAGCTTCAACACTGTTAGTTGAGGGCGCACATCACAAATAAGATTCTGCGAATGCTTCTGTCTAGTTTTCAGGAGAAGATATTTCCTTTTTCACCATAGGCCTGAAAGCGCTCCAAATGTCCACATCGAGATACTACAAAAAGAGTGTTTCAAACCTGCTCTATGAAAGGGAATGTTCAACTCTGTGACTTGAATGCAAACATCACAAAGAAGATTCTGGGAATGCTGCTGTCTGCTTTTTATATGTAATCCCGTTTCCAACGAAATCCTCAAAGCTAGACAAATATCCACTTGCAGATTCCACAAAAAGAGTGTTTCAAAACTGCTCTATCAAAAGAAAGCTTCAACACTGTTAGTTGAGGGGGCACATCAGAAATAAGTTTCTGAGAATGCTTCTGTCTAGTTTTCAGGGGAAGATATTTCCTTTTAAACCATAGGCCTGGAAGCGCTCCAAATGTCCACATCCAGATCCTACAAAAAGAGTGTTTCAAACCTGCTCTATGAAAGGGACTGTTCAACACTGTGACTTCAATTGAAACATCCCAATGACGCTTCTGAGAATGCTTCTGTCTAGATTTTGTATGAAGACAATCCCGTTTCCAACGAAATCCTCAAAGCTATCCAAATATCCTTTTGCAGATTTTACAAAAAGAGGATTTCAAAACTGCTCTATCAAAAGAAAGGTTCAACACTGTTAGTTGAGGGCGCACATCACAAATAAGTTTCTGAGAATGCTTCTGTCTAGTTTTCAGGGGAAGATATTTCCTTTTTCACCATAGGCCTGAAAGCGCTCCAAATGTCCACATCCAGATACTACAAAAAGAGTGTTTCAAACCTGCTCTATGAAAGGGAATGTTCAACTCTGTGACGTGAATGCAAACATCACAAAGAAGTTTCTGGGAATGCTGCTGTCTGCTTTTTATATGTAATCCCGTTTCCAACGAAATCCTCAAAGCTAGACAAATATCCACTTGCAGATTCCACAAAAAGAGTGTTTCAAAACTGCTCTATCAAAAGAATGCTTCAACACTGTTAGTTGAGGGCGCACATCACAAATAAGTTTCTGAGAATGCTTCTGTCTAGTTTTCAGGGGAAGATATTTCCTTTTAAACCATAGGCCTGAAAGCGCTCCAAATGTCCACATCCAGATACTACAAAAAGAGTGTTTGAAACCTGCTCTATGAAAGGGACTGTTCAACACTGTGACTTCAATTGAAACATCCCAATGAAGCTTCTGAGAATGCTTCTGTCTAGAGTTTATATGAAGACAATACCGTTTCCAAAGAAATCCTCAAATCTATCCAAATATCCTCTTGCAGATTTCACAAAAAGAGTGTTTCAAAACTGCTCTATCAAAAGAAAGCTTCAACACTGTTAGTTGAGGGCGCACATCACAAATAAGATTCTGAGAATGCTTCTGTCTAGTTTTCAGGGGAAGATATTTCCTTTTTCACCATAGGCCTGAAAGCGCTCCAAATGTCCACATCCAGATACTACAAAAAGAGTGTTTCAAACCTGCTCTATGAAAGGGAATGTTCAACTCTGTGACTTGAATGCAAACATCACAAAGAAGATTCTGGGAATGCTGCTGTCTGCTTTTTATATGTAAACCCGTTTCCAACGAAATCCTCAAAGCTAGACAAATATCCACTTGCAGATTCCACAAAAAGAGTGTTTCAAAACTGCTCTCTCAAAAGAAAGGTTCAACTCTGTTAGCTGAGTAGATACATCATGAAAAAGTTTCTGACATTGCTTCTATCTAGCTTTTATTGGAAGATATTTCCTTTATCACCGTAGTCCTGAGAGCGCTCCAAATGTCCACTTCCAGATACTACAAAAAGAGTGTTTCAAACCTGCTCTATGAAAGGGACTGTTCAACACTGTGACTTCAATTGAAACATCCCAATGAAGCTTCTGAGAATGCTTCTGTCTAGAGTTTATATGAAGACAATCCCGTTTCCACCGAAATCCTCAAAGCTATCCAAATATCCTCTTGCAGATTCTACAAAAAGAGTGTTTCAAACAGCTCTGTCAAAAGAAAGCTTCAACACTGTTAGTTGAGGGTGCACATCACAAATAAGTTTCTGAGAATGCTTCTGTCTAGTTTTCAGGGGAAGATATTTCCTTTTTCACCATAGGCCTGAAAGCGCTCCAAATGTCCACATCCAGATACTACAAAAAGAGTGTTTCAAACCTGCTCTATGAAAGGGAATGTTCAACTCTGTGACTTGAATGCAAACATCACAAAGAAGATTCTGGGAATGCTGCTGTCTGCTTTTTATATGTAATCCCGTTTCCAACGAAATCCTCAAAGCTAGACAAATATCCACTTGC
The DNA here is from genome assembly GCF_000001405.40 of Homo sapiens. Taxonomy (NCBI): domain Eukaryota; kingdom Metazoa; phylum Chordata; class Mammalia; order Primates; family Hominidae; genus Homo; species Homo sapiens. The sequence continues at coordinate 92,490,738 of NC_000002.12, read as the reverse complement.
AGATTCCACAAAAAGAGTGTTTCAAAACTGCTCTCTCAAAGGAAAGGTTCAACTCTGTTAGCTGAGTAGATACATCATGAAAAAGTTTCTGACATTGCTTCTATGTAGCTTTTATTGGAAGATATTTCCTTTTTCACCATAGTCCTGAGAGCGCTCCAAATGTCCACTTCCAGATACTACAAAAAGAGTGTTTCAAACCTGTTCTATGAAAGGAACTGTTCAACACTGTGACTTCAATTGAAACATCCCAATGAAGCTTCTGAGAATGCTTCTGTCTAGAGTTTATATGAAGACAATCCCGTTTCCAACGAAATCCTCAAAGCTAGACAAATATCCACTTGCAGATTCCACAAAAAGAGTGTTTCAAAACTGCTCTCTCAAAGGAAGGTTCAACTCTGTTAGCTGAGTAGATACATCATGAAAAAGTTTCTGACATTGCTTCTATCTAGCTTTTATTGGAAGATATTTCCTTTTTCACCGTAGTCCTGAGAGCGCTCCAAATGTCCACTTCCAGATACTACAAAAAGAGTGTTTCAAACCTGCTCTATGAAAGGGACTGTTCAACACTGTGACTTCAATTGAAACATCCCAATGAAGCTTCTGAGAATGCTTCTGTCTAGAGTTTATATGAAGACAATCCCGTTTCCAACGAAATCCTCAAAGCTATCCAAATATCCTCTTGCAGATTTTACAAAAAGAGTGTTTCAAAACTGCTCTATCAAAAGAAAGCTTCAACACTGTTAGTTGAGGGCGCACATCACAAATAAGATTCTGAGAATGCTTCTGTCTAGTTTTCAGGGGAAGATATTTCCTTTTTCACCATAGGCCTGAAAGCGCTCCAAATGTCCACATCCAGATACTACAAAAAGAGTGTTTCAAACCTGCTCTATGAAAGGGAATGTTCAACTCTGTGACTTGAATGCAAACACCACAAAGAACTTACTGGGAATGATGCTGTCTGCTTTTTATATGTAATCCCGTTTCCAACGAAATCCTCAAAGCTAGACAAATATCCACTTCCAGATTCCACAAAAAGAGTGTTTCAAAACTGCTCTCTCAAAAGAAAGGTTCAACTCTGTTAGCTGAGTAGATACATCATGAAAAAGTTTCTGACATTGCTTTTATGTAGCTTTTATTGGAAGATATTTCCTTTTTCACCATAGGCCTGAAAGCGCTCCCAATGTCCACATCCAGATACTACAAAAAAAGTGTTTCAAACCTGCTCTATGAAAGGGAATGTTCAACTCTGTGACTTGAATGCAAACATCACAAAGAAGTTACTGGGAATGCTGCTGTCTGCTTTTTATATGTAATCCCGTTTCCAACGAAATCCTCAAAGCTAGACAAATATCCACTTTCAGATTACACAAAAAGAGTGTTTCAAAACTGCTCTCTCAAAAGAAAGGTTCAACTCTGTTAGCTGAGTAGATACATCATGAAAAAGTTTCTGACATTGCTTCTATGTAGCTTTTATTGGAAGATATTTCCTTTTTCACCATAGGCCTGAAAGCGCTCCAAATATCCACATCCAGATACTACAAAAAAAGTGTTTCAAACCTGCTCTATGAAAGGGAATGTTCAACTCTGTGACTTGAATGCAAACATCACAAAGAAGTTACTGGGAATGCTGCTGTCTGCTTTTTATATGTAATCCCGTTTCCAACGAAATCCTCAAAGCTAGACTAATATCCACTTGCAGATTCCACAAAAAGAGTGTTTCAAAACTGCTCTCTCAAAAGAAAGGTTCAACTCTGTTAGCTGAGTAGATACATCATGAAAAAGTTTCTGACATTGCTTCTATCTAGCTTTTATTGGAAGATATTTCCTTTTTCACCGCAGTCCTGAGAGCGTTCCAAATGTCCACTTCCAGATACTACAAAAAGAGTGTTTCAAACCTGCTCTATGAAAGGGACTGTTCAACACTGTGACTTCAATTGAAACATCCCAATGAAGCTTCTGAGAATGCTTCTGTCTAGAGTTTATATGAAGACAATCCCGTTTCCAACGAAATCCTCAAAGCTATCCAAATATCCTCTTGCAGATTTTACAAAAAGAGTGTTTCAAAACTGCTCTATCAAAAGAAAGCTTCAACACTGTTAGTTGAGGGCGCACATCACAAATAAGATTCTGAGAATGCTTCTCTCTAGTTTTCAGGAGAAGATATTTCCTTTTTCACCATAGGCCTGAAAGCGCTCCAAATGTCCACATCCAGATACTATAAAAAGAGTGTTTCCAACCTGCTCTCTGAAAGGGAATGTTCAACTCTGTGACTTGAATGCAAACATCACAAACAAGATTCTGGGAATGCTGCTGTCTGCTTTTTATAATTAATCCCGTTTCCAACGAAATCCTCAAAGCTATCCAAATATCCTCTTGCAGATATTACAAAAAGAGTGTTTCAAAACTGCTCTATCAAAAGAAAGCTTCAACACTGTTAGTTGAGGGCGCACATCACAAATAAGTTTCTGAGAATGCTTCTGTCTAGTTTTCAGGGGAAGATATTTCCTTTTTCACCATAGGCCTGAAAGCGCTCCAAATGTCCACATCCAGATACTACAAAAAGAGTGTTTCAAACCTGCTCTATGAAAGGGAATGTTCAACTCTGTGAGTTGAATGCAAACATCACAAAGAAGTTTCTGGGAATGCTGCTGTCTGCTTTTCATATGTAATCCCGTTTCCAACGAAATCCTCAAAGCTAGACAAATATCCACTTGCAGATTCCACAAAAAGAGTGTTTCAAAACTGCTCTATCAAAAGAATGCTTCAACACTGTGAGTTGAGGGCGCACATCACAAATAAGTTTCTGAGAATGCTTCTGTCTAGTTTTCAGGGGAAGATATTTCCTTTTAAACCAGAGGCCTGAAAGCGCTCCAAATGTCCACATCCAGATACTACAAAAAGAGTGTTTGAAACCTGCTTTATGAAAGGGACTGTTCAACACTGTGACTTCAATTGAAACATCCCAATGAAGCTTCTGAGAATGCTTCTGTCTAGAGTTTATAGGAAGACAATCCCGTTTCCAACGAAATCCTCAAAGCTATCCAAATATCCTCTTGCAGATTTTACAAAAAGAGTGTTTCAAAACTGCTCTATCAAAAGAAAGCTTCAACACTGTTAGTTGAGGGCGCACATCACAAATAAGATTCTGAGAATGCTTCTGTCTAGTTTTCAGGGGAAGATATTTCCTTTTTCACCATAGGCCTGAAAGCGCTCCAAATGTCCACATCCAGATACTACAAAAAGAGTGTTTGAAACCTGCTCTATGAAAGGCAATGTTCAACTCTGTGACTTGAATGCAAACATCACAAAGAAGTTACTGGGAATGCTGCTGTCTGCTTTTTATATGTAATCCCGTTTCCAACGAAATCCTCAAAGCTAGACAAATATCCACTTGCAGATTCCACAAAAAGAGTGTTTCAAAACTGCTCTCTCAAAGGAAAGGTTCAACTCTGTTAGCTGAGTAGATACATCATGAAAAAGTTTCTGACATTGCTTCTATGTAGCTTTTATTGGAAGATATTTCCTTTTTCACCATAGTCCTGAGAGCGCTCCAAATGTCCACTTCCAGATACTACAAAAAGAGTGTTTCAAACCTGTTCTATGAAAGGAACTGTTCAACACTGTGACTTCAATTGAAACATCCCAATGAAGCTTCTGAGAATGCTTCTGTCTAGAGTTTATATGAAGACAATCCCGTTTCCAACGAAATCCTCAAAGCTATCCAAATATCCTCTTGCAGATATTACAAAAAGAGTGTTTCAAAACTGCTCTATCAAAAGAAAGCTTCAACACTGTTAGTTGAGGGCGCACATCACAAATAAGTTTCTGAGAATGCTTCTGTCTAGTTTTCAGGGGAAGATATTTCCTTTTTCACCTTAGGCCTGAAAGCGCTCCAAATGTCCACAACCAGATACTACAAAAAGAGTGTTTCAAACCTGCTCTATGAAAGGGAATGTTCAACTCTGTGACTTGAATGCAAACATCACAAAGAAGTTTCTGGGAACGCTGCTGTCTGCTTTTTATATGCAATCCCGTTTCCAACGAAATCCTCAAACCTAGACAAATATCCACTTGCAGATTCCACAAAAAGAGTGTTTCAAAACTGCTCTCTCAAAAGAAAGGTTAAATTCTGTTAGCTGAGTAGATACATCATGAAAAATTTTCTGACATTGCTTCTATCTAGCTTTATTTGGAAGATATTTCCTTTTTCACCGTAGTCCTGAAAACGCTCCAAATGTCAACTTCCAGATACTACAAAAAGAGTGTTTCAAACATGCTCTATGAAAGGGACTGTTCAACACTGTGACTTCAATTGAAATATCCCAATGAAGCTTCTGAGAATGCTTCTGTCTAGAGTTTATATGAAGACAATCCCGTTTCCAACGAAATCCTCAAAGCTATCCAAATATCCTCTTGCAGATATTACAAAAAGAGTGTTTCAAAACTGCTCTATCAAAAGAAAGCTTCAACACTGTTAGTTGAGGGCGCACATCACAAATAAGTTTCTGAGAATGCTTCTGTCTAGTTTTCAGGGGAAGATATTTCCTTTTTCACCATAGGCCTGAAAGCGCTCCAAATGTCCACATCCAGATAGTACAAAAAGAGTGTTTCAAACCTGCTCTATGAAAGGGAATTTTCAACATTGTGACTTGAATGCTAACTTCACAAAGAAGTTTCTGGGAATGCTGCTGTCTGCTTTTTATATGTAATCCCGTTTCCAACGCAATCCTCAAAACTAGACAAATATCCACTTGCAGATTACACAAAAAGAGTGTTTCAAAACTGCTCTCTCAAAAGAAAGGTTCAACTCTGTTAGCTGAGTAGATACATCATGAAAAATTTTCTGACATTGCTTCTATCTACCTTTTATTGGAAGATATTTCCTTTATCACCCTATTAATGAGATCTCTCCAAATGTCCACTTCCAGAAACTACAAAAAGAGTGTTTCAAACCTGCTCTATGAAAGGGACTGTTCAACACTGTGACTTCAATTGAAACATCCCAATGAAGCTTCTGAGAATGCTTCTGTCTAGAGTTTATATGAAGACAATCCCGTTTCCAACGAAATCCTCAAAGCTATCCAAATATCCTCTTGCAGATTTTACAAAAAGAGTGTTTCAAAACTGCTCTATCAAAAGAAAGCTTCAACTCTGTTAGTTGAGGGCGCACATCACAAATAAGATTCTGAGAATGCTTCTGTCTAGTTTTCAGGGGAAGATATTTCGTTTTTCACCATAGGCCTGAAAGCGCTCCAAATGTCCACATCCAGATACTACAAAAAGAGTGTTTCAACCCTGCTCTATGAAAGGGAATGTTCAACTCTGTGACTTGAATGCAAACATCACAAAGAAGATTCTGGGAATGCTGCTGTCTGCTTTTTATATGTAATCCCGTTTCCAACGAAATCCTCATAGCTAGACAAATATCCACTTCCAGATTCCACAAAAAGAGTGTTTCAAAACTGCTCTCTCAAAAGAAAGGTTCAACTCTGTTAGCTGAGTAGATACATCATGAAAAAGTTTCTGACATTGCTTCTATCTAGCTTTTATTGGAAGATATTTCCTTTATCACCGTATTCCTGAGATCTCTCCAAATGTCCACTTCCAGATACTACAAAAAGAGTGTTTCAAACCTGCTCTATGAAAGGGACTGTTCAACACTGTGACTTCAATTGAAACATCCCAATGAAGCTTCTGAGAATGCTTCTGTCTAGAGTTTATATGAAGACAATCCCGTTTCCAACGAAATCCTCAAAGCTATCCAAATATCCTCTTGCAGATATTACAAAAAGAGTGTTTCAAAACTGCTCTATCAAAAGAAAGGTTCAACACTGTTAGTTGAGGGCGCACATCACAAATAAGTTTCTGAGAATGCTTCTGTCTAGTTTTCATGGGAAGATATTTCCTTTTTCACCATAGGCCTGAAAGCGCTCCAAATGTCCACATCCAGATACTACAAAAAGAGTGTTTCAAACCTGCTCTATGAAAGGGAATGTTCAACTCTGTGACTTGAATGCAAACATCACAAAGAAGTTTCTGGGAATGCTGCTGTCTGCTTTTTATATGTAATCCCGTTTCCAACGAAATCCTCAAAGCTAGACAAATATCCACTTGCAGATTCCACAAAAAGAGTTTTTCAAAACTGCTCTATCAAAAGAAAGCTTCAACACTGTTAGTTGAGGGCGCACATCACAAATAAGTTTCTGAGAATGCTTCTGTCTAGTTTTCAGGGGAAGATATTTCCTTTTAAACCATAGGCCTGAAAGCGCTCCAAATGTCCACATCCAGATACTACAAAAAGAGTGTTTCAAACCTGCTCTATGAAAGGGACTGTTCAACACTGTGACTTCAATTGAAACATCCCAATGAAGCTTCTGAGAATGCTTCTGTCTAGAGTTTATATGAAGACAATCCCGTTTCCAACGAAATCCTCAAAGCTATCCAAATATCCTCTTGCAGATTTTACAAAAAGTGTGTTTCAAAACTGCTCTATCAAAAGAAAGCTTCAACACTGTTAGTTGAGGGCGCACATCACAAATAAGTTTCAGAGAATGCTTCTGTCTAGTTTTCAGGGGAAGATATTTCCTTTTAAACCATAGGCCTGAAAGCGCTCCAAATGTCCACTTCCAGATACTACAAAAAGAGTGTTTCAAACCTGCTCTATGAAAGGGACTGTTCAACACTGTGTCTTCAATTGAAACATCCCAATGAAGCTTCTGAGAATGCTGCTGTCTGCTTTTTATATGTAATCCCGTTTCCAACGAAATCCTCAAAGCTAGACAAATATCCACTTGCAGATTCCACAAAAAGAGTGTTTCAAAACTGCTCTATCAAAAGAATGCTTCAACACTGTTAGTTGAGGGCGCACATCACAAATAAGTTTCTGAGAATGCTTCTGTCTAGTTTTCAGGGGAAGATATTTCCTTTTAAACCATAGGCCTGAAAGCGCTCAAATGTCCACATCCAGATACTACAAAAAGAGTGTTTCAAACCTGCTCTATGAAAGGGACTGTTCAACATTGTGACTTCAATTGAAACATCCCCATGATGCTTCTGAGAATGCTTCTGTCTAGAGTTTATATGAAGTCAATCCCGTTTCCAACGAAATCCTCAAAGCTATCCAAATGTCCTCTTGCAGATTTTACGAAAAGAGTGTTTCAAAACTGCTCTATCAAAAGAAAGCTTCAACACTGTTACTTGAGGGTGCACATCACAAATAAGATTCTGAGAATGCTTCTGTCTAGATTTCAGGAGAAGATATTTCCTTTTTCACCATAGGCCTGAAAGCACTCCAAATGTCCACATCCAGATACTATAAAAAGAGTGTTTCAAACCTGCTCTCTGAAAGGGAATGTTCAACTCTGTCACTTGAATGCAAACATCACAAACAAGATTCTGGGAATGCTGCTGTCTGCTTTTTATATGTAATCCCGTTTCCATCGAAATCCTCAAAGCTAGACAAATATCCACTTGCAGATTCCACAAAAAGAGTGTTTCAAAACTGCTCTATCAAAAGAAAGCTTCAACACTGTTAGTTGAGGGCGCACATCACAAATAAGTTTCTGAGAATGCTTTTGTCTAGTTTTCAGGGGAAGATATTTCCTTTTTCACCTTAGGCCTGAAAGCGCTGCAAATGTCCACATCCAGATACTACAAAAAGAGTGTTTCAAACCTGCTCTATGAAAGGGAATGTTCAACTCTGTGACTTGAATGCAAACATCACAAAGAAGTTTCTGGGAATGCTGCTGTCTGCTTTTTATATGTAATCCCGTTTCCAACGAAATCCTCAAAGCTAGACAAATATCCACTTGCAGATTCCACAAAAAGAGTGTTTCAAAACTGCTCTCTCAAAAGAAAGGTTCAACTCTGTTAGCTGAGTAGATACATCATGAGAAAGTTTCTGACATTGCTTCTATCTAGCTTTTATTGGAAGATATTTCCTTTATCACCGGAGTCCTGAGAGCGCTCCAAATGTCCACTTCCAGATACTACAAAAAGAGTGTTTCAAACCTGCTCTATGAAAGGGAATGTTCAACTCTGTGACTTGAATGCAAACATCACAAAGAAGATTTTGGGAATGCTGCTGTCTGCTTTTTATATATAATCCCGTTTCCAACGAAATCCTCAAAGCTAGACAAATATCCACTTGCAGATTCCACAAAAAGAGTGTTTCAAAACTGCTCTCTCAAAAGAAAGGTTCAACTCTGTTAGCTGAGTAGATACATCATGAAAAAGTTTCTGACATTGCTTCTATCTAGCTTTTATTGGAAGATATTTCCTTTATCACCGGAGTCCTGAGAGCGCTCCAAATGTCCACTTCCAGATACTACAAAAAGAGTGTTTCAAACCTGCTCTATGAAAGGGACTGTTCAACACTGTGACTTCAATTGAAACATCCCAATGAAGCTTCTGAGAATGCTTCTGTCTAGAGTTTATATGAAGACAATCCCGTTTCCAACGAAATCCTCAAAGCTATCCAAATATCCTCTTGCAGATATTACAAAAAGAGTGTTTCAAAACTGCTCTATCAAAAGAAAGCTTCAACACTGTTAGTTGAGGGCGCACATCACAAATAAGTTTCTGAGAATGCTTCTGTCTAGTTTTCAGGGGAAGATATTTCCTTTTTCACCATAGGCCTGAAAGCGCTCCAAATGTCCACATCCAGATACTACAAAAAGAGTGTTTCAAACCTGCTCTATGAAAGGGAATGTTCAACTCTGTGACTTGAATGCAAACGTCACAAAGAAGTTTCTGGGAATGCTGCTGTCTGCTTTTTATATGTAATCCCGTTTTCAACGCAATCCTCAAAGCTAGACAAATATCCACTTGCAGATTCCACAAAAAGAGTGTTTCAAAACTGCTCTCTCAAAAGAAAGGTTCAACTCTTTTGGCTGAGTAGATACATCATGAAAAAGTTTCTGACATTGCTTCTATCTAGCTTTTATTGGAAGATATTTCCTTTTTCACCGTAGTCCTGAGAGCGCTCCAAATGCCCACTTCCAGGTACTACAAAAAGAGTGTTTCAAACCTGCTCTATGAAAGGGACTGTTCAACGCTGTGACTTCAATTGAAACATCCCAATGAAGCTTCTGAGAATGCTTCTGTCTAGAGTTTATATGAAGACAATCCCGTTTCCAACGAAATCCTCAAAGCTATAAAAATATCCTCTTGCAGATTTTACGAAAAGAGTGTTTCAAAACTGCTCTATCAAAAGAAAGCTTCAACACTGTTAGTTGAGGGCGCACATCACAAATAAGATTCTGAGAAAGCTTCTGTCTAGTTTTCAGGAGAAGATATTTCCTTTTTCACCATAGGCCTGAAAGCGCTCCAAATGTCCACATCCAGATACTATAAAAAGAGTGTTTCAAACCTGCTCTCTGAAAGGGAATGTTCAACTCTGTGACTTGAATGCAAACATCACAAACAAGATTCTGGGAATGCTGCTGTCTGCTTTTTATATGTAATCCCGTTTCCAACGAAATCCTCAAAGCTATCCAAATATCCTCTTGCAGATATTACAAAAAGAGTGTTTCAAAACTGCTCTATCAAAAGAAAGGTTCAACACTGTTAGTTGAGGGCGCACATCACAAATAAGTTTCTGAGAATGCTTCTGTCTAGTTTTCAGGGGAAGATATTTCGTTTTTCACCATAGGCCTGAAAGCGCTACAAATGTCCACATCCAGATACTACAAAAAGAGTGTTTCAAACCTGCTCTATGAAAGGGAATGTTCAACCCTGTGACTTGAATGCAAACTTCACAAAGAAGTTTCTGGGAATGCTGCTGTCTGCTTTTTATATGTAATCCCGTTTCCAACGCAATCCTCAAATCTAGACAAATATCCACTTGCAGATTCCACAAAAAGAGTGTTTCAAAACTGCTCTCTCAAAAGAAAGGTTCAACTCTGTTAGCTGAGTAGATACATCATGAAAAAGTTTCTGACATTGCTTCTATCTAGCTTTTATTGGAAGATATTTCCTTTATCACCGTATTCCTGAGATCACTCCAAATGTCCACTTCCAGATACTACCAAAAGAGTGTTTCAAACCTCCTCTATGAAAGGGACTGTTCAACACTGTGACTTCAATTGAAACATCCCAATGAAGCTTCTGAGAATGCTTCTGTCTAGAGTTTATATGAAGACAATCCCGTTTCCAACGAAATCTTCAAAGCTATCCAAATATCCTCTTGCAGATTTTACAAAAAGAGTGTTTCAAAACTGCTCTATCAAAAGAAAGGTTCAACACTGTTAGTTGAGGGCGCACATCACAAATAAGATTCTGAGAATGCTTTTGTCTAGTTTTCAGGGGAAGATATTTCCTTTTTCACCTTAGGCCTGAAAGCGCTGCAAATGTCCACATCCAGATACTACAAAAAGAGTGTTTCAAACCTGCTCTATGAAAGGGAATGTTCAACTCTGTGACTTGAATGCAAACATCACAAAGAAGTTTCTGGGAATGCTGCTGTCTGCTTTTTATATGTAATCCCGTTTCCAACGAAATCCTCAAAGCTAGACAAATATCCACTTGCAGATTCCACAAAACGAGTGTTTCAAAACTGCTCTCTCAAAGGAAGGTTCAACTCTGTTAGCTGAGTAGATACATCATGAAAAAGTTTCTGACATTGCTTCTATCTAGCTTTTATTGGAAGATATTTCCTTTTTCACCGCAGTCCTGAGAGCGCTCCAAATGTCCACTTCCAGATACTACAAAAAGAGTGTTTCAAACCTGCTCTATGAAAGGGACTGTTCAACACTGTGACTTCAACTGAAACATCCCAATGAAGCTTCTGAGAATGCTTCTGTCTGGAGTTTATATGAAGACAATCCCGTTTCCAACGAAATCCTCAAAGCTATCCAAATATCCTCTTGCAGATTTTACAAAAAGAGTGTTTCAAAACTGCTCTATCAAAAGAAAGCTTCAACACTGTTAGTTGAGGGCGCACATCACAAATAAGATTCTGAGAATGCTTCTGTCTAGTTTTCAGGGGAAGATATTTCCTTTTACACCATAGGCCTGAAAGCGCTCCAAATGTCCACATCCAGATACTACAAAAAGAGTGTTTCAAGCCTGCTCTATGAAAGGGAATGTTCAACTCTGTGACTTGAATGCAAACACCACAAAGAAGTTACTGGGAATGCTGCTGTCTGGTTTTTATATGTAATCCCGTTTCCAACGAAATCCTCAAAGCTAGACAAATATCCACTTGCAGATTCCACAAAAAGAGTGTTTCAAAACTGCTCTCTCAAAAGAAAGGTTCAACTCTGTTAGCTGAGTAGATACATCATGAAAAAGTTTCTGACATTGCTTCTATCTAGCTTTTATTGGAAGTTATTTCCTTTTTCACCATAGTCCTGAGAACGCTCCAAATGTCCACTTCCAGATATTACAAAAAGAGTGTTTCAAACCTGCTCTACGAAAGGGAGTGTTCAACACTGTAACTTCAATTGAAACATCCCAATGAAGCTTCTGAGAATGCTTCTGTCTAGATTCTATATGAAGACAATCCCGTTTCCAACGAAATCCTCAAAGCTATCCAAATATCCTCTTGCAGATTTTACAAAAAGAGTGTTTCAAAACTGCTCTATCAAAAGAAAAGTTCCACACTGTTAGTTGAGGGCGCACATCACAAATAAGTTTGCTGAGAATGCTGCTGTCTGCTTTTTATATGTAATCCCGTTTCCAACGAAATCCTCAAAGCTAGACAAATATCCACTTGCAGATTCCACAAAAAGAGTGTTTCAAAACTGCTCTATCAAAAGAATGCTTCAACACTCTTACTTGAGGGCGCACATCACAAATAAGTTTCTGAGAATGCTTCTATGTAGCTTTTATTGGAAGATATTTCCTTTTTCACCATAGTCCTGAGAGCGCTCCAAATGTCCACTTCCAGATACTACAAAAAGAGTGTTTCAAATCTGTTCTATGAAAGGAACTGTTCAACACTGTGACTTCAATTGAAACCTCCCAATGAAGCTTCTGAGAATGCTTCTGTCTAGAGTTTATATGAAGACAATCCCGTTTCCAACGAAATCCTCAAAGCTATCCAAATATCCTCTTGCAGATATTACAAAAAGAGTGTTTCAAAACTGCTCTATCAAAAGAAAGGTTCAACACTGTTAGTTGAGGGCGCACATCACAAATAAGTTTCTGAGAATGCTTCTGTCTAGTTTTCAGGGGAAGATATTTCCTTTTTCACCATAGGCCTGAAAGCGCTCCAAATGTCCACATCCAGATACTACAAAAAGAGTGTCTCAAACCTGCTCTATGAAAGGGAATGTTCAACTCTGTGACTTGAATGCAAACATCACAAAGAAGTTTCTGGGAATGCTGCTGTCTGCTTTTTATATGTAATCCCGTTTCCAACGCAATCCTCAAAGCTAGACAAATATCCACTTGCAGATTCCACAAAAAGAGTGTTTCAAAACTGCTCTCTCAAAAGAAAGGTTCAACTCTGTTAGCTGAGTAGATACATCATGAAAAAGTTTCTGACATTGCTTCTATCTAGCTTTTATTGGAAGATATTTCCTTTTTCACCGCAGTCCTGAGAGCGCTCCAAATGTCCACTTCCAGATACTACAAAAAGAGTGTTTCAAACCTGCTCTATGAAAGGGACTGTTCAACACTGTGACTTCAATTGAAACATCCCAATGAAGCTTCTGAGAATGCTTCTGTCTGGAGTTTATATGAAGACAATCCCGTTTCCAACGAAATCCTCAAAGCTATCCAAATATCCTCTTGCAGATTTTACGAAAAGAGTGTTTCAAAACTGCTCTATCAAAAGAAAGCTTCAACACTGTTAGTTGAGGGCGCACATCACAAATAAGATTCTGAGAATGCTTCTGTCTAGTTTTCAGGGGAAGATATTTCCTTTTTCACCATAGGCCTGAAAGCGCTCCAAATGTCCACATCCAGATACTACAAAAAGAGTGTTTCAAACCTGCTGTATGAAAGGGAATGTTCAACTCTGTGACTTGAATGCAAACATCACAAAGAAGTTACTGGGAATGCTGCTGTCTGCTTTTTATATGTAATCCCGTTTCCAACGAAATCCTCAAAGCTAGACAGATATCCACTTGCAGATTCCACAAAAAGAGTGTTTCAAAACTGCTCTCTCAAAAGAAAGGTTCAACTCTGTTAGCTGAGTAGATGCATCATGAAAAAGTTTCTGACACTGCTTCTATCTAGCTTTTATTGGAAGATACTTCCTTTTTCACCGTAGTCCTGAGAGCGCTCCAAATGTCCACTTCCAGATACTACAAAAAGAGTGTTTCAAACCTGCTCTATGAAAGGGACTGTTCAACACTGTGACTTCAATTGAAACATCCCAATGAAGCTTCTGAGAATGCTTCTGTCTAGAGTTTATATGAAGACAATCCCGTTTCCAACGAAATCCTCAAAGCTATCCAAATATCCTCTTGCAGATTTTACAAAAAGAGTGTTTCAAAACTGCTCTATCAAAAGAAAGCTTCAACACTGTTAGTTGAGGGCGCACATCACAAATAAGATTCTGAGAATGCTTCTGTCTAGTTTTCAGGGGAAGATATTTCCTTTTTCACCATAGGCCTGAAAGCGCTCCAAATGTCCACATCCAGATACTACAAAAAGAGTGTTTCAGACCTGCTCTCTGAAAGGGAATGTTCAACTCTGTGACTTGAATGCAAACATCACAAAGAAGTTTCTGGGAATGCTACTGTCTGCTTTTTATATGTAATCCCGTTTTCAACGAAATCCTCAAAGCTAGACAAATATCCACTTGCAGATTCCACCAAAAGAGGGTTTCAAAACTTCTCTCTCAAGAGAAAGGTTCAACTCTGTTAGCTGAGTAGATACATCATGAAAATGTTTCTGACATTGCTTCTATCTAGCTTTTATTGGAAGATATTTCCTTTTTCACCGTAGTCCTGAGAGCGCTCCAAATGTCCACTTCCAGATACTACAAAAAGAGTGTTTCAAACCTGCTCTATGAAAGGGACTGTTCAACACTGTGACTTCAATTGAAACATCCCAATGAAGCTTCTGAGAATGCTTCTGTCTAGAGTTTATATGAAGACAATCCCGTTTCCAACGAAATCCTCAAAGCTATCCAAATATCCTCTTGCAGATATTACAAAAAGAGTGTTTCAAAACTGCTCTATCAAAAGAAAGCTTCAACACTGTTAGTTGAGGGCGCACATCACAAATAAGTTTCTGAGAATGCTTCTGTCTAGTTTTCAGGAGAAGATATTTCCTTTTTCACCATAGGCCTGAAAGCGCTCCAAATGTCCACATCCAGATACTATAAAAAGAGTGTTTCAAACCTGCTCTCTGAAAGGGAATGTTCAACTCTGTGACTTGAATGCAAACATCACAAACAAGATTCTGGGAATGCTGCTGTCTGCTTTTTATAATTAATCCCGTTTCCAACGAAATCCTCAAAGCTATCCAAATATCCTCTTGCAGATATTACAAAAAGAGTGTTTCAAAACTGCTCTATCAAAAGAAAGCTTCAACACTGTTAGTTGAGGGCGCACATCACAAATAAGTGTCTGAGAATGCTTCTGTCTAGTTTTCAGGGGAAGATATTTCCTTTTTCACCATAGGCCTGAAAGCGCTCCAAATGTCCACATCCAGATACTACAAAAAGAGTGTTTCAAACCTGCTCTATGAAAGGGAATGTTCAACTCTGTGAGTTGAATGCAAACATCACAAAGAAGTTTCTGGGAATGCTGCTGTCTGCTTTTCATATGTAATCCCGTTTCCAACGAAATCCTCAAAGCTAGACAAATATCCACTTGCAGATTCCACAAAAAGAGTGTTTCAAAACTGCTCTATCAAAAGAATGCTTCAACACTGTTAGTTGAGGGCGCACATCACAAATAAGTTTCTGAGAATGCTTCTGTCTAGTTTTCAGGGGAAGATATTTCCTTTTTCACCATAGGGCTGAAAGCGCTCCAAATGTCCACATCCAGATACTACAAAAAGAGTGTTTCAAACCTGCTCTATGAAAGGGACTGTTCAACACTGTGACTTCAATTGAAACATCCCAATGACGCTTCTGAGAATGCTTCTGTCTAGAGTTTATATGAAGACAATCCCGTTTCCAACGAAATCCTCAAAGCTATCCAAATATCCTCTTGCAGATATTACAAAAAGAGTGTTTCAAAACTGCTGTATCAAAAGAAAGGTTCAACACTGTTAGTTGAGGGCGCACATCACAAATAAGTTTCTGAGAAGGCTTGTGTCTAGTTTTCAGGAGAAGATATTTCCGTTTTCACCATAGGCCTGAAAGCGCTCCAAATGTCCACATCCAGATACTATAAAAAGAGTGTTTCAAACCTGCTCTCTGAAAGGGAATGTTCAACTCTGTCACTTGAATGCAAACATCACAAACAAGATTCTGGGAATGCTGCTGTCTGCTTTTTATATGTAATCCCGTTTGCAACGAAATCCTCAAAGCTAGACAAATATCCACTTGCAGATTCCACAAAAAGAGTGTTTCAAAACTGCTCTCTGAAAAGAAAGGTTCAACTGTGTTAGCTGAGTAGATACATCATGAAAAAGTTTCTGACATTGCTTCTTTCTAGCTTTTATTGGAAGATATTTCCTTTTTCACCGTAGTCCTGAGATCTCTCCAAATGTCCACTTCCAGATACTACAAAAAGAGTGTTTCAAACCTGCTCTATGAAAGGGACTGTTCAACACTGTGACTTCAATTGTAACATCCCAATGAAACTTCTGAGAATGCTTCTGTCTAGAGTTTATATGAAGACAATTCCGTTTCCAACGAAATCCTCAAAGCTATCCAAATATCCTCTTGCAGATATTACAAAAAGAGTGTTTCAAAACTGCTCTATCAAAAGAAAGGTTCAACACTGTTAGTTGAGGGCGCACATCACAAATAAGTTTCTGAGAATGCTTCTGTCTAGTTTTCAGGGGAAGATATTTCCTTTTTCACCTTAGGCCTGAATGCGCTGCAAATGTCCACATCCAGATACTACAAAAAGAGTGTTTCAAACCTGCTCTATGAAAGGGAGTGTTCAACTCTGTGACTTGAATGCAAACATCACAAAGAAGTTTCTGGGAATGCTGCTGTCTGCTTTTTATATGTAATCCCGTTTCCAACGAAATCCTCAAAGCTAGACAAATATCCACTTGCAGATTCCACAAAAAGAGTGTTTCAAAACTGCTCTCTCAAAGGAAGGTTCAACTCTGTTAGCTGAGTAGATACATCATGAAAAAGTTTCTGACATTGCTTCTATCTAGCTTTTATTGGAAGATATTTCCTTTTTCACCGCAGTCCTGAGAGCGCTCCAAATGTCCACTTCCAGATACTACAAAAAGAGTGTTTGAAACCTGCTCTATGAAAGGGACTGTTCAACACTGTGACTTCAATTGAAACATCCCAATGAAGCTTCTGAGAATGCTTCTGTCTAGAGTTTATATGAAGACAATCCCGTTTCCAACGAAATCCTCAAAGCTATCCAAATATCCTCTTGCAGATATTACAAAAAGAGTGTTTCAAAACTGCTCTATCAAAAGAAAGGTTCAACACTGTTAGTTGAGGGCGCACATCACAAATAAGTTTCTGAGAATGCTTCTGTCTAGTTTTCAGGGGAAGATATTTCCTTTTTCACCATAGGTCTGAAAGCGCTCCAAATGTCCACATCCAGATACTACAAAAAGAGTGTTTCAAACCTGCTCTATGAAAGGGAATGTTCAACTCTGTGACTTGAATGCAAACATCACAAAGAAGTTACTGGGAATGCTGCTGTCTGCTTTTTATATGTAATCCCGTTTCCAACGAAATCCTCAAAGCTAGACAAATATCCACTTGCAGATTCCACAAAAAGAGTGTTTCAAAACTGCTCTCTCAAAAGAAAGGTTCAACTCTGTTAGCTGAGTAGATACATCATGAAAATGTTTCCTGACATTGCTTCTATCTAGCTTTTATTGGAAGATACTTCCTTTTCCACCGTAGTCCTGAGAGCGCTCCAAAGGTCCACTTCCAGATACTACAAAGAGTGTTTCAAACCTGCTCTATGAAAGGGACTGTTCAACACTGTGACTTCAATTGAAACATCCCAATGAAGCTTCTGAGAATGCTTCTGTCTAGAGTTTATATGAAGACAATCCCGTTTCCAACGAAATCCTCAAAGCTATCCAAATATCCTCTTGCAGATTTTACAAAAAGAGTGTTTCAAAACTGCTCTATCAAAAGAAAGCTTCAACACTGTTAGTTGAGGGCGCACATCACAAATAAGATTCTGAGAATGCTTCTGTCTAGTTTTCAGGGGAAGATATTTCCTTTTTCACCATAGGCCTGAAAGCGCTCCAAATGTCCACATCCAGATACTACAAAAAGAGTGTTTCAAACCTGCTCTATGAAAGGGAATGTTCAACTCTGTGACTTGAATGCTAACTTCACAAAGAAGTTTCTGGGAATGCTGCTGTCTGCTTTTTATATGTAATCCCGTTTCCAACGAAATCCTCAATGCTAGACAAATATCCACTTGCAGATTCCACAAAAAGAGTGTTTCAAAACTGCTCTCTCAAAAGAAAGGTTCAACTCTGTTAGCTGAGTAGATACATCATGAAAAAGTTTCTGACATTGCTTCTATCTAGCTTTTATTGGAAGATATTTCCTTTATCACCGTATTCCTGAGATCTCTCAAAATGTCCACTTCCAGATACTACAAAAAGAGTGTTTCAAACCTGCTCTATGAAAGGGACTGTTCAACACTGTGACTTCAATTGAAACATCCCAATGAAGCTTCTGAGAATGCTTCTGTCTAGAGTTTATATGAAGACAATCCCGTTTCCAACGAAATCCTCAAATCTATCAAAATATCCTCTTGCAGATTTTACGAAAAGAGTGTTTCAAAACTGCTCTATCAAAAGAAAGGTTCAACACTGTTAGTTGAGGGCGCACATCACAAATAAGATTTCTGAGAATGCTCTGTCTAGTTTTCAGGGGAAGATATTTCCTTTTTCACCATAGGCCTGAAAGCGCTCCAAATGTCCACAACCAGATACTTCAAAAAGAGTGTTTCAAACCTGCTCTATGAAAGGGAATGTTCAACTCTGTGACTTGAATGCAAACATCACAAAGAAGTTACTGGGAATGCTGGCTGTCTGCTTTTTATATGTAATCCCGATTCCAACGAAATCCTCAAAGATAGACAAATATCCACTTGCAGATTCAACAAAAAGAGTGTTTCAAAACTGCTCTCTCAAAAGAAAGGTTCAACTCTGTTAGCTGAGTAGATACATCATGAAAAAGTTTCTGACATTGCTTCTATCTAGCTTTATTTGGAAGATATTTCCTTTTTCACCGTAGTCCTGAGAATGCTCCAAATGTCCACTTCCAGATACTACAAAAAGAGTGTTTCAAACATGCTCTATGAAAGGGACTGTTCAACACTGTGACTTCAATTGAAACATCCCAATGAAGCTTCTGAGAATGCTTCTGTCTAGAGTTTATATGAAGACAATCCCGTTTCCAACGAAATCCTCAAAGCTATCCAAATATCCTCTTGCAGATATTACAAAAAGAGTGTTTCAAAACTGCTCTATCAAAAGAAAGCTTCAACACTGTTAGTTGAGGGCGCACATCACAAATTAGTTTCTGAGAATGCTTCTGTCTAGTTTTCAGGGGAAGATATTTCCTTTTTCACCTTAGGCCTGAAAGCGCTGCAAATGTCCACATCCAGATACTACAAAAAGAGTGTTTCAAACCTGCTCTATGAAAGGGAGTGTTCAACTCTGTGACTTGAATGCAAACATCACAAAGAAGTTTCTGGGAATGCTGCTGTCTGCTTTTTATATGTAATCCCGTTTCCAACGAAATCCTCAAAGCTAGACAAATATCCACTTGCAGATTCCACAAAAAGAGTGTTTCAAAACTGCTCTCTCAAAGGAAGGTTCAACTCTGTTAGCTGAGTAGATACATCATGAAAAAGTTTCTGACATTGCTTCTATCTAGCTTTTATTGGAAGATATTTCCTTTTTCACCGTAGTCCTGAGAACGCTCCAAATGTCCACTTCCAGATGCTGCAAAAAGAGTGTTTCAAACCTGCTCTATGAAAGGGACTGTTCAACACTGTGACTTCAATTGAAACATCCCAATGAAGCTTCTGAGAATGCTTCTGCCTAGAGTTTATATGAAGACAATCCCGTTTCCAACGAAATCCTCAAAGCTATCCAAATATCCTCTTGCAGATATTACAAAAAGAGTGTTTCAAAACTGCTCTATCAAAAGAAAGCTTCAACACTGTTAGTTGAGGGCGCACATCACAAATAAGTTTCTGAGAATGCTTCTGTATAGTTTTCAGGGGAAGATATTTCCTTTTTCACCGTAGGCCTGAAAGCGCTCCAAACGTCCACATCCAGATACTACAAAAAGAGTGTTTCAAACCTGCTCTATGAAAGGGAATGTTCAAGTCTGTGACTTGAATGCAAATTTCACAAAGTAGTTTCTGGGAATGCTGCTGTCTGCTTTTTATATGTAATCCCGTTTCCAACGAAATCCTCAAAGCTAGACAAATATCCACTTGCAGATTCCACAAAAAGAGTGTTTCAAAACTGAGCTCTCAAAAGAAAGGTTCAACTCTGTTAGCTGAGTAGATACATCATGAAAAAGTTTCTGACATTGCTTCTATCTAGCTTTTATTGGAAGATATTTCCTTTTTCACCGCAGTCCTGAGAGCGTTCCAAATGTCCACTTCCAGATACTACAAAAAGAGTGTTTCAAACCTGCTCTATGAAAGGGACTGTTCAACACTGTGACTTCAATTGAAACATCCCAATGAAGCTTCTGAGAATGCTTCTGTCTAGAGTTTATATGAAGACAATCCCGTTTCCAACGAAATCCTCAAAGCTATCCAAATATCCTCTTGCAGATATTACAAAAAGAGTGTTTCAAAACTGCTCTATCAAAAGAAAGCTTCAACACTGTTAGTTGAGGGCGCACATCACAAATAAGTTTCTGAGAATGCTTCTGTCTAGTTTTCAGGGGAAGATATTACCTTTTTCATCATAGGCCTGAAAGCGCTCCAAATGTCCACATCCAGATACTACAAAAAGAGTGTTTCAAACCTGCTCTATGGAAGGGAATGTTCAAGTCTGTGACTTGAATGCAAATATCACAAAGAAGTTTCTGGGAATGCTGCTGTCTGCTTTTTATATGTAATCCCGTTTCAAACGCAATCCTCAAAGCTAGACAAATATCCACTTGCAGATTCCACAAAAAGAGTGTTTCAAAACGGCTCTCTCACAAGAACGGTTCAACTCTGTTAGCTGAGTAGGCACATCATGAAAAATTTTCTGACATTGCTTCTATCTAGCTTTATTTGGAAGATATTTCCTTTTTCACCGTAGTCCTGAGTACGCTCCAAATGTCCACTTCCAGATACTACAAAAAGATTGTTTCAAACATGCTCTATGAAAGGGACTGTTCAACACTGTGACTTCAATTGAAACATCCCAATGAAGCTTCTGGGAATGCTTCTGTCTAGAGTTTATATGAAGACAATCCCGTTTCCAACGAAATCCTCAAAGCTATCCAAATATCCTCTTGGAGATATTACAAAAAGAGTGTTTCAAAACTGCTCTATCAAAAGAAAGGTTCAACACTGTTAGTTGAGGGCGCACATCACAAATAAGTTTCTTAGAATGCCTCTGTCTAGTTTTCAGGGGAAGATATTTCCTTTTTCACCATAGGCTTGAAAGCACTCCAAATGTCCACATCCAGATACTACAAAAAGAGTGTTTCAAACCTGCTCTATGAAAGGGAATGTTCAACTCTGTGACTTGAATGCAAACATCACAAAGAAGTTTCTGGGAATGCTGCTGTCTGCTTTTTATATGTAATCCCGTTTCCAACGAAATCCTCAAAGCTAGAAAAATATCCACTTCCAGATTCCACAAAAAGAGTGTTTCAAAACTGCTCTCTCAAAAGAAAGGTTCAACTCTGTTAGCTGAGTAGATACATCATGAAAAAGTTTCTGACATTGCTTCTATGTAGCTTTTATTGGAAGATATTTCCTTTTTCACCATAGGCCTGAAAGCGCTCCAAATGTCCACATCCAGATACTACAAAAAAAGTGTTTCAAACCTGCTCTATGAAAGGGAATGTTCAACTCTGTGACTTGAATGCAAACATCACAAAGAAGTTACTGGGAATGCTGCTGTCTGCTTTCTATATATAATCCCGTTTCCAACGAAATCCTCAAAGGTAGACCAATATCCACTTGCAGATTCCACAAAAAGAGTGTTTCAAAACTGCTCTCTCAAAAGAAAGGTTCAACTCTGTTAGCTGAGTAGATACATCATGAAAAAGTTTCTGACATTGCTTCTATGTAGCTTTTATTGGAAGATATTTCCTTTTTCACCGTAGTCCTGAGAGCGCTCCAAATATCCACTTCCAGATACTACAAAAAGAGTGTTTGAAACCTGTTCTATGAAAGGAACTGTTCAACACTGTGACTTCAATTGAAACTTCCCAATGAAGCTTCTGAGAATGCTTCTGTCTAGAGTTTATATGAAGACAATCACGTTTCCAACGAAATCCTCAAAGCTATCAAAATATCCTCTTGCAGATTTTACGAAAAGTGTGTCTCAAAACTGCTCTATCAAAAGAAAGCTTCAACACTGTTAGTTGAGGGCGCACATCACAAATAAGATTCTGAGAATGCTTCTGTCTAGTTTTCAGGAGAAGATATTTCCTTTTTCACCATAGGCCTGAAAGCGCTCCAAATGTCCACATCCAGATACTATAAAAAGAGTGTTTCAAACCTGCTCTCTGAAAGGGAATGTTCAACTCTGTGACTTGAATGCAAACATCACAAACAAGATTCTGGGAATGCTGCTGTCTGCTTTTTATATGTAATCCCGTTTCCAACGAAATTCTCAAAGCTAGACAAATATCCACTTGCAGATTCCACAAAAAGAGTGTTTCAAAACTGCTCTATCAAAAGAAAGCTTCAACACTGTTAGTTGAGGGCGCACATCACAAATAAGTTTCTGAGAATGCTTCTGTCTAGTTTTCAGGGGAAGATATTTCCTTTTTCACCTTAGGCCTGAAAGCGCTGCAAATGTCCACATCCAGATACTACAAAAAGAGTGTTTCAAACCTGCTCTATGAAAGGGAATGTTCAACTCTGTGACTTGAATGCAAACATCACAAAGAAGTTTCTGGGAATGCTGCTGTCTGCTTTTTATATGTAATCCCGTTTCCAACGAAATCCTCAAAGCTAGACAAATATCCACTTGCAGATTCCACAAAAAGAGTGTTTCAAAACTGCTCTCTCAAAGGAAAGGTTCAACTCTGTTAGCTGAGTAGATACATCATGAAAAAGTTTCTGACATTGCTTCTATGTAGCTTTTATTGGAAGATATTTCCATTTTCACCGTAGTCCTGAGAGCGCTCCAAATGTCCACTTCCAGATACTACAAAAAGAGTGTTTCAAACCTGTTCTATGAAAGGAACTGTTCAACACTGTGACTTCAATTGAAACATCCCAATGAAGCTTCTGAGAATGCTTCTGTCTAGAGTTTATATGAAGACAATCCCGTTTCCAACGAAATCCTCAAAGCTATCCAAATATCCTCTTGCAGATATTACAAAAAGAGTGTTTCAAAACTGCTCTATCAAAAGAAAGCTTCAACACTGTTAGTTGAGGGCGCACATCACAAATAAGTTTCTGAGAATGCTTCTGTCTAGTTTTCAGGGGAAGATATTTCCTTTTTCACCATAGGCTTGAAAGCACTCCAAATGTCCACATCCAGATACTACAAAAAGAGTGTTTCAAACCTGCTCTATGAAAGGGAATGTTCAACTCTGTGACTTGAATGCAAACATCACAAAGAAGTTTCTGGGAATGCTGCTGTCTGCTTTTTATATGTAATCCCGTTTCCAACGAAATCCTCAAAGCTAGACAAATATCCACTTGCAGATTCCACAAAAAGAGTGTTTCAAAACTGCTCTCGCAAAAGAAAGGTTCAACTCTGTTAGCTGGGTAGATACATCATGAACAATTTTCTGACATTGCTTCTATCTAGCTTTTATTGGAAGATATTTCCTTTTTGACCATATTCCTGAGAACTCTCCAAATGTCCACTTCCAGATACTACAAAAAGAGTGTTTCAAACCTGCTCTATGAAAGGGACTGTTCAACACTGTGACTTCAATTGAAACATCCCAATGAAGCTTCTGAGAATGCTTCTGTCTAGAGTTTATATGAAGACAATCCCGTTTCCAATGAAATCCTCAAAGCTATCCAAATATCCTCTTGCAGATTTTACAAAAAGAGTGTTTCAAAACTGCTCTATCAAAAGAAAGCTTCAACACTGTTAGTTGAGGGCGCACATCACAAATAAGATTCTGAGAATGCTTCTGTCTAGTTTTCAGGGGAAGATATTTCCTTTTTCACCATAGGCCTGAAAGCGCTCCAAATGTCCACATCCAGATACTACAAAAAGAGTGTTTCAAACCTGCTCTATGAAAGGGCATGTTCAACTCTGTGACTTGAATGCAAACATCACAAAGAAGTTACTGGGGAATGCTGCTGTCTGATTTTTATATGTAATCCTGTTTCCAACGAAATCCTCAAAGCTAGACAAATATCCACTTGCAGATTCCACAAAAAGAGTGTTTCAAAACTGCTCTCTCAAAAGAAAGGTTCAACTCTGTTAGCTGAGTAGATACATCATGAAAAAGTTTCTGACATTGCTTCTATGTAGCTTTTATTGGAAGATATTTCCTTTTTCACCGTAGTCCTGAGAGCGCTCCAAATGTCCACTTCCAGATACTACAAAAAGAGTGTTTCAAACCTGCTCTATGAAAGGGACTGTTCAACACTGTGACTTCAATTGAAACATCCCAATGAAGCTTCTGAGAATGCTTTTGTCTAGATTTTATATGAAGACAATCCCGTTTCCAAAGAATTCCTCAAAGCTATAAAAATATCCTCTTGCAGATTTTACAAAGAGTGTTTCAAAACTACTCTATCAAAAGAAAGGTTTAACACTGTTAGTTGAGGGCGCACATCACAAATAAGTTTCTGAGAATGCTTCTATCTAGCTTTTATTGGAAGATATTTCCTTTTTCACCGTAGTCCTGAGAGCGCTCCAAATGTCCACTTCCAGATACTACAAAAAGAGTGTTTCAAACCTGCTCCATGAAAGGGAATGTTCAACTCTGTGACTTGAATGCAAACATCACAAAGAAGTTTACTGGGAATGCTGCTGTCTGCTTTTTATATGTAATCCCGTTTCCAACGAAATCCTGAAAGCTAGACAAATATCCACCTGCAGATTCCACAAAAAGAGTGTTTCAAAACTGCTCTCTCAAAAAAAATGTTCAACTCTGTTAGCTGAGTAGATACATCATGAAAAAGTTTCTGACATTGCTTTCTATCTAGCTTTTATTGGAAGATATTTCCTTTTTCACCGTAGTCCTGAGAGCGCTCCAAATGTCCACTTCCAGATACTACAAAAAGAGTGTTTCAAACCTGCTCTATGAAAGGGACTGTTCAACACTGTGACTTCAATTGAAACATCCCAATGAAGCTTCTGAGAATGCTTCTGTCTAGAGTTTATATGAAGACAATCCCGTTTCCAACGAAATCCTCAAAGCTATCCAAATATCCTCTTGCAGATTTTACAAAAAGAGTGTTTCAAAACTGCTCTATCAAAAGAAAGCTTCAACACTGTTAGTTGAGGGCGCACATCACAAATAAGATTCTGAGAATGCTTCTGTCTAGTTTTCAGGGGAAGATATTTCCTTTTTCACCATAGGCCTGAAAGCGCTCCAAATGTCCACATCCAGATACTATAAAAACAGTGTTTCAAACCTGCTCTCTGAAAGGGAATGTTCAACTCTGTGACTTGAATGCAAACTTCACAAAGAAGTTTCTGGGAATGCTGCTGTCTGCTTTTTATATGTAATCCCGTTTCCAACGAAATCCTCAAAGCTAGACAAATATCCACTTGCAGATTCCACAAAAAGAGTGTTTCAAAACTGCTCTCTCAAAGGAAGGTTCAACTCTGTTAGCTGAGTAGATACATCATGAAAATTTTCTGACATTGCTTCTATCTAGCTTTTATTGGAAGATATTTCCTTTTTCACCGCAGTCCTGAGAGCGCTCCAAATGTCCACTTCCAGATACTACAAAAAGAGTGTTTCAAACCTGCTCTATGAAAGGGACTGTTCAACACTGTGACTTCAATTGAAACATCCCAATGAAGCTTCTGAGAATGCTTCTGTCTAGAGTTTATATGAAGACAATCCCGTTTCCAACGAAATCCTCAAAGCTATCCAAATATCCTCTTGCAGATTTTACAAAAAGAGTGTTTCAAAACTGCTCTATCAAAAGAAAGCTTCAACACTGTTAGTTGAGGGCGCACATCACAAATAAGATTCTGAGAATGCTTCTGTCTAGTTTTCAGGGGAAGATATTTCCTTTTTCACCATAGGCCTGAAAGCGCTCCAAATGTCCACATCCAGATACTACAAAAAGAGTGTTTCAAACCTGCTCTATGAAAGGGAATGTTCAACTCTGTGACTTGAATGAAAACATCACAAAGAAGATTCTGGGAATGCTGCTGTCTGCTTTTTATATGTAATCCCGTTTCCAACGAAATCCTCAAAGCTAGACAAATATCCACTTGCAGATTCCACAAAAAGAGTGTTTCAAAACTGCTCTCTCAAAGGAAAGGTTCAACTCTGTTAGCTGAGTAGATACATCATGAAAAAGTTTCTGACATTGCTTCTATGTAGCTTTTATTGGAAGATATTTCCTTTTTCACCATAGTCCTGAGAGCGCCCCAAATGTCCACTTCCAGATACTACAAAAAGAGTGTTTCAAACCTGTTCTATGAAAGGAACTGTTCAACACTGTGACTTCAATTGCAACATCCCAATGAAGCTTCTGAGAATGCTTCTGTCTAGAGTTTATATGAAGACAATCCCGTTTCCAACGAAATCCTCAAAGCTATCCAAATATCCTCTTGCAGATTTTACAAAAAGAGTGTTTCAAAACTGCTCTATCAAAAGAAAGCTTCAACACTGTTAGTTGAGGGCGCACATCACAAATAAGATTCTGAGAATGCTTCTGTCTAGTTTTCAGGGGAAGATATTTCCTTTTTCACCATAGGCCTGAAAGCGCTCCAAATGTCCACATCCGGATACTACAAAAAGAGTGTTTCAAACCTGCTCTATGAAAGGGAATGTTCAACTCTGTGACTTGAATGCAAACATCACAAAGAAGTTTACTGGGAATGCTGCTGTCTGCTTTTTATATGTAATCCCGTTTCCAACGAAATCCTCAAAGCTAGACAAATATCCACTTGCAGATTCCACAAAAAGAGTGTTTCAAAACTGCTCTCTCAAAAGAAAGGTTCAACTCTGTTAGCTGAGTGGATACATCATGAAAAAGTTTCTGACATTGCTTCTATCTAGCTTTTATTGGAAGATATTTCCTTTATCACCGTATTCCTTAGATCTCTCCAAATGTCCACTTCCAGATCCTACAAAAAGAGTGTTTCAAACCTGCTCTATGAAAGGGACTGTTCAACACTGTGACTTCAACTGAAACATCCCAATGAAGCTTCTGAGAATGCTTCTGTCTAGAGTTTATATGAAGACAATCCCGTTTCCAACGAAATCCTCAAAGCTATCCAAATATCCTCTTGCAGATTTTACAAAAAGAGTGTTTCAAAACTGCTCTATCAAAAGAAAGCTTCAACACTGTTAGTTGAGGGCGCACATCACAAATAAGTTTCTGAGAATGCTTCTGTCTAGTTTTCAGGGGAAGATATTTCCTTTTTCACCATAGGCCTGAAAGCGCTCCAAATGTCCACATACAGATACTACAAAAAGAGTGTTTCAAACCTGCTCTATGAAAGGGAATGTTCAACTCTGTGACTGGAATGCAAACATCACAAAGAAGTTTCTGGGAATGCTGCTGTCTGCTTTTTATATGTAATCCCGTTTCCAACGAAATCCTCAAAGCTAGACAAATATCCACTTGCAGATCCCACAAAAAGAGTGTTTCAAAACTGCTCTCTCAAAAGAAAGGTTCAACTCTGGTAGCTGAGTAGATACATCATGAAAAAGTTTCTGACATTGCTTCTATCTAGCTTTTATTGGAAGATATTTCCTTTATCACCGTATTCCTGAGATCTCTCCAAATGTCAACTTCCAGATACTACAAAAAGAGTGTTTCAAACCTGCTCTATGAAAGGGACTGTTCAACACTGTGACTTCAATTGAAACATCCCAATGAAGCTTCTGAGAATGCTTCTGTCTAGAGTTTATATGAAGACAATCCCGTTTCCAACGAAATCCTCAAAGCTATCCAAATATCCTCTTGCAGATTTTACAAAAAGAGTGTTTCAAAACTGCTCTATCAAAAGAAAGCTTCAACACTGTTAGTTGAGGGCGCACATCACAAATAAGATTCTGAGAATGCTTCTGTCTAGTTTTCAGGGGAAGATATTTCCTTTTTCACCATAGGCCTGAAAGCGCTCCAAATGTCCACATCCAGATACTACAAAAAGAGTGTTTCAAACCTGCTCTATGAAAGGGAATGTTCAACTCTGTGACTTGAATGCAAACATCACAACGAAGATTCTGGGAATGCTGCTGTCTGCTTTTTATATGTAATCCTGTTTCCAACGAAATCCTCAAAGCTAGACAAATATCCACTTGCAGATTCCACAAAAAGAGTGTTTCAAAACTGCTCTCTCAAAAGAAAGGTTCAACTCTGTTAGCTGAGTAGATACATCATGAAAAAGTTTCTGACATTGCTTCTATGTAGCTTTTATTGGAAGATATATCCTTTTTCACCGTAGTCCTGAGAGCGCTCCAAATGTCCACTTCCAGATACTACAAAAAGAGTGTTTCAAACCTGCTCTATGAAAGGGACTGTTCAACACTGTGACTTCAATTGAAACATCCCAATGAAGCTTCTGAGAATGCTTCTGTCTGGTTTTCAGGAGAAGATAATTCCTTTTTCACCATAGGCCTGAAAGCGCTCCAAATGTCCACATCGAGATACTACAAAAAGAGTGTTTCAAACCTGCTGTATGAAAGGGAATGTTCAACTCTGTGACTTGAATGCAAACATCACAAAGAAGATTCTGGGAATGCTGCTGTCTGCTTTTTATATGTAATCCCGTTTCCAACGAAATCCTCAAAGCTAGACAAATATCCACTTGCAGATTCCACAAAAAGAGTGTTTCAAAACTGCTCTATCAAAAGAAAGCTTCAACACTGTTAGTTGAGGGGGCACATCACAAATAAGTTTCTGAGAATGCTTCTGTCTAGTTTTCAGGGGAAGATATTTCCTTTTTCACCATAGGCCTGAAAGCGCTCCAAATGTCCACATCCAGATACTACAAAAAGAGTGTTTCAAACCTGCTCTATGAAAGGGACTGTTCAACACTGTGACTTCAATTGAAACATCCCAATGAAGCATCTGAGAATGCTTCTGTCGAGATTTTATATGAAGATATCCCGTTTCCAACGAAATCCTCAAAGCTGTCCAAATATCCCCTTGCAGAGTCTACAAAAAGAGTTTTTCAAGCATGCTCTCTCAAAAGAAAGGTTCAACCCTGTTAGTTGAGTACGCACATCACAAACTGGTTTCTGAGAATGCTTCTTCCTAGTTTATATGGGAAGATATTTCCTTTTTCACAATAGGTCACAAAGCACTCCAAATGTCCAGTTCCATATACTACAAAATCTTGTGTTCACACCTGCTTTATGAAAGGGAATGTTCAACACTGGGACTTGAATGCAATCCTCACAGAGATTTTTCTGAGAATGCTTCTGTCTAGGTTTTGTATGGACATATTCCCGTTTCCAACGAAATCCTCTAGGCTATCCAAATATCCACTTGCAGATTCTACAAAAAGAGTGTTTCAAAACTGCTCTATCAAAAGAAATGTTCAACACTGTTACTTGAGGGCGCACATCAAAATAAGTTTCTGAGAATGCTTCTGTCTAGTTTGCAGGGGAAGATATTTCCTTTTTCACCATAGGCCTGAAAGCGCTCCAAATGTCCACATCCAGATACTACAAAAAGAGTGTTTCAAACCTGCTGTATGAAAGGGAATGTTCAAGTCTGTGACTTGAATGCAAATATCACAAAGAAGTTTCTGGGAATGCTGCTGTCTGCTTTTTATATGTAATCCCGTTTCCAACGAAATCCTCAAAGCTAGACAAATATCCACTTGCAGATTCCACAAAAAGAGTGTTTCAAAACTGCTCTATCAAAAGAAAGCTTCAACACTGTTAGTTGAGGGCGCACATCACAAATAAGTTTCTGAGAATGCTTCTGTCTAGTTTTCAGGGGAAGATATTTCCTTTTAAACCAGAGGCCTGAAAGCGCTCCAAATGTCCACATCCAGATACTACAAAAAGAGTGTTTGAAACCTGCTTTATGAAAGGGACTGTTCAACACTGTGACTTCAATTGAAACATCCCAATGAAGCTTCTGAGAATGCTTCTGTCTAGAGTTTATATGAAGACAATCCCGTTTCCAACGAAATCCTCAAAGCTATCCAAATATCCTCTTGCAGATTTTACAAAAAGAGTGTTTCAAAACTGCTCTATCAAAAGAAAGCTTCAACACTGTTAGTTGAGGGCGCACATCACAAATAAGATTCTGAGAATGCTTCAGTCTAGTTTTCTGGGGAAGATATTTCCTTTTTCACCATAGGCCTGAAAGCGCTCCAAATGTCCACATCCAGATACTACAAAAAGAGTGTTTCAAACCTGCTCTATGAAAGGGAATGTTCAACTCTGTGACTTGAATGCAAACATCTCAAAGAAGTTTCTGGGAATGCTGCTGTCTGCTTTTTATATGTAATCCCGTTTCCAACGAAATCCTCAAAGCTAGACAAATATCCACTTGCAGATTCCACAAAAAGAGTGTTTCAAAACTGCTCTCTCAAAGGAAAGGTTCAACTCTGTTAGCTGAGTAGATACATCATGAAAAAGTTTCTGACATTGCTTCTATGTAGCTTTTATTGGAAGATATTTCCTTTTTCACCGTAGTCCTGAGAGCGCTCCAAATGTCCACTTCCAGATACTACAAAAAGAGTGTTTCAAACCTGTTCTATGAAAGGAACTGTTCAACACTGTGACTTCAATTGAAACATCCCAATGAAGCTTCTGAGAATGCTTCTGTCTAGAGTTTATATGAAGACAATCCCGTTTCCAACGAAATCCTCAAAGCTATGCAAATATCCTCTTGCAGATATTACAAAAAGAGTGTTTCAAAACTGCTCTATCAAAAGAAAGCTTCAACACTGTTAGTTGAGGGCGCACATCACAAATAAGTTTCTGAGAATGTTTCTGTCTAGTTTTCAGGGGAAGATATTTCCTTTTTCACCTTAGGCCTGAAAGCGCTGCAAATGTCCACATCCAGATACTACAAAAAGAGTGTTTCAAACCTGCTCTATGAAAGGGAATGTTCAACTCTGTGACTTGAATGCAAACATCACAAAGAAGTTTCTGGGAATGCTGCTGTCTGCTTTTTATATGTAATCCCGTTTCCAACGAAATCCTCAAAGCTAGACAAATATCCACTTGCAGATTCCACAAAAAGAGTGTTTCAAACTGCTCTCTCAAAGGAAGGTTCAACTCTGTTAGCTGAGTAGATACATCATGAAAAAGTTTCTGACATTGCTTCTATCTAGCTTTTATTGGAAGATAGTTCCTTTTTCACCGCAGTCCTGAGAGCGCTCCAAATGTCCACTTCCAGATACTACAAAAAGAGTGTTTCAAACCTGCTCTATGAAAGGGACTGTTCAACACTGTGACTTCAATTGAAACATCCCAATGAAGCTTCTGAGAATGCTTCTGTCTAGAGTTTATATGAAGACAATCCCGTTTCCAACGAAATCCTCAAAGCTATCCAAATATCCTCTTGCAGATTTTACAAAAAGAGTGTTTCAAAACTGCTCTATCAAAAGAAAGCTTCAACACTGTTAGTTGAGGGCGCACATCACAAATAAGATTCTGAGAATGCTTCTGTCTAGTTTTCAGGGGAAGATATTTCCTTTTTCACCATAGGCCTGAAAGCGCTCCAAATGTCCGCATCCAGATACTACAAAAAGAGTGTTTCAAACCTGCTCTATGAAAGGGAATGTTCAACTACTGTGACTTGAATGCAAACATCACAAATAAGTTACTGGGAATGCTGCTGTCTGCTTTTTATATGTAATCCCGTTTCCAACGAAATCCTCAAAGCTAGACAAATATCCTCTTGCAGATTCCACAAAAAGAGTGTTTCAAAACTGCTCTCTCAAAAGAAAGGTTCAACTCTGTTAGCTGAGTAGATACATCATGAAAAAGTTTCTGACATTGCTTCTATCTAGCTTTTATTGGAAGATATTTCCTTTATCACCGTATTCCTGAGATCACTCCAAATGTCCACTTCCAGATACTACCAAAAGAGTGTTTCAAACCTCCTCTATGAAAGGGACTGTTCAACACTGTGACTTCAATTGAAACATCCCAATGAAGCTTCTGAGAATGCTTCTGTCTAGAGTTTATATGAAGACAATCCCGTTTCCAACGAAATCTTCAAAGCTATCCAAATATCCTCTTGCAGATTTTACGAAAAGAGTGTTTCAAAACTGCTCTATCAAAAGAAAGGTTCAACACTGTTAGTTGAGGGCGCACATCACAAATAAGATTCTGAGACTGCTTCTGTCTAGTTTTCAGGGGAAGATATTTCCTTTTTCACCATAGGCCTGAAAGTGCTCCAAATGTCCACATCCAGATACTACAAAAAGAGTGTTTCAAACCTGCTCTATGAAAGGGAATGTTCAACACTGTGACTTGAATGCAAACATCACAAAGATGTTACTGGGAATGCTGCTGTCTGCTTTTTATATGTAATCCCGTTTCCAACGAAATCCTCAATGCTAGACAAATATCCACTTCCAGATTCCACAAAAAGAGTGTTTCAAAACTGCTCTCTCAAAAGAAAGGTTCAACTCTGTTAGCTGAGTAGATACATCATGAAAAAGTTTCTGACATTGCTTCTATGTAGCTTTTATTGGAAGATATTTCCTTTTTCACCGTAGTCCTGAGAGCGCTCCAAATGTCCACTTCCAGATACTACAAAAAGAGTGTTTCAAACCTGCTCTATGAAAGGGACTGTTCAACACTGTGACTTCAATTGAAACATCCCAATGAAGCTTCTGAGAATGCTACTGTCTAGGGTTAATATGAAGACAATCCCGTTTCCAACGAAATCCTCAAAGCTATCCAAATATCCTCTTGCAGATTTTACAAAAAGAATGTTTCAAAACTGCTCTATCAAAAGAAAGCTTCAACACTGTTAGTTGAGGGCACACATCACAAATAAGTTTCTGAGCATACTGCTGTCTGCTTTTTATATGTAATCCCGTTTCCAACGAAATCCTCAAAGCTAGTCAAATATCCACTTACAGATTCCACAAAAAGAGTGTTTCAAAACTGCTCTATCAAAAGAAAGGTTCAACACTGTTAGTTGAGGGCGCACATCACAAATAAGTTTCTGAGAATGCTTCTGTCTAGTTTTCAGGGGAAGATATTTCCTTTTAAACCATAGGCCTGAAAGCGCTCCAAATGTCCACATCCAGATACTACAAAAAGAGTGTTTGAAACCTGCTCTATGAAAGGGACTGTTCAACACTGTAACTTCAATTGAAACATCCCAATGAAGCTTCTGAGAATGCTTCTGTCTAGATTCTATATGAAGACAATCCCGTTTCCAACGAAATCCTCAAAGCTATCCAAATATCCTCTTGCAGATTTTACAAAAAGGGTGTTTCAAAACTGCTCTATCAAAAGAAAGGTTCAACATTGTTAGTTGAGGGCGCACATCACAAATAAGTTTCTGAGAATGCTTCTGTCTAGTTTTCTGGGGAAGATATTTCCTTTTTCACCATAGGCCTGAAAGCGCTCCAAATGTCCACATCCAGATACTACAAAAAGAGTGTTTCAAACCTGCTCTATGAAAGGGAATGTTCAACTCTGTGACTTGAATGCAAACATCACAAAGAAGTTACTGGGAATGCTGCTGTCTGCTTTTTATATGTAATCCCGTTTCCAACGCAATCCTCAAAGCTAGACAAATATCCACTTGCAGATTCCACAAAAAGAGTGTTTCAAAACTGCTCTCTCAAAAGAAAGGTTCAACTGTGTTAGCTGAGTAGATACATCATGAAAAACTTTCTGACATTGCTTCTATCTAGCTTTTATTGGAAGATATTTCCTTTGTCACCTTATTCCTGAGATCTCTCCAAATGTCCACTTCCAGATACTACAAAAAGAGTGTTTCAAACCTGCTCTATGAAAGGGACTGTTCAACACTGTGACTTCAATTGAAACATCCCAATGAAGCTTCTGAGAATGCTTCTGTCTAGAGTTTATATGAAGACAATCCCGTTTCCAACGAAATCCTCAAAGCTATCCAAATATCCTCTTGCAGATTTTACGAAAAGAGTGTTTCAAAACTGCTCTATCAAAAGAAAGCTTCAACACTGTTAGTTGAGGGCGCACATCACAAATAAGATTCTGAGAATGCTTCTGTCTAGTTTTCAGGAGAAGATATTTCCTTTTTCACCTTAGGCCAGAAAGCGCTCCAAATGTCCACAACCAGATACTTCAAAAAGAGTGTTTCAAACCTGCTCTATGAAAGGGAATGTTCAACTCTCTGACTTGAATGCAAACATCACAAAGAAGTTACTGGGAATGCTGCTGTCTGCTTTTTATATGTAATCCCGTTTCCAACGAAATCCTCAAAGCTAGATAAATATCCACTTGCAGATTCCACAAAAAGAGTGTTTCAAAACTGCTCTATCAAAAGAATGCTTCAACACTGTTAGTTGAGGGCGCACATCACAAATAAGTTTCTGAGAATGCTTCTGTCTAGTTTTCAGGGGAAGATATTTCCTTTTTCACCATAGGCCTGAAAGCGCTCCAAATGTCCACATCCAGATACTACAAAAAGAGTGTTTCAAACCTGCTCTATGAAAGGGAATGTTCAACTCTGTGACTTGAATGCAAACTTCACAAAGAAGTTACTGGGAATGCTGCTGTCTCCTTTTTATATGTAATCCCGTTTCCAACGAAATCCTCAAAGCTAGACAAATATCCACTTTCAGATTACACAAAAAGAGTGTTTCAAAACTGCTCTCTCAAAAGAAAGGTTCAACTCTGTTAGCTGAGTAGATACATCATGAAAAAGTTTCTGACATTGCTTCTATCTAGCTTTTATTGGAAGATATTTCCTTTATCACCGTAGTCCTGAGAGCGCTCCAAATGTCCACTTCCAGATACTACAAAAAGAGTGCTTCAAACCTGCTCTATGAAAGGGACTGTTCAACACTGTGACTTCAATTGAAACATCCCAATGAAGCTTCTGAGAATGCTTCTGTCTAGAGTTTATATGAAGACAATCCCGTTTCCAACGAAATCCTCAAAGCTATCCAAATATCCTCTTGCAGATTTTACAAAAAGAGTGTTTGAAAACTGCTCTATCAAAAGAAAGCTTCAACACTGTTAGTTGAGGGCGCACATCACAAATAAGATTCTGAGAATGCTTCTGTCTAGTTTTCAGGGGAAGATATTTCCTTTTTCACCATAGGCCTGGAAGCGCTCCAAATGTCCACATCCAGATACTACAAAAAGAGTGTTTCAAACCTGCTCTATGAAAGGGAATGTTCAAGTCTGTGACTTGAATGCAAATTTCACCAAGAACTTTCTGGGAATGCTGCTGTCTGCTTTTTATATGTAATCCCGTTTCCAACGAAATCCTCAAAGCTAGACAAATATCCACCTGCAGATCCAACAAAAAGAGTGTTTCAAAACTGCTCTCTCAAAAAAAAGGTTCAACTCTGTTAGCTGAGTAGATACATCATGAAAAAGTTTCTGACATTGCTTCTATCTAGCTTTTATTGGAAGATATTTCCTTTTTCACCGTAGTCCTGAGAGCGCTCCAAATGTCCACTTCCAGATACTACAAAAAGAGTGTTTCAAACCTGCTCTATGAAAGGGACTGTTCAACACTGTGACTTCAATTGAAACATCCCAATGAAGCTTCTGAGAATGCTTCTGTCTAGAGTTTATATGAAGACAATCCCGTTTCCAACGAAATCCTCAAAGCTATCCAAATATCCTCTTGCAGATTTTACAAAAAGAGTGTTTCAAAACTGCTCTATCAAAAGAAAGCTTCAACACTGTTAGTTGAGGGCGCACATCACAAATAAGATTCTGAGAATGCTTCTGTCTAGTTTTCAGGAGAATATATTTCCTTTTTCACCATAGGCCTGAAAGCGCTCCAAATGTCCACATCCAGATACTATAAAAAGAGTGTTTCAAACCTGCTCTATGAAAGGGAATGTTCAACTCTGTGACTTGAATGCAAACATCACAAAGAAGATTCTGGGAATGCTGCTGTCTGCTTTTTATATGTAATCCCGTTTCCAACGAAATCCTCAAAGCTAGACAAATATCCACGTGCAGATTCCACAAAAAGAGTGTTTCAAAACTGCTCTATCAAGAGAAAGCTTCAACACTGTTAGTTGAGGGCGCACATCACAAATAAGTTTCTGAGAATGCTTCTGTCTAGTTTTCAGGGGAAGATATTTCCTTTTTCACCATAGGCCTGAAAGCGCTCGAAATGTCCACATCCAGATACTACAAAAAGAGTGTTTCAAACCTGCTCTATGAAAGGGACTGTTCAACACTGTGACTTCAATTGAAACATCCCAATGAAGCTTCTGAGAATGCTTCTGTCTAGAGTTTATATGAGGACAATCCCGTTTCCAAAGAAATCCTCAAAGCTATCCAAATATCCTCTTGCAGATTTTACAAAAAGAGTGTTTCAAAACTGCTCTATCAAAAGAAAGCTTCAACACTGTTAGTTGAGGGCGCACATCACAAATAAGATTCTGAGAATGCTTCTGTCTAGTTTTCAGGGGAAGATATTTCCTTTTTCACCATAGGCCTGAAAGCGCTCCAAATGTCCACATCCAGATACTATAAAAAGAGTGTTTCAAACCTGCTCTATGAAAGGGAATGTTCAACTCTGTGACTTGAATGCAAACATCACAAAGAAGTTTCTGGGAATGCTGCTGTCTGCTTTTTATATGTAATCCCGTTTCCAACGAAATCCTCAAAGCTAGACAATATCTACTTGCAGATTCCACAAAAAGAGTGTTTCAAAACTGCTCTATCAAAAGAATGCTTCAACTCTGTTAGTTGAGGGCGCACATCACAAATAAGTTTCTGAGAATGCTTCTGTCTAGTTTTCAGGGGAAGATATTTCCTTTTAAACCATAGGCCTGAAAGCGCTCCAAATGTCCACATCCAGATACTACAAAAAGAGTGTTTCAAACCTGCTCTATGAAAGGGACTGTTCAACACTGTGACTTCAATTGAAACATCCCAATGAAGCTTCTGAGAATGCTTCTGTCTAGAGTTTATATGAAGACAATCCCGTTTCCAACGAAATCCTCAAAGCTATCCAAATATCCTCTTGCAGATTTTACGAAAAGAGTGTTTCAAAACTGCTCTATCAAAAGAAAGCTTCAACACTGTTAGTTGAGGGCGCACATCACAAATAAGATTCTGAGAATTCTTCTGTCTAGTTTACAGGGGAAGATATTTCCTTTTTCACCATAGGCCTGAAAGCGCTCCAAATGTCCACATCCAGATACTACAAAAAGAGTGTTTCAAACCTGCTCTATGAAAGGGGAATGTTCAACTCTGTGACTTGAATGCAAACATCACAAAGAAGTTTCTGGGAATGCTGCTGTCTGCTTTTTATATGTAATCCCGTTTCCAACGAAATCCTCAAAGCTAGACAAATATCCACTTGCAGATTCCACAAAAAGAGTGTTTCAAAACTGCTCTATCAAAAGAATGCTTCAACACTGTTAGTTGAGGGCGCACATCACAAATAAGTTTCTGAGAATGCTTCTGTCTAGTTTTCAGGGGAAGATATTTCCTTTTAAACCATAGGCCTGAAAGCGCTCCAAATGTCCACATCCAGATACTACAAAAAGAGTGTTTCAAACCTGCTCTATGAAAGGGACTGTTCAACACTGTGACTTCAATTGAAACATCCCAATGAAGCTTCTGAGAATGCTTCTGTCTAGAGTTTATATGAAGACAATCCCGTTTCCAACGTAATCCTCAAAGCTAATCAAATATCCTCTTGCAGATTTTACAAAAAGTGTGTTTCAAAACTGCTCTATCAAAAGAGAGCTTCAACACTGTTAGTTGAGGGCGCACATCACAAATAAGATTCTGAGAATGCTTCTCTCTAGTTTTCAGGGGAACATATTCCCTTTTTCACCATAGGCCTGAAAGCGCTCCAAATGTCCACATCCAGATACTACAAAAAGAGTGTTTCAAACCTGCTCTAAGAAAGGGAATGTTCAACTCTGTGACCTGAATGCAAACATCACAAAGAAATTTCTGGGAATGCTGCTGTCTGCTTTTTATATATAATCCCGTTTCCAACGAAATCCTCAAAGCTAGACAAATATCCACTTGCAGATTCCACAAAAAGAGTGTTTCAAAACTCCTCTCTCAAAAGAAAGCTTCAACTCTGTTAGCTGAGTAGATACATCATGAAAAAGTTTCTGACATTGCTTCTATCTAGCTTTTATTGGAAGATATTTCCTTTTTCACCGTATTCCTGAGAGCGCTCCAAATGTCCACTTCCAGATATTACAAAAAGAGTGTTTCAAACCTGCTCTATGAAAGGGACTGTTCAACACTGTGACTTCAATTGAAACATCCCAATGAAGCTTCTGAGAACGCTTCTGTCTAGATTTTATATGAAGACAATCCCGTTTCCAACGATATCCTCGAAGCTATCCAAATATCCTCTTGCAGATTTTACAAAAAGAGTGTTTCAAAACTGCTCTATCAAAAGAAAGCTTCAACACTGTTAGTTGAGGGCGCACATCACAAATAAGATTCTGAGAATGCTTCTGTCTAGTTTTCAGGGGAAGATATTTCCTTTTTCTCCTTAGGCCTGAAAGCGCTGTAAATGTCCACATCCAGATTCTACAAAAAGAGTGTTTCAAACCTGCTCTATGAAAGGGAATGTTCAACTCTGTGACTTGAATGCAAACATCACAAAGAAGTGTCTGGGAATGCTGCTGTCTGCTTTTTATATGTAATCCCGTTTCCAAAGAAATCCTCAAATCTAGACAAATATCCACTTGCAGATTCCACAAAAAGAGTGTTTCAAAACTGCTCTCTCAAAAGAAAGGTTCAACTCTTTTAACTGAGTAGATACATCATGAAAAAGTTTCTCACATTGCTTCTATGTAGCTTTTATTGGAAGATATTTCCTTTTTCACCGTAGTCCTGAGGGCGCTCCAAATGTCCACTTCCAGATACTACAAAAAGAGTGTTTCAAACCTGCTCTATGAAAGGAACTGTTCAACACTGTGACTTCTATTGAAACATCCCAATGAAGCTTCTGAGAATGCTGCTGTCTGCTTTTTATATGTAATCCCGTTTCCAACGAAATCCTCAAAGCTAGACAAATATCCACTTGCAGATTCCACAAAAAGAGTGTTTCAAAACTGCTCTATCAAAAGAAAGCTTCAACACTGTTAGTTGAGGGCGCACATCACAAATAAGTTTCTGAGAATGCTTTTGTCTAGTTTTCAGGGGAAGATATTTCCTTTTTCACCTTAGGCCTGAAAGCGCTGCAAATGTCCACATCCAGATACTACAAAAAGAGTGTTTCAAACCTGCTCTATGAAAGGGAATGTTCAACTCTGTGACTTGAATGCAAACATCACAAAGAAGTTTCTGGGAATGCTGCTGTCTGCTTTTTATATGTAATCCCGTTTCCAACGAAATCCTCAAAGCTAGACAAATATCCACTTGCAGATTCCACAAAAAGAGTGTTTCAAAACTGCTCTCTCAAAGGAAGGTTCAACTCTGTTAGCTGAGTAGATACATCATGAAAAAGTTTCTGACATTGCTTCTATCTAGCTTTCTTTGGAAGATATTTCCTTTTTCACCGCAGTCCTGAGAGCGCTCCAAATGTCCACTTCCAGATACTACAAAAAGAGTGTTTCAAACCTGCTCTATGAAAGGGACTGTTCAACACTGTGACTTCAACTGAAACATCCCAATGAAGCTTCTGAGAATGCTTCTGTCTAGAGTTTATATGAAGACAATCCCGTTTCCAACGAAATCCTCAAAGCTATCCAAATATCCTCTTGCAGATTTTACAAAAAGAGTGTTTCAAAACTGCTCTATCAAAAGAAAGCTTCAACACTGTTAGTTGAGGGCGCACATCACAAATAAGATTCTGAGAATGCTTCTGTCTAGTTTTCAGGGGAAGATATTTCCGTTTTCACCATAGGCCTGAAAGCGCTCCAAATGTCCACATCCAGATACTACAAAAAGAGTGTTTCAAACATGCTCTATGAAAGGGAATGTTCAACTCTGTGACTTGAATGCAAATATCACAAAGAAGTTTCTGGGAATGCTGCTGTCTGCTTTTTATATGTAATCCCGTTTCCAACGAAATCCTCAAAGCTAGACAAATATCCACTTGCAGATTCCACAAAAAGAGTGTTTCAAAACTGCTCTATCAAAA
Source organism: Homo sapiens (assembly GCF_000001405.40). Classification (NCBI taxonomy): domain Eukaryota; kingdom Metazoa; phylum Chordata; class Mammalia; order Primates; family Hominidae; genus Homo; species Homo sapiens. Next base: position 92,451,118 of record NC_000002.12, on the reverse strand, counting down.
GAAAGCTTCAACACTGTTAGTTGAGGGCGCACATCACAAATAAGTTTCTGAGAATGCTTCTGTCTAGTTTTCAGGGGAAGATATTTCCTTTTTCACCTTAGGCCTGAAAGCGCTGCAAATGTCCACATCCAGATACTACAAAAAGAGTGTTTCAAACCTGCTCTATGAAAGGGAATGTTCAACTCTGTGACTTGAATGCAAACATCACAAAGAAGTTTCTGGGAATGCTGCTGTCTGCTTTTTATATGTAATCCCGTTTCCAACGAAATCCTCAAAGGTAGACAAATATCCACTTGCAGATTCCACAAAACGAGTGTTTCAAAACTGCTCTCTCAAAAGAAAGGTTCAACTCTGTTAGCTGAGTAGATACATCATGAAAAAGTTTCTGACATTGCTTCTATCTAGCTTTTATTGGAAGATATTTCCTTTTTCACCGCAGTCCTGAGAGCGTTCCAAATGTCCACTTCCAGATACTACAAAAAGAGTGTTTCAAACCTGCTCTATGAAAGGGACTGTTCAACACTGTGACTTCAATTGAAACATCCCAATGAAGCTTCTGAGAATGCTTCTGTCTAGAGTTTATATGAAGACAATCCCGTTTCCAACGAAATCCTCAAAGCTATCCAAATATCCTCTTGCAGATATTACAAAAAGAGTGTTTCAAAACTGCTCTATCAAAAGAAAGCTTCAACACTGTTAGTTGAGGGCGCACATCACAAATAAGTTTCTGAGAATGCTTCTGTCTAGTTTTCAGGGGAAGATATTTCCTTTTTCACCATAGGCCTGAAAGCGCTCAAAATGTCCACATACAGATACTACAAAAAGAGTGTTTCAAACCTGCTCTATGAAAGGGAATGTTCAACTCTGTGACTTCAATGCAAACTTCACAAAGAAGTTTCTGGGAATGCTGCTGTCTGCTTTTTATATGTAATCCCGTTTCAAACGAAATCCTCAAAGCTAGACAAATATCCACTTGCAGATTCCACAAAAAGAGTGTTTCAAAACTGCTCTCTCAAAAGAAAGGTTCAACTCTGTTAGCTGAGTAGATACGTCATGAAAAAGTTTCTGACATTGCTTCTATGTAGCTTTTATAGGAAGATATTTCCTTTTTCACCATAGTCCTGAGAGCGCTCCAAATGTCCACTTCCAGATACTACAAAAAGAGTGTTTCAAACCTGCTCTATGAAAGGGACTGTTCAACACTGTGACTTCAATTGAAACATCCCAATGAAGCTTCTGAGAATGCTTCTGTCTAGAGTTTATATGAAGACAATCCCGTTTCCAACGAAATCCTCAAAGCTATCCAAATATCCTCTTGCAGATATTACAAAAAGAGTGTTTCAAAACTGCTCTATCAAAAGAAAGGTTCAACAGTGTTAGTTGAGGGCGCACATCACAAATAAGTTTCTGAGAATGCTTCTGTCTAGTTTTCAGGGGAAGATATTTCCTTTTTCACCATAGGCCTGAAAGCGCTCCAAATGTCCACATCCAGATACTACAAAAAGAGTGTTTCAAACCTGCTCTATGAAAGGGAATGTTCAACTGTGTGACTTGAATGCAAACATCACAAAGAAGTTTCTGGGAATGCTGCTGTCTGCTTTTTACATGTAATCCCGTTTCCAACGAAATCCTCAAAGCTAGACAAATATCCACTTGCAGATTCCACAAAAAGAGTGTTTCAAAACTGCTCTCTCAAAGGAAGGTTCAACTCTGTTAGCTGAGTAGATACATCATGAAAAAGTTTCTGACATTGCTTCTATCTAACTTTTATTGGAAGATATTTCCTTTTTCACCGCAGTCCTGAGAGCGCTCCAAATGTCCACTTCCAGATACTACAAAAAGACTGTTTCAAACCTGCTCTATGAAAGGGACTGTTCAACACTGTGACTTCAACTGAAACATCCCAATGAAGCTTCTGAGAATGCTTCTGTCTAGAGTTTATATGAAGACAATCCCGTTTCCAAAGAAATCCTCAAAGGTATCCAAATATCCTCTAGCAGATTTTACAAAAAGAGTGTTTCAAAACTGCTCTATCAATAGAAAGCTTCAACACTGTTAGTTGAGGGCGCACATCACAAATAAAATTCTGAGAATGCTTCTGTCTAGTTTTCAGGGGAAGATATTTCCTTTTTCACCATAGGCCTGAAAGCGCTCCAAATGTCCACATCCAGATACTACAAAAAGAGTGTTTCAAACCTGCTCTATGAAAGGGAATGTTCAACTCTGTGACTTGAATGCAAACATCACAAAGAAGTTTCTGTGAATGCTGCTGTCTGCTTTTTATATGTAATGCCGTTTCCAACGAAATCCTCAAAGCTAGACAAATATCCACTTGCAGATTCCACAAAAAGAGTGTTTCAAAACTGCTCTCCCAAAAGAAAGGTTCAACTCTGTTAGCTGAGTAGATACATCATGAAAAAGTTTCTGAGATTGCTTCTATCTAGCTTTTATTGGAAGATATTTCCTTTATCACCGGAGTCCTGAGAGCGCTCCAAATGTCCACTTCCAGATACTACAAAAAGAGTGTTTCAAACCTGCTCTATGAAAGGGACTGTTCAACACTGTGACTTCAATTGAAACATCCCAATGAAGCTACTGAGAATGCTTCTGTCTAGAGTTTATATGAAGACAATCCCGTTTCCAACGAAATCCTCAAAGCTATCCAAATATCCTCTTGCAGATATTACAAAAAGAGTGTTTCAAAACTGCTCTATCAAAAGAAAGCTTCAACACTGTTAGTTGAGGGCGCACATCACAAATAAGTTTCTGAGAATGCTTCTGTCTAGTTTTCAGGGGAAGATATTTCCTTTTTCACCATAGGCCTGAAAGCGCTCCAAATGTCCACATCCAGATACTACAAAAAGAGTGTTTCAAACCTGCTCTATGAAAGGGAATGTTCAACTGTGTGACTTGAATGCAAACATCACAAAGAAGTTTCTGGGAATGCTGCTGTCTGCTTTTTATATGTAATCCCGTTTCCAACGAAATCCTCAAAGCTAGACAAATATCCACTTGCAGATTCCACCAAAAGAGTGGTTCAAAACTGCTCTCTCAAAAGAAAGGTTCAACCCTGTTAGCTGAGTGGATAGATCATGAAAAAGTTTCTGACATTGCTTCTATCTAGCTTTTATTGGAAGATATTTCCTTTATCACCGTAGTCCTGAGAGCGCTCCAAATGTCCACTTCCAGATACTACAAAAAGAGTGTTTCAAACCTGCTCTATGAAAGGGAATGTTCAACACTGTGACTTCAATTGAAACATCCCAATGAAGCTTCTGAGAATGCTTCTGTCTAGAGTTTATATGAAGACAATCCCGTTTCCAACGAAATCCTCAAAGCTATCCAAATATCCTCTTGCAGATATTACAAAAAGAGTGTTTCAAAACTGCTCTATCAAAAGAAAGGTTCAACACTGTTAGTTGAGGGCGCACATCACAAATAAGTTTCTGAGAATGCTTTTGTCTAGTTTTCAGGGGAAGATATTTCCTTTTTCACCATAGGCCTGAAAGCGCTCCAAATGTCCACATACAGATACTACAAAAAGAGTGTTTCAAACCTGCTCTATGAAAGGGAATGTTCAACTGTGTGACTTGAATGCAAACATCACAAAGAAGTTTCCGGGAATGCTGCTGTCTGCTTTTTATATGTAATCCCGTTTCCAACGAAATCCTCAAAGCTAGACAAATATCCACTTGCACATTCCACAAAAAGAGTGTTTCAAAACTGCTCTCTCAAAAGAAAGGTTCAACTCTGTTAGCTGAGTAGATACATCATGAAAAAGTTTCTGACATTGCTTCTATCTAGCTTTTATTGGAAGATATTTCCTTTATCACCGTATTCCTGAGATCTCTCCAAATGTCCACTTCCAGATACTACAAAAAGAGTGTTTCAAACCTGCTCTATGAAAGGGACTGTTTAACACTGTGACTTCAATTGAAACATCCAAATGAAGCTTCTGAGAATGCTTCTGTCTAGAGTTTATATGAAGACAATCCCGTTTCCAACGAAATCCTCAAAGCTATCCAAATATCCTCTTGCAGATATTACAAAAAGAGTGTTTCAAAACTGCTCTATCAAAAGAAAGGTTCAACACTGTTAGTTGAGGGCGCACATCACAAATAAGTTTCTGAGAATGCTTCTGTCTAGTTTTCAGGGGAAGATATTTCGTTTTTCACCATAGGCCTGAAAGCGCTCCAAATGTCCACATCCAGATACTTCAAAAAGAGTGTTTCAAACCTGCTCTATGAAAGGGAATGTTCAACTCTGTGACTTGAATGCAAACATCACAAAGAAGTTACTGGGAATGCTGCTGTCTGCTTTTTATATGTAATCCCGTTTCCAACGAAATCCTCAAAGCTAGACAAATATCCACTTGCAGATTCCACAAAAAGAGTGTTTCAAAACTGCTCTCTCAAAGGAAAGGTTCAACCCTGTTAGCTGAGTAGATACATCATGAAAAAGTTTCTAACATTGCTTCTATGTAGCTTTTATTGGAAGATATTTCCTTTTTCACCGTAGTCCTGAGAGCGCTCCAAATGTCCACTTCCAGATACTACAAAAAGAGTGTTTCATACCTGTTCTATGAAAGGAACTGTTCAACACTGTGACTTCAATTGAAACATCCCAATGAAGCTTCTGAGAATGCTTCTGTCTAGAGTTTATATGAAGACAATCCCGTTTCCAACGAAATCCTTAAAGCTATCCAAATATCCTCTTGCAGATATTACAAAAAGAGTGTTTCAAAACTGCTCTATCAAAAGAAAGGTTCAACACTGTTAGTTGAGGGAGCACATCACAAATAAGTTTCTGAGAATGCTTCTGTCTGGTTTCTATTGGAAGGTATTTCCTTTTTCAACACAAGGTTGAATGCGCTTCAAATGGACACTTCCAGATATGACAAAAGGCATGTTTCCAACCTGCTCTATGATACGGAACGTTCAACTCTGTGACTTGAATGCAAACATCACAAAGAAGTTTCTCACAACGCTGCTGTCTGCTTTTTATATGTAATACCGTTTCCAACGCAATCCTCAAAACTACACAAATATCCACTTGCAGATTCCACAAAAAGAGTGTTTCAAAACTACTCTCTCCAAAGAAAGGTTCAACTCTGTTAGCTGAGTAGATACATCATGAAAAATTTTCTGACATTGCTTCTATCTAGCTTTTATTGGAAGATATTTCCTTTTTCACCGTAGTCCTGAGAACGCTCCAAATGTCCACTTCCAGATGCTGCAAAAAGAGTGTTTCAAACCTGCTCTATGAAAGGGACTGTTCAACACTGTGACTTCAATTGAAACATCCCAATGAAGCTTCTGAAAATGCTACTGTCTAGGGTTAATATGAAGACAATCCCGTTTCCAACGAAATCCTCAAAGCTATCCAAATATCCTCTTGCAGATTTTACAAAAAGAATGTTTCAAAACTGCTCTATCAAAAGAAAGCTTCAACACTGTTAGTTGAGGGCGCACATCACAAATAAGTTTCTGAGACTACTTCTGTCTAGTTTTCAGGGGAAGATATTTCCTTTTTCACCATAGGCCTGAAAGCGCTCCAAATGTCCACATCCAGATACTACAAAAAGAGTGTTTCAAACCTGCTCTATGAAAGGGCATGTTCAACTCTGTGACTTGAATGCAAACATCACAAAGAAGTTACTGGGAATGCTGCTGTCTGCTTTTTATATGTAATCCCGTTTCCAACGAAATCCTCAAAGCTAGACAAATATACACTTGCAGATTCCACAAAAAGAGTGTTTCAAAACTGCTCTCTCAAAAGAAAGGTTCAACTCTGTTAGGTGAGTAGATACATCATGAAAAAGTTTCTGACATTGCTTCTATCTAGCTTTTATTGGAAGATATTTCCTTTATCACCGTATTCCTGAGATCTCTCCAAATGTCCACTTCCAGATACTACAAAAAGAGTGTTTCAAACCTGCTCTATGAAAGGGACTGTTCAACACTGAGACTTCAATTGAAAAATCCCAATGAAGCTTCTGAGAATGCTTCTGTCTAGAGTTTATATGAAGACAATCCCGTTTCCAACGAAATCCTCAAAGCTATCCAAATATCCTCTTGCAGATTTTACAAAAAGAGTGTTTCAAAACTGTTCTATCAAAAGAAAGCTTCAACACTGTTAGTTGAGAGCGCATATCACAAATAAGATTCTGAGAATGCTTCTGTCTAGTTTTCAGGGGAAGATATTTCCTTTTTCACCATAGGCCTGAAAGCGCTCCAAATGTCCACATCCAGATACTACAAAAAGAGTGTTTCAAACCTGCTCTATGAAAGGGAATGTTCAACTCTGTGACTTGAATGCAAACATCACAAACAAGATTCTGGGAATGCTGCTGTCTGCTTTTTATAATTAATCCCGTTTCCAACGAAATCCTCAAAGCTAGACAAATATCCACTTGCAGATTCCACAAAAAGAGTGTTTCAAAACTGCTCTATCAAAAGAATGCTTCAACACTGTTAGTTGAGGGCGCACATCACAAATAAGTTTCTGAGAATGCTTCTGTCTAGTTTTCAGGGGAAGATATTTCCTTTTTCACCATAGGCCCGAAAGCGCTCCAAATGTCCACATCCAGATACTACAAAAAGAGTGTTTCAAACCTGCTCTATGAAAGGGACTGTTCAACACTGTGACTTCAATTGAAACATCCCAATGAAGCTTCTGAGAATGCTTCTGTCTAGAGTTTATATGAAGACAATCCGGTTTCCAACGAAATCCTCAAAGCTATCCAAATATCCTCTTGCAGATTTTACAAAAAGAGTGTTTCAAAACTGCTCTATCAAAAGAAAGCTTCAACACTGTTAGTTGAGGGCGCACATCACAAATAAGATTCTGAGAATGCTTCTGTCTAGTTTTCAGGGGAAGATATTTCCTTTTTCACCATAGGCCTGAAAGCGCTCCAAATGTCCACATCCAGATACTACAAAAAGAGTGTTTCAAACCTGCTCTATGAAAGGGAATGTTCAACTCTGTGACTTGAATGCAAACATCACAAAGAAGTTACTGGGAATGCTGCTGTCTGCTTTTTATATGTAATCCCGTTTCCAACGAAATCCTCAAAGCTAGACAAATATCCACTTCCAGATTCCACAAAAAGAGTGTTTCAAAACTGCTCTATCAAAAGAAAGCTTCAACACTGTTAGTTGATTGCGCACATCACAAATAAGTTTCTGAGAATGCTTCTGTCTAGTTTTCAGGGGAAGATATTTCCTTTTTCACCATAGGCCTAAAAGCGCTCCAAATGTCCAAATCCAGATACTACAAAAAGAGTGTTTCAAACCTGCTCTATGAAAGGGAATGTTCAACTCTGTGACTTGAATGCAAACATCACAAAGAAGTTTCTGGGAATGCTGCAGTCTGCTTTTTATATGTAATCCCGTTTCCAACGAAATCCTCAAAGCTAGACAAATATCCACTTGCAGATTCCACAAAAAGAGTGTTTCAAAACTGCTCTCTCAAAAGAAAGTTACAACTCTGTTAGCTGAGTAGATACATCATGACAGTGTTTCTGACATTGCTTCTATGTAGCTTTTATTGGAAGATATTTGCTTTTTCGCCATAGTCCTGAGTGCGCTCAAAATGTCCACTTCCAGATACTACAAAAAGAGTGTTTCAAACCTGCTCTATGAAAGGGACTGTTCAACACTGTGACTTCAATTGAAACATCCCAATGAAGCTTCTGAGAATGCTTCTGTCTAGAGTTTATATGAAGACAATCCCGTTTCCAACGAAATCCTCAAAGCTATCCAAATATCCTCTTGCAGATTTTACAAAAAGAGTGTTTCAAAACTGCTCTATCAAAAGAAAGCTTCAACACTGTTAGTTGAGGGCGCACATCACAAATAAGATTCTGAGAATGCTTCTGTCTAGTTTTCAGGGGAACATATTTCCTTTTTCACCATAGGCCTGAAAGCGCTCCAAATGTCCACATCCAGATACTACAAAAAGAGTGTTTCAAACCTGCTCTATGAAAGGGAATGTTCAACTCTGTGACTTGAATGCAAACATCACAAAGAAGTTACTGGGAATGCTTCTGTCTAGATTCTATATGAAGACAATCCCGTTTCCAACGAAATCCTCAAAGCTATCCAAATATCCTCTTCCAGATTTTACAAAAAGAGTGTTTCAAAACTGCTCTCTCAAAAGAAAGGTTCAATTCTTTTAGCTGAGTAGATACATGATGAAAAAGTTTCTGACATTGCTTCTATCTAGCTTTTATTGGAAGATATTACCTTTATCACCGTATTGCTGAGATCTCTCCAAATGTCCACTTCCAGATACTACAAAAAGAGTGTTTCAAACCTGCTCTATGAAAGGGACTGTTCAACACTGTGACTTCAATTGAAACATCCCAATGAAGCTTCTGAGAATGCTGCTGTCTGCTTTGTATAATTAATCCCGTTTCCAACGAAATCCTCAAAGCTATCCAAATATCCTCTTGCAGATATTACAAAAAGAGTGTTTCAAAACTGCTCTATCAAAAGAAAGCTTCAACACTGTTAGTTGAGGGCGCACATCACAAATAAGTTTCTGAGAATGCTGCTGTCTGCTTTTTATATGTAATCCCGTTTCCAACGAAATCCTCAAAGCTAGACAAACATCCACTTGCAGATTCCACAAAAAGAGTGTTTCAAAACTGCTCTATCAAAAGAATGCTTCAACACTGTTAGTTGAGGGCGCACATCACAAATAAGTTTCTGAGAATGCTTCTGTCTAGTTTTCAGGGGAAGATATTTCCTTTTAAACCATAGGCCTGAAAGCGCTCCAAATGTCCACATCCAGATACTACAAAAAGAGTGTTTCAAACCTGCTCTATGAAAGGGACTGTTCAACACTGTGACTTCAATTGAAACATCCCAATGAAGCTTCTGAGAATGCTTCTGTCTAGAGTTTATATGAAGACAATCCCGTTTCCAACGAAATCCTCAAAGCTATCCAAATATCCTGTTGCAGATTTTACAAAAAGAGTGTTTCAAAACTGCTCTATCAAAAGAAAGCTTCAACACTGTTAGTTGAGGGCGGACATCACAAATAAGATTCTGAGAATGCTTCTGTCTAGTTTTCAGGGGAAGATATTTCCTTTTTCACCATAGGCCTGAAAGCGCTCCAAATGTCCACATCCAGATACTACAAAAAGAGTGTTTCAAACCTGCTCTATGAAAGGGAATGTTCAACTCTGTGACTTGAATGCAAACATCACAAAGAAGTTACTGGGAATGCTGCTGTCTGCTTTTTATATGTAATCCCGTTTCCAACGAAATCCTCAAATCTAGACAAATATCCACTTGCAGATTCCACAAAAGGAGTGTTTCAAAACGGCTCTCTCAAAAGAAAGGTTGAACTCTGTTAGCTGAGTAGATACATCATGAAAAATTCTCTGACATTGCTTCTATCTAGCTTTATTTGGAAGATATTTCCTTTTTCACCGTAGTCCTGAGAACGCTCCAAATGTCCACTTCCAGATACTACAAAAAGAGTGTTTCAAACATGCTCTATGAAAGGGACTGTTCAACACTGTGACTTCAATTGAAACATCCCAAAGAAGCTTATCAGAATGCTTCTGTCTAGAGTTTATATGAAGACAATCCCGTTTCCAACGAAATCCTCAAAGCTATCCAAATATCCTCTTGCAGATATTACAAAAAGAGTGTTTCAAAACTGCTCTATCAAAAGAAAGGTTCAACACTGTTAGTTGAGGGCGCACATCACAAATAAGTTTACTGAGAATGCTGCTGTCTGCTTTTTATAATTAATCCCGTTTCCAACGAAATCCTCAAAGCTATCCAAATATCCTCTTGCAGATATTACAAAAAGAGTGTTTCAAAACTGCTCTATCAAAAGAAAGCTTCAACACTGTTAGTTGAGGGCGCACATCACAAATAAGATTCTGAGAATGCTTCTGTCTAGTTTTCAGGGGAAGATATTTCCTTTTTCACCATAGGCCTGAAAGCGCTCCAAATGTCCACATCCAGATACTACAAAAGGAGTGTTTCAAACCTGCTCTATGAAAGGGACTGTTCAACACTGTGACTTCAATTGAAACATCCCAATGAAGCTTCTGAGAATGCTTCTGTCTAGAGTTTATATGAAGACAATCCCGTTTCCAACGAAATCCTCAAAGCTATCCAAATATCCTGTTGCAGATATTACAAAAAGAGTGTTTCAAAACTGCTCTATCAAAAGAAAGCTTCAACACTGTTAGTTGAGGGCGCACATCACAAATAAGTTTCTGAGAATGCTTCTGTCTAGTTTTCAGGAGAAGATATTTCCTTTTTCACCATAGGCCTGAAAGCGCTCCAAATGTTCACATCCAGATACTATAAAAAGAGTGTTTCAAACCTGCTCTATGAAAGGGAATGTTCAACTCTGTGACTTGAATGCAAACATCACAAACAAGATTCTGGGAATGCTGCTGTCTGCTTTTTATATGTAATCCCGTTTCCAACGAAATCCTCAAAGCTAGACAAACATCCACTTGCAGATTCCACAAAAAGAGTGTTTCAAATCTGCTCTATCAAAAGAAAGCTTCAACACTGTTAGTTGAGGGCGCACATCACAAATAAGTTTCTGAGAATGCTTCTGTCTAGTTTTCAGGGGAAGATATTTCCTTTTTCACCATAGGCCTGAAAGCGCTCCAAATGTCCACATCCAGATACTACAAAAAGAGTGTTTCAAACCTGCTCTATGAAAGGGACTGTTCAACACTGTGACTTCAATTGAAACATCCCAATGAAGCTTCTGAGAATGCTTCTGTCTAGAATTTATATGAAGACAATCCCGTTTCCAAAGAAATCCTCAAAGCTATCCAAATATCCTCTTGCAGATTTTACAAAAAGAGTGTTTCAAAACTGCTCTATCAAAAGAAAGCTTCAATACTGTTAGTTGAGGGCGCACATCACAAATAAGATTCTGAGAATGCTTCTGTCTAGTTTTCAGGGGAAGATATTTCCTTTTTCACCATAGGCCTGAAAGCGCTCCAAATGTCCACATCCAGATACTACAAAAAGAGTGTTTCAAACCTGCTCTATGAAAGGGAATGTTCAACTCTGTGACGTGAATGCAAACATCACAAAGAAGTTTCTGGGAATGCTGCTGTCTGCTTTTTATATGTAATCCCGTTTCCAACGAAATCCTCAAAGCTAGACAAATATCCACTTGCAGATTCCACAAAAAGAGTGTTTCAAAACTGCTCTATCAAAAGAATGCTTCAACACTGTTAGTTGAGGGCGCACATCACAAATAAGTTTCTGAGAATGCTTCTGTCTAGTTTTCAGGGGAAGATATTTCCTTTTAAACCATAGGCCTGAAAGCGCTCCAAATGTCCACATCCAGATACTACAAAAAGAGTGTTTCAAACCTGCTCTATGAAAGGGACTGTTCAACACTGTAACTTCAATTGAAACATCCCAATGAAGCTTCTGAGAATGCTTCTGTCTAGAGTTTATATGAAGACAATCCCGTTTCCAACGAAATCCTCAAAGCTATCCAAATATCCTCTTGCAGATATTACAAAAAGAGTGTTTCAAAACTGCTCTATCAAAAGAAAGCTTCAACACTGTTAGTTGAGGGCGCACATCACAAATAAGTTTCTGAGAATGCTTCTGTCTAGTTTTCAGGGGAAGATATTTCCTTTTTCACCTTAGGCCTGAAAGCGCTCCAAATGTCCACATCCAGATACTACAAAAAGAGTGTTTCAAACCTGCTCTATGAAAGGGAATGTTCCACTCTGTGACTTGAATGCAAACATCACAAAGAAGTTTCTGGGAATGCTGCTGTCTGCTTTTTATATGTAATCCCATTTCCAACGAAATCCTCAAAGCTAGACAAATATCCACTTGCAGATTCCACAAAAAGAGTGTTTCAAAACTGCTCTCTCAAAAGAAAGGTTCAACTCTGTTAGCTGAGTAGATACATCATGAAAAAGTTTCTGACTTTGCTTCTATGTAGCTTTTATTGGAAGATATTTCCTTTTTCACCGTAGTCCTGAGAGCGCTCCAAATGTCCACTTCCAGATACTACAAAAAGAGTGTTTCAAACCTGCTCTATGAAAGGGACTGTTCAACACTGTGACTTCAATTGAAACATCCCAATGAAGCTTCTGAGAATGCTTCTGTCTAGAGTTTATATGAAGACAATCCCGTTTCCAACGAAATCCTCAAAGCTATCCAAATATCCTCTTGCAGATTTTACAAAAAGAGTGTTTCAAAACTGCTCTATCAAAAGAAAGCTTCAACTCTGTTAGTTGAGGGCGCACATCACAAATAAGATTCTGAGAATGCTTCTGTCTAGTTTTCAGGGGAAGATATTTCCTTTTTCACCATAGGCCTGAAAGCGCTCCAAATGTCCACATCCAGATACTACAAAAAGAGTGTTTCAAACCTGCTCTATGAAAGGGAATGTTCAACTCTGTGACTTGAATGCAAACATCACAAAGAAGATTCTGGGAATGCTGCTGTCTGCTTTTTATATGTAATCCCGTTTCCAACGAAATCCTCAAAGCTAGACAAATATCCACTTGCAGATTCCACAAAAAGAGTGTTTCAAAACTGCTCTATCAAAAGAAAGCTTCAACACTGTTAGTTGAGGGGGCACATCACAAATAAGTTTCTGAGAATGCTTCTGTCTAGTTTTCAGGGGAAGATATTTCCTTTTTCACCATAGGCCTGAAAGCGCTCCAAATGTCCACATCCAGATACTACAAAAAGAGTGTTTCAAACCTGCTCTATGAAAGGGACTGTTCAACACTGTGACTTCAATTGAAACATCCCAATGAAGCATCTGAGAATGCTTCTGTCTAGAGTTTATATGAAGACAATCCCGTTTCCAACGAAATCCTCAAAGCTATCCAAATATCCTCTTGCAGATATTACAAAAAGAGTGTTTCAAAACTGCTCTATCAAAAGAAAGGTTCAACACTGTTAGTTGAGGGCGCACATCACAAATAAGTTTACTGAGAATGCTTTCTGTCTAGTTTTCAGGAGAAGATATTTCCTTTTTCACCATAGGCCTGAAAGCGCTCCAAATGTCCACATCCAGATACTATAAAAAGAGTGTTTCCAACCTGCTCTCTGAAAGGGAATGTTCAACTCTGTCACTTGAATGCAAACATCACAAACAAGATTCTGGGAATGCTGCTGTCTGCTTTTTATAATTAATCCCGTTTCCAACGAAATCCTCAAAGCTATCCAAATATCCTCTTGCAGATATTACAAAAAGAGTGTTTCAAAACTGCTCTATCAAAAGAAAGCTTCAACACTGTTAGTTGAGGGCGCACATCACAAATAAGTTTCTGAGAATGCTTCTGTCTAGTTTTCAGGGGAAGATATTTCCTTTTTCACCATAGGCCTGAAAGCGCTCCAAATGTCCACATCCAGATACTACAAAAAGAGTGTTTCAAACCTGCTCTATGAAAGGGAATGTTCAACTCTGTGACGTGAATGCAAACATCACAAAGAAGTTTCTGGGAATGCTGCTGTCTGCTTTTTATATGTAATCCCGTTTCCAACGAAATCCTCAAAGCTAGACAAATATCCACTTGCAGATTCCACAAAAAGAGTGTTTCAAAACTGCTCTATCAAAAGAATGCTTCAACACTCTTAGCTGAGGGCGCACATCACAAATAAGTTTCTGAGAATGCTTCTGTCTAGTTTTCAGGGGAAGATATTTCCTTTTAAAACATAGCCCTGAAAGCGCTCCAAATGTCCACATCCAGATACTACAAAAAGAGTGTTTCAAACCTGCTCTATGAAAGGGACTGTTCAACACTGCAACTTCAATTGAAACATCCCAATGAAGCTTCTGAGAATGCTTCTGTCTAGAGTTTATATGAAGACAATCCCGTTTCCAACGAAATCCTCAAAGCTATCCTAATATCCTCTTACAAATTTTACAAAAAGAGTGTTTCAAAACTACTCTATCAAAAAAAAGCTTCAACACTGTTAGTTGAGGGCGCACATCACAAATAAGATTCTGAGAATGCTTCTGTCTAGTTTTCAGGGGAAGATATTTCCTTTTTCACCATAGGCCTGAAAGAGCTCCAAATGTCCACATCCAGATACTACAAAAAGAGTGTTTCAAACCTGCTCTATGAAAGGGAATGTTCAACTCTGTGACTTGAATGCAAACATCACAAAGAAGTTTCTGGGAATGCTGCTGTCTGCTTTTTATATGTAATCCCGTTTCCAACGAAATCCTCAAAGCTAGACAAATTTCCACTTGCAGATTCCACAAAAAGAGTGTTTCAAAACTGCTCTCTCAAAGGAAAGGTTCAACTCTGTTAGCTGAGTAGATACATCATGAAAAAGTTTCTGACATTGCTTCTCTCTAGCTTTTATTGGAAGATAATTCCTTTTTCACCGCAGTCCTGACAGCGCTCCAAATGTCCACTTCCAGATAATACAAAAAGAGTGTTTCAAACCTGCTCTATGAAAGGGACTGTTCAACACTGTGACTTCAATTGAAACATCCCAATGAAGCTTCTGAGAATGCTTCTGTCTAGGAGTTTATATGAAGACAATCCCGTTTCCAACGAAATCCTCAAAGCTATCCAAATATCCTCTTGCAGATTTTACAAAAAGAGTGTTTCAAAACTGCTCTATCAAAAGAAAGCTTCAACACTGTTAGTTGAGGGCGCACATCACAAATAAGATTCTGAGAATGCTTCTGTCTAGTTTTCAGGGGAAGATATTTCCCTTTTCACCATAGGCCTGAAAGCGCTCCAAATGTCCACATCCAGATACTACAAAAAGAGTGTTTCAAACCTGCTCTATGAAAGGGAATGTTCAACTCTGTGACTTGAATGCAAACATCACAAAGAAGTTTCTGGGAATGCTGCTGTCTGCTTTTTATATGTAATCCCGTTTCCAACGAAATCCTCAAAGCTATCCAAATATCCTCTTGCAGATATTACAAAAAGAGTGTTTCAAAACTGCTCTATCAAAAGAAAGGTTCAACACTGTTAGTTGAGGGCGCACATCACAAATAAGTTTCTGAGAATGCTTCTGTCTAGTTTTCAGGGGAAGATATTTCCTTTTTCACCATAGGCCTGAAAGCGCTCCAAATGTCCACATCCAGATACTACAAAAAGAGTGTTTCAAACCTGCTCTATGAAAGGGAATGTTCAACTCTGTGACTTGAATGCAAACATCACAAAGAAGTTACTGGGAATGCTGGGGTCTGCTTTTTATATGTAATCCCGTTTCCAACGAAATCCTCAAAGCTAGACAAATATCCACTTGCATATTCCACAAAAAGAGTGTTTCAAAACTGCTCTCTCAAAAGAAAGGTTCAACTCTGTTAGCTGAGTAGATACATCATGAAAAAGTTTCTGACATTGCTTCTATCTAGCTTTTATTGGAAGATATTTCCTTTTTCACCGTATTCCTGAGAGCGCTCCAAATGTCCACTTCCAGATACTACAAAAAGAGTGTTTCAAACCTGCTCTATGAAAGGGACTGTTCAACACTGTGACTTCAATTGAAACATCCCAATGAAGCTTCTGAGAATGCTTCTGTCTAGAGTTTATATGAAGACAATCCCGTTTCCAACGAAATCCTCAAAGCTATCCAAATATCCTCTTGCAGATATTACAAAAAGAGTGTTTCAAAACTGCTCTATCAAAAGAAAGGTTCAACACTGTTAGTTGAGGGCGCACATCACAAATAAGTTTACTGAGAATGCTGCTGTCTGCTTTTTATATGTAATCCCGTTTCCAACGAAATCCTCAAAGCTAGACAAATATCCACTAGCAGATTCCACAAAAAGAGTGTTTCAATACTGCTCTATCAAAAGAATGCTTCAACACTGTTAGTTGAGGGCGCACATCACAAATAAGTTTCTGAGAATGCTTCTGTCTAGTTTTCAGGGGAAGATATTTCCTTTTTCACCATAGGCCTGAAAGCGCTCCAAATGTCCACATCCAGATACTAAAAAAAGAGTGTTTCAAACCTGCTCTATGAAAGGGACTGTTCAACACTGTGACTTCAATTGAAACATCCCAATGAAGCTTCTGAGAATGCTTCTGTCTAGAGTTTATATGAAGACAATCCAGTTTCCAAAGAAATCCTCAAAGCTATCCAAATATCCTCTTGCAGATTTTACAAAAAGAGTGTTTCAAAACTGCTCTATCAAAAGAAAGCTTCAACACTGTTAGTTGAGGGCGCACATCACAAATAAGATTCTGAGAATGCTTCTGTCTAGTTTTCAGGGGAAGATATTTCCTTTTTCACCATAGGCCTGAAAGCGCTCCAAATGTCCACATCCAGATACTACAAAAAGAGTGTTTCAAACCTGCTCTATGAAAGGGAATGTTCAACTCTGTGACTTGAATGCTAACTTCACAAAGAAGTTTCTGGGAATGCTGCTGTCTGCTTTTTATATGTAATCCCGTTTCCAACGAAATCCTCAATGCTAGACAAATATCCACTTGCAGATTCCACAAAAAGAGTGTTTCAAAACTGCTCTCTCAAAAGAAAGGTTCAACTCTGTTAGCTGAGTAGATACATCATGAAAAAGTTTCTGACATTGCTTCTATCTAGCTTTTATTGGAAGATATATCCTTTTTCACCGCAGTCCTGAGAGCGCTCCAAATATCCACTTCCAGATACTACAAAAAGAGTGTTTCAAACCTGTTCTATGAAAGGAACTGTTCAACACTGTGACTTCAATTGAAACATCCCAACGAAGCTTCTGAGAATGCTTCTGCCTAGAGTTTATATGAAGACAATCCCGTTTCCAACGAAATCCTCAAAGCTATCCAAATATCCTCTTGCAGATATTACAAAAAGAGTGTTTCAAAACTGCTCTATCAAAAGAAAGCTTCAACACTGTTAGTTGAGGGCGCACATCACAAATAAGTTTCTGAGAATGCTTCTGTCTAGTTTTCAGGGGAAGATATTTCCTTTTTCACCTTAGGCCTGAAAGCGCTGCAAATGTCCACAACCAGATACTACAAAAAGAGTGTTTCAAACTTGCTCTATGAAAGGGAATGTTCAACTCTGTGACTTGAATGCAAACATCACAAAGAAGTTTCTGGGAACGCTGCTGTCTGCTTTTTATATGTAATCCCGTTTCCAACGAAATCCTCAAAGCTAGACAAATATCCACTTGCAGATTCCACAAAAAGAGTGTTTCAAAACTGCTCTATCAAAAGAATGCTTCAACACTGTTAGTTGAGGGCGCACATCACAAATAAGTTTCTGAGAATGCTTCTATCTAGCTTTTATTGGAAAATATTTCCTTTTTCACCATAGTCCTGAGAGCGCTCCAAATGTCCATTTCCAGGTACTACAAAAAGAGTGTTTCAAACCTGTTCTATGAAAGGGACTGTTCAACACTGTGACTTCAATTGAAACATCCCAATGAAGCTTCTGAGAATGCTTCTGTCTAGAGTTTATATGAAGACAATCCCGTTTCCAACGAAATCCTCAAAGCTAGACAAATATCCACTTGCAGATTCCACAAAAAGAGTGTTTCAAAACTGCTCTATCAAAAGAAAGCTTCAACACTGTTAGTTGAGGGCGCACATCACAAATAAGTTTCTGAGAATGCTTCTGTCTAGTTTTCAGGGGAAGATATTTCCTTTTTCACCATAGGCCTGAAAGCGCTCCAAATGTCCACATCCCGATACTACAAAAAGAGTGTTTCAAACCTGCTCTATGAAAGGGACTGTTCAACACTGTGACTTCAATTGAAACATCCCAATGAAGCTTCTGAGAATGCTTCTGTCTAGAGTTTATATGAAGACAATCCCGTTTCCAACGAAATCCTCAAAGCTATCCAAATATCCTCTTACAGATATTACAAAAAGAGTGTTTCAAAACTGCTCTATCAAAAGAAAGCTTCAACACTGTTAGTTGAGGGCGCACATCACAAATAAGTTTCTGAGAATGCTTCTGTCTATTTTTCAGGGGAAGATATTTCCTTTTTCACCTTAGGCCTGAAAGCGCTGCAAATGTCCACATCCAGATACTACAAAAAGAGTGTTTCAAACCTGCTCTATGAAAGGGAATGTTCAACTCTGTGACTTGAATGCAAACATCACAAAGAAGTTTCTGGGAATGCTGCTGTCTGCTTTTTATATGTAATCCCGTTTCCAACGAAATCCTCAAAGCTAGACAAATATCCACTTGCACATTCCACAAAAAGAGTGTTCCAAAACTGCTCTCTCAAATGAAGGTTCAACTCTGTTAGCTGAGTAGATACATCATGAAAAAGTTTCTGACATTGCTTCTATCTAGCTTTTATTGGAAGATATTTCCTTTTTCACCGTAGTCCTGAGAGCGCTCCAAATGTCCACTTCCAGATACTACAAAAAGAGTGTTTCAAACCTGCTCTATGAAAGGGACTGTTCAACACTGTGACTTCAGTTGAAACATCCCAATGAAGCTTCTGAGAATGCTACTGTCTAGAGTTTATATGAAGACAATCCCGTTTCCAACGAAATCCTCAAAGCTATCCAAATATCCTCTTGCAGATTTTACAAAAAGAGTGTTTCAAAACTACTCTATCAAAAGAAAGGTTTAACACTGTTAGTTGAAGGCGCACATCACAAATAAGTTTCTGAGAATGCTTCTGTCTAGTTTTCAGGGGAAGATACTTCCTTTTTCACCATAGGCCTGAAAGCGCTCCAAATGTCCACATCCAGATACTACAAAAAGAGTGTTTCAAACCTGCTCTATGGAAGGGAATGTTCAAGTCTGTGACTTGAATGCAAATATCACAAAGAAGTTTCTGGGAATGCTGCTGTCTGCTTTTTATATGTAATCCCGTTTCCAACGAAATCCTCAAAGCTAGACAAATATCCACTTGCAGATTCCACAAAAAGAGTGTTTCAAAACTGCTCTATCAAAAGAAAGCTTCAACACTGTTAGTTGAGGGCGCACATCACAAATAAGTTTCTGAGAATGCTTCTGTCTAGTTTTCAGGGGAAGATATTTCCTTTTTCACCATAGGCCTGAAAGTGCTCCAAATGTCCACATCCAGATACTACAAAAAGAGTGTTTCAAACCTGCTCTATGAAAGGGAATGTTCAACTCTGTGACTTGAATGCAAACTTCACAAAGAAGTTTCTGGGAATGCTGCTGTCTGCTTTTTATATGTAATCCCGTTTCCAACGAAATCCTCAAAGCTAGACAAATATCCACTTGCAGATTCCACAAAAAGAGTGTTTCAAAACTGCTCTATCAAAAGAAAGCTTCAACACTGTTAGTTGAGGGCGCACATCACAAATAAGTTTCTGAGAATGCTTCTGTCTAGTTTTCAGGGGAAGATATTTCCTTTTTCACCATAGGCCTGAAAGCGCTCCAAATGTCCACATCCAGATACTACAAAAAGAGTGTTTCAAACCTGCTCTATGAAAGGGACTGTTCAACACTGTGACTTCAATTGAAACATCCCAATGAAGCTTCTGAGAATGCTTCTGTCTAGAGTTTATATGAGGACAACCCCGTTTCCAAAGAAATCCTCAAAGCTATCCAAATATCCTCTTGCAGATTTTACAAAAAGAGTGTTTCAAAACTGCTCTATCAAAAGAAAGCTTCAACACTGTTAGTTGAGGGCGCACATCACAAATAAGATTCTGAGAATGCTTCTGTCTAGTTTTCAGGGGAAGATATTTCCTTTTTCACCATAGGCCTGAAAGCGCTCCAAATGTCCATATCCAGATACTACAAAAAGAGTGTTTCAAACCTGCTCTATGAAAGGGAATGTTCAACTCTGTGACTTGAATGCTAACTTCACAAAGAAGTTTCTGGGAATGCTGCTGTCTGCTTTTTATATGTAATCCCGTTTCCAACGAAATCCTCAAACCTAGACAAATATCCACTTGCAGATTCCACAAAAAGAGTGTTTCAAAACTGCTCTCTCAAAAGAAAGGTTCAACTCTGTTAGCTGAGTAGATACATCATGAAAAAGTTTCTGACATTGCTTCTATCTAGCTTTTATTGGAAGATATTTCCTTTATCACCGTATTCCTGAGATCTCTCCAAATGTCCACTTCCAGATCCTACAAAGGAGTGTTTCAAACCTGCTCTATGAAAGGGACTGTTCAACACTGTGACTTCAATTGAAACATCCCAATGAAGCTTCTGAGAATGCTTCTGTCTAGAGTTTATATGAAGACAATCCCGTTTCCAACGAAATCCTCAAAGCTATCCAAATATCCTCTTGCAGATATTACAAAAAGAGTGTTTCAAAACTGCTCTATCAAAAGAAAGGTTCAACACTGTTAGTTGAGGGCGCACATCACAAATAAGATTCTGAGAATGCTTCTGTCTAGTTTTCAGGGGAAGATATTTCCTTTTTCACCATAGGCCTGAAAGCGCTCCAAATGTCCACATCCAGATACTACAAAAAGAGTGTTTCAAACCTGCTCTATGAAAGGGAATGTTCAACTCTGTGACTTGAATGCAAACATCACAAAGAAGATTCTGGGAATGCTGCTGTCTGCTTTTTATATGTAATCCCGTTTCCAACGAAATCCTCAAAGCTAGACAAATATCCACTTGCAGATTCCACAAAAAGAGTGTTTCAAAACTGCTCTATCAAAAGAAAGCTTCAACACTGTTAGTTGAGGGCGCACATCACAAATAAGTTTCTGAGAATGCTTCTGTCTAGTTTTCAGGGGAAGATATTTCCTTTTTCACCATAGGCCTGAAAGCGCTCCAAATGTCCACATCCAGATACTACAAAAAGAGTGTTTCAAACCTGCTCTATGAAAGGGACTGTTCAACACTGTGACTTCAATTGAAACATCCCAATGAAGCTTCTGAGAATGCTTCTGTCTAGAGTTTATATGAAGACAATCCCGTTTCCAACGAAATCCTCAAAGCTATCCAAATATCCTCTTGCAGATTTTACGAAAAGAGTGTTTCAAAACTGCTCTATCAAAAGAAAGCTTCAACACTGTTAGTTGAGGGCGCCCATCGCAAATAAGTTTCTGAGAATGCTTCTGTCTAGTTTTCAGGGGAAGATATTTCCTTTTTCACCGTAGGCCTGAAAGCGCTGCAAATGTCCACATCCAGATACTACAAAAAGAGTGTTTCAAACCTGCTCTATGAAAGGGAATGTTCAACTCTGTGACTTGAATGCAAACATCACAAAGAAGTTACTGGGAATGCTGCTGTCTGCTTTTTATATGTAATCCCGTTTCCAACGAAATCCTCAAAGCTAGACAAATATCCACTTGCAGATTCCACAAAAAGAGTGTTCAAAAACTGCTCTCTCAAAAGAAAGGTTCAACTCTGTTAGCTGAGTAGATACATCATGAAAAAGTTTCTGACATTGCTTCTATCTAGCTTTTATTGGAAGATATTTCCTTTTTCACCGTAGTCCTGAGAGCGCTCCAAATGTCCACTTCCAGATACTACAAAAAGAGTGTTTCAAACCTGCTCTATGAAAGGGACTGTTCAACACTGTGACTTCAATTGAAACATCCCAATGAAGCTTCTGAGAATGCTTCTGTCTAGAGTTTATATGAAGACAATCCCGTTTCCAACGAAATCCTCAAAGCTATCCAAATATCCTCTTGCAGATATTACAAAAAGAGTGTTTCAAAACTGCTCTATCAAAAGAAAGCTTCAACACTGTTAGTTGAGGGCGCACATCACAAATAAGTTTCTGAGAATGCTTCTGTCTAGTTTTCAGGAGAAGATATTTCCTTTTTCACCGTATTCCTGAGATCTCTCCAAATGTCCACTTCCAGATACTACAAAAAGAGTGTTTCAAACCTGCTCTATGAAAGGGACTGTTCAACACTGTGACTTCAATTGAAACATCCCAATGAAGCTTCTGAGAATGCTTCTGTCTAGAGTTTATATGAAGACAATCCCGTTTCCAACGAAATCCTCAAAGCTATCCAAATATCCTCTTGCAGATTTTACAAAAAGAGTGTTTCAAAACTGCTCTATCAAAAGAAAGCTTCAACACTGTTAGTTGAGGGCGCACATCACAAATAAGATTCTGAGAATGCTTCTGTCTAGTTTTCAGGAGAAGATATTTCCTTTTTCACCATAGGCCTGAAAGCGCTCCA
Source organism: Homo sapiens (assembly GCF_000001405.40). NCBI lineage: Eukaryota > Metazoa > Chordata > Mammalia > Primates > Hominidae > Homo > Homo sapiens. The sequence goes on along the minus strand of NC_000002.12, from coordinate 92,429,076 downwards.
AATGTCCACATCCAGATACTACAAAAAGAGTGTTTCTAACCTGCTCTATGAAAGGGAATGTTCAACTCTGTGAGCGTGAATGCAAACATCACAAAGAAGATTACTGGGAATGCTGCTGTCTGCTTTTTATATGTAATCCCGTTTCCAACGAAATCCTCAATGCTAGACAAATATCCACTTGCAGATTCCACAAAAAGAGTGTTTCAAAACTGCTCTCTCAAAAGAAAGGTTCAACTCTGTTAGCTGAGTAGATACATCATGAAAAAGTTTCTGACATTGCTTCTATCTAGCTTTTATTGGAAGATATTTCCTTTTTCACCGCAGTCCTGAGAGCGTTCCAAATGTCCACTTCCAGATACTACAAAAAGAGTGTTTCAAACCTGCTCTATGAAAGGGACTGTTCAACACTGTGACTTCAATTGAAACATCCCAATGAAGCTTCTGAGAATGCTTCTGCCTAGAGTTTATATGAAGACAATCCCGTTTCCAACGAAATCCTCAAAGCTATCCAAATATCCTCTTGCAGATATTACAAAAAGAGTGTTTCAAAACTGCTCTATCAAAAGAAAGCTTCAACACTGTTAGTTGAGGGCGCACATCACAAATAAGTTTCTGAGAATGCTTCTGTCTAGTTTTCAGGGGAAGATATATCCTTTCTCACCTTAGGCCTGAAAGCGCTGCAAATGTCCACATCCAGATACTACAAAAAGAGTGTTTCAAACCTGCTCTATGAAAGGGAATGTTCAACTCTGTGACTTGAATGCAAACATCACAAAGAAGTTTCTGGGAATGCTGCTGTCTGCTTTTTATATGTAATCCCGTTTCCAACGAAATCCTCAAAGCTAGACAAATATCCACTTGCAGATTCCACAAAAAGAGTGTTTCAAAACTGCTCTATCAAAAGAATGCTTCAACACTGTTAGTTGAAGGCGCACATCACAAATAAGTTTCTGAGAATGCTTCTGTCTAGTTTTCAGTGGAATATATTTCCTTTTTCACCGTAGTCCTGAGAGCGCTCCAAATGTCCAATTCCAGATACTACAAAAAGAGTGTTTCAAACCTGCTCTATGAAAGGGACTGTTCAACACTGTGACTTCAATTGATACATCCCAATGAAGCTTATCAGAATGCTTCTGTCTAGAGTTTATATGAAGACAATCCCGTTTCCAACGAAATCCTCAAAGCTATCCAAATATCCTCTTGCAGATTTTACAAAAAGAGTGTTTCAAAACTGCTCTATCAAAAGAAAGGTTCAACACTGTTAGTTGAGGGCGCACATCACAAATAAGTTTCTGAGAATGCTTCTGTCTAGTTTTCAGGGGAAGATATTTCCTTTTTCACCATAGGCCTGAAAGCGCTCCAAATGTCCACATCCAGATACTACAAAAAGAGTGTTTCAAACCTGCTCTATGAAAGGGAATGTTCAACTCTGAGACTTGAATGCAAACATCACAAAGAAGTTTCTGGGAATGCTGCTGTCTGCTTTTTATATGTAATCCTGTTTCCAACGAAATCCTCAAAGCTAGACAAATATCCACTTGCAGATTCCACAAAAAGAGTGTTTCAAAACTGCTCTCTCAAAAGAAAGGTTCAACTGCTGTTAGCTGAGTAGATACATCATGAAAAAGTTTCTGACATTGCTTCTGTCTAGTTTTCAGGGGAAGATATTTCCTTTATCACCATAGGCCTGAAAGCGCTCCAAATGTCCACATCCAGATACTACAAAAAGAGTGTTTCAAACCTGCTCTATGAAAGGGAATGTTCAACTCTGTGACTTGAATGCAAACATCACAAAGAAGTTTCTGGGAATGCTGCTGTCTGCTTTTTATATGTAATCCCGTTTCCAACGAAATCCTCAAAGCTAGACAAATATCCACTTGCAGATTCCACAAAAAGAGTGTTTCAAAACTGCTCTCTCAAAAGAAAGGTTCAACACTGTTAGTTGAGGGCGCACATCACAAATAAGTTTCTGAGAATGCTTCTGTCTAGTTTTCAGGGGAAGATATTTCCTTTTAAACCATAGGCCTGAAAGCGCTCCAAATGTCCACATCCAGATACTACAAAAAGAGTGTTTCAAACCTGCTCTATGAAAGGGACTGTTCAACACTGTGACTTCAATTGAAACATCCCAATGAAGCTTCTGAGAATGCTTCTGTCTAGAGTTTATATGAAGACAATCCCGTTTCCAACGAAATCCTCAAAGCTATCCAAATATCCTCTTGCAGATTTTACAAAAAGAGTGTTTCAAAACTGCTCTATCAAAAGAAAGCTTCAACACTGTTAGTTGAGGGCGCACATCACAAATAAGATTCTGAGAATGCTTCTGTCTAGTTTTCAGGGGAAGATATTTCCTTTTTCACCTTAAGCCTGAAAGCGCTGCAAATGTCCACATCCAGATACTACAAAAAGAGTGTTTCAAACCTGCTCTATGAAAGGGAATGTTCAACTCTGTGACTTGAATGCAAACATCACAAAGAAGTTTCTGGGAATCCTGCTGTCTGCTTTTTATATGTAATCCCGTTTCCAACGAAATCCTCAAAGCTAGACAAATATCCACTTGCAGATTCCACAAAAAGAGTGTTTCAAAACTGCTCTCTCAAAAGAAAGGTTCAACTCTGTTAGGTGAGTAGATACATCATGAAAAATTTTCTGACATTGCTCCTATCTAGCTTTTATTGGAAGATATTTCCTTTGTCACCGTATTCCTGAGATCTCTGCAAATGTCCACTTCCAGATACAACAAAAAGAGTGTTTCAAACCTGCTCTATGAAAGGGACTGTTCAACACTGTGACTTCAATTGAAACATCCCAATGAAGCTTCTGAGAATGCTTCTGTCTAGAGTTTATATGAAGACAATCCCGTTTCCAACGAAATCCTCAAAGCTATCCAAATATCCTCTTGCAGATATTTCAAAAAGTGTGTTTCAAAACTGCTCTATCAAAAGAAAGGTTCAACACTGTTAATTGAGGGCGCACATCACAAATAAGTTTCTGAGAATGCTGCTGTCTGCTTTTTATATGTAATCCCGTTTCCAACGAAATCCTCAAAGCTAGACAAATATCCACTTGCAGATTCCACAAAAAGAGTGTTTCAAAACTGCTCTATCAAAAGAATGCTTCAACACCGTTAGTTGAGGGCGCACATCACAAATAAGTTTCTGAGAATGCTTCTGTCTAGTTTTCAGAGGAAGATATTTCCTTTTTCACCATAGGCCTGAAAGCGCTCCAAATGTCCACATCCAGATACTACAAAAAGAGTGTTTCAAACCTGCTCTATGGAAGGGACTGTTCAACACTGTGACTTCAATTGAAACATCCCAATGAAGATTCTGAGAATGCTTCTGTCTAGAGTTTATATGAAGACAATCCCGTTTCCAACGAAATCCTCAAAGCTATCCAAATATCCTCTTGCAGATTTTACAAAAAGAGTGTTTCAAAACTGCTCTATCAAAAGAAAGCTTCAACACTGTTAGTTGAGGGCGCACATCACAAATAAGATTCTGAGAATGCTTCTGCCTAGTTTTCAGGAGAAGATATTTCCTTTTTCACCATAGGCCTGAAAGCGCTCCAAATGTCCACATCCAGATACTATAAAAAGAGTGTTTCAAACCGGCTCTCTGAAAGGGAATGTTCAACTCTGTGACTTGAATGCAAACATTACAAACAAGATTCTGGGAATGCTGCTGTCTGCTTTTTATATGTAATCCCGTTTCCAACGAAATCCTCAAAGCTAGACAAATATCCACTTGCAGATTCCACAAAAAGAGTGTTTCAAAACTGCTCTATCAAAAGAATGCTTCAACACTGTTAGTTGAGGGCGCACATCACAAATAAGTTTCTGAGAATGCTTCTGTCTAGTTTTCAGGGGAAGATATTTCCTTTTAAACCATAGGCCTGAAAGCGCTCCAAATGTCCACATCCAGATACTACAAAAAGAGTGTTTCAAACCTGCTCTATGAAAGGGACTGTTCAACACTGTGACTTCAATTGAAACATCCCAATGAAGCTTCTGAGAATGCTTCTGTCTAGAGTTTATATGAAGACAATCCCGTTTCCAACGAAATCCTCAAAGCTATCCAAATATCCTCTTGCAGATTTTACAAAAGGAGTGTTTCAAAACTGCTCTATCAAAAGAAAGGTTCAACACTGTTAGTTGAGGGCGCACATCACAAATAAGTTTCTGAGAATGCTTCTGTCTAGTTTTCAGGAGAAGATATTTCCTTTTTCACCACAGGCCTGAAAGCGCTCCAAATGTCCACATCCAGATACTATAAAAAGAGTGTTTCAAACCTGCTCTATGAAAGGGAATGTTCAACTCTGGGACTTGAATGCAAACATCACAAAGAAGATTCTGGGAATGCTGCTGTCTGCTTTTTATATGTAATCCCGTTTCCAACGAAATCCTCAAATGTAGACAAATATCCACTTGCAGATTCCACAAAACGAGTGTTTCAAAACTGCTCTCTCAAAAGAAAGGTTCAACTCTGTTAGCTGAGTAGATACATCATGAAAAAGTTTCTGACATTGCTTCTATCTAGCTTTTATTGGAAGATATTTCCTTTTTCACCGCAGTCCTGTGAGCGCTCCAAATGTCCACTTCCAGATACTACAAAAAGAGTGTTTCAAACCTGCTCTATGAAAGGGACTGTTCAACACTGTGACTTCAATTGAAACATCCCAATGAAGCTTCTGAGAATGCTTCTGTCTAGAGTTTATATGAAGACAATCCCGTTTCCAACGAAATCCTCAAAGCTATCCAAATATCCTCTTGCAGATTTTACAAAAAGAGTGTTTCAAAACTGCTCTATCAAAAGAAAGCTTCAACACTGTTAGTTGAGGGCGCACATCACAAATAAGATTCTGAGAATGCTTCTGTCTAGTTTTCAGGGGAAGATATTTCCTTTTTCACCTTAGGCCTGAAAGCGCTCCAAATGTCCACATCCAGATACTACAAAAAGAGTGTTTCAATCCTGCTCTATGAAAGGGAATGTTCAACTCTGTGACTTGAATGCAAACATCACAAAGAATTTTCTGGGAATGCTGCTGTCTGCTTTTTATATGTAATCCCGTTTCCAACGAAATCCTCAAAGCTAGACAAATATCCACTTGCAGATTCCACAAAACGAGTGTTTCAAAACTGCTCTCTCAAAGGAAGGTTCAACTCTGTTAGCTGAGTAGATACATCATGAAAAAGTTTCTGACATTGCTTCTATCTAGCTTTTATTGGAAGATATTTCCTTTTTCACCGCAGTCCTGAGAGCGCTCCAAATGTCCACTTCCAGATACTACAAAAAGAGTGTTTCAAACCTGCTCTATGAAAGGGACTGTTCAACACTGTGACTTCAATTGAAACATCCCAATGAAGCTTCTGAGAATGCTTCTGTCTAGAGTTTATATGAAGACAATCCCGTTTCCAACGAAATCCTCAAAGCTATCCAAATAACCTCTTGCAGATTTTACAAAAAGAGTGTTTCAAAACTGCTCTATCAAAAGAAAGCTTCAACACTGTTAGTTGAGGGCGCACATCACAAATAAGATTCTGAGAATTCTTCTGTCTAGTTTTCAGGGGAAGATATTTCCTTTTTCACCATAGGCCTGAAAGCGCTCCAAATGTCCACATCCAGATACTACAAAAAGAGTGTTTCAAACCTGCTCTATGAAAGGGAATGTTCAACTCTGTGACTTGAATGCAAACATCACAAAGAAGTTACTGGGAATGCTGCTGTCTGCTTTTTATAAGTAATCCCGTTTCCAACGAAATCCTCAAAGCTAGACAAATATCCACTTGCAGATTCCACAAAAAGAGTGTTTCAAAACTGGTCTCTCAAAAGAAAGGTTCAACTCTGTTAGCTGAGTAGATATATCATGAAAAAGTTTCTGACATTGCTTCTATCTAGCTTTTATTGGAAGATATTTCCTTTATCACCGTATTCCTGAGATCTCTCCAAATGTCCACTTCCAGATACTACAAAAAGAGTGTTTCAAACCTGCTCTATGAAAGGGACTGTTCAACACTGTGACTTCAATTGAAACATCCCAATGAAGCTTCTGAGACTGCTTCTGTCTAGAGTTTATATGAAGACAATCCCGTTTCCAACGAAATCCTCAAAGCTATCCAAATATCCTCTTGCAGATATTACAAAAAGAGTGTTTCAAAACTGCTCTATCAAAAGAAAGGTTCAACACTGTTAGTTGAGGGCGCACATCACAAATAAGATTCTGAGAATGCTTCTGTCTAGTTTTCAGGGGAAGATATTTCCTTTTTCACCATAGGCCTGAAAGCGCTCCAAATGTCCTCATCCAGATACTACAAAAAGAGTGTTTCAAACCTGCTCTATGAAACGGAATGTTCAAGTCTGTGACTTCAATGCAAATATCACAAAGAAGTTTCTGGGAATGCTGCTGTCTGCTTTTTATATGTAATACCGTTTCCAACGCAATCCTCAAAACTAGACAAATATCCACTTGCAGATTCCACAAAAAGAGTGTTTCAAAACTACTCTCTCCAAAGAAAGGTTCAACTCTGTTAGCTGAGTAGATACATCATGAAAAATTTTCTGACATTGCTTCTATCTAGCTTTTATTGGAAGATATTTCCTTTTTCACTGTAGTCCTGAGAGCGCTCCAAATGTCCACTTCCAGATGCTACAAAAAGAGTGTTTCAAACATGCTCTATGAAAGGGACTGTTCAACACTGTGACTTCAATTGAAACATCCGAATGAAGCTTCTGAGAATGCTTCTGTCTAGATTCTATATGAAGACAATCCCGTTTCCAACGAAATCCTCAAAGCTATCCAAATATCCTCTTGCAGATTTTACAAAAAGAGTGTTTCAAAACTGCTCTATCAAAAGAAAGGTTCAACACTGTTAGTTGAGGGCGCACATCACAAATAAGTTTCTGAGAATGCTTCTGTCTAGTTTTCAGGGGAAGATATTTCCTTTTTCACCATAGGCCTGAAAGCGCTCCAAATGTCCACATCCAGATACTACAAAAAGAGTGTTTCAAACCTGCTCTATGAAAGGGAATGTTCAAGTCTGTGACTTGAATGCAAATATCACAAAGAAGTTTCTGGGAATGCTGCTGTCTGCTTTTTATATGTAATCCCGTTTCCAACGAAATCCTCAAAGCTAGACAAATATCCACTTGCAGATTCCACAAAAAGAGTGTTTCAAAACTGCTCTCTCAAAAGAAAGGTTCAACTCTGTTAGCTGAGTAGATACATCATGAAAAATTTTCTGACATTGCTTCTATCTAGCTTTTATTGGAAGATATTTCCTTTTTCACCGTAGTCCTGAGAACGCTCCAAATGTCCACTTCCAGATACTACAAAAAGAGTGTTTCAAACCTGCTCTATGAAAGGGACTGTTCAACACTGTGACTTCAATTGAAACATCCCAATGAAGCTTCTGAGAATGCTACTGTCTAGGGTTAATATGAAGACAATCCCGTTTCCAACGAAATCCTCAAAGCTATCCAAATATCCTCTTGCAGATTTTACAAAAAGAATGTTTCAAAACTGCTCTATCAAAAGAAACCTTCAACACTGTTAGTTGAGGGCACACATCACAAATAAGTTTCTGAGCATACTGCTGTCTGCTTTTTATATGTAATCCCGTTTCCAACGAAATCCTCAAAGCTAGACAAATATCCACTTGCAGATTCCACAAAAAGAGTGTTTCAAAACTGCTCTATCAAAAGAATGTTTCAACACTGGTAGTTGAGGGCGCACATCACAAATAAGTTTCTGAGAATGCTTCTGTCTAGTTTTCAGGGGAAGATATTTCCTTTTAAACCATAGGCCTGAAAGCGCTCCAAATGTCCACATCCAGATACTACAAAAAGAGTGTTTCAAACCTGCTCTATGAAAGGGACTTTTCAACACTGTGACTTCAATTGAAACATCCCAATGACGCTTCTGAGAATGCTACTGTCTAGGGTTAATATGAAGACAATCCCGTTTCCAACGAAATCCTCCAAGCTATCGAAATATCCTCTTGCAGATTTTACAAAAAGAGTGTTTCAAAACTGCTCTATCAAAAGAAAGCTTCAACACTGTTAGTTGAGGGCGCACATCACAAATAAGTTTCTGAGAATGCTTTCTATCTAGCTTTTATTGGAAGATATTTCCTTTTTCACCATAGGCCTGAAAGCGCTCCAAATGTCCACATCCAGATACTACAAAAAGAGTGTTTCAAACCTGCTCTATGAAAGGGAATGTTCAACTCTGTGACTTGAATGCAAACCTCACAAAGAAGTTACTGGGAATGCTGCTGTCTGCTTTTTATATGTAATCCCGTTTCCAACGAAATCCTCAAAGCTAGACAAATATCCACTTGCAGATTCCACAAAAAGAGTGTTTCAAAACTGCTCTCTCAAAAGAAAGGTTCAACTCTGTTAGCTGAGTAGATACATCATGAAAAAGTTTGTGACATTGCTTCTATCTAGCTTTTATTGGAAGATATTTCCTTTTTCACCGTAGTCCTGAGAGCGCTCCAAATGTCCACTTCCACATACTACAAAAAGAGTGTTTCAAACCTGCTCTATGAAAGGGACTGTTCAACACTGTGACTTCAGTTGAAACATCCCAATGAAGCTTCTGAGAATGCTTCTGTCTAGAGTTTATATGAAGACAATCCCGTTTCCAACGAAATCCTCAAAGCTATCCAAATATCCTCTTGCAGATATTACAAAAAGAGTGTTTCAAAACTGCTCTATCAAAAGAAAGGTTCAACACTGTTAGTTGAGGGCGCACATCACAAATAAGTTTCTGAGAATGCTTCTGTCTAGTTTTCAGGGGAAGATATTTCCTTTTTCACCTTAGGCCTGAAAGCGCTGCAAATGTCCACATCCAGATACTACAAAAAGAGTGTTTCAAACCTGCTCTATGAAAGGGAATGTTCAACTCTGTGACTTGAATGCAAACATCACAAAGAAGTTTCTGGGAATGCTGCTGTCTGCTTTTTATATGTAATCCCGTTTCCAACGAAATCCTCAAAGCTATCCAAATATCCTCTTGCAGATATTACAAAAAGAGTGTTTCAAAACTGCTCTATCAAAAGAAAGGTTCAACACTGTTAGTTGAGGGCGCACATCACAAATAAGTTTCTGAGAATGCTTCTGTCTAGTTTTCAGGGGAAGATATTTCCTTTTTCACCATAGGCCTGAAAGCGCTCCAAATGTCCACATCCAGATACTACAAAAAGAGTGTTTCAAACCTGCTCTCTGAAAGGGAATGTTCAACTCTGTGACTTGAATGCAAACATCACAAAGAAGTTTCTGGGAATGCTGCTGTCTGCTTTTTATATGTAATCCCGTTTCCAACGAAATCCTCAAAGCTAGACAAATATCCACTTGCAGATTCCACAAAAAGAGTGTTTCAAAACTGCTCTATCAAAAGAAAGCTTCAACACTGTTAGTTGAGGGCGCACATCACAAATAAGTTTCTGAGAATGCTTCTGTCTAGTTTTCAGGGGAAGATATTTCCTTTTTCACCATAGGCCTGAAAGCGCTCCAAATGTCCACATCCAGATACTACAAAAAGAGTGTTTCAAACCTGCTCTATGAAAGGGACTGTTCAACACTGTGACTTCAATTGAAACATCCCAATGAAGCTTCTGAGAATGCTTCTGTGTAGAGTTTATATGAAGACAATCCCGTTTCCAACGAAATCCTCAAAGCTATCCAAATATCCTCTTGCAGATTTTACAAAAAGAGTGTTTCAAAACTGCTCTATCAAAAGAAAGCTTCAACACTGTTAGTTGAGGGCGCACATCACAAATAAGATTCTGAGAATTCTTCTGTCTAGTTTTCAGGGGAAGATATTTCCTTTTTCACAATAGGCCTGAAAGCGCTCCAAATGTCCACATCCAGATACTACAAAAAGAGTGTTTCAAACCTGCTCTATGAAAGGGAATGTTCAACTCTGTGACTTGAATGCAAACATCACAAAGAAGATTCTGGGAATGCTGCTGTCTGCTTTTTATATGTAATCCCGTTTCCAACGAAATCCTCAAAGCTAGACAAATATCCACTTGCAGATTCCACAAAAAGAGTGTTTCAAAACTGCTCTCTCAAAGGAAAGGTTCAACTCTGTTAGCTGAGTAGATACATCATGAAAAAGTTTCTGACATTGCTTCTATCTAGCTTTTATTGGAAGATAGTTCCTTTTTCACCGCAGTCCTGAGAGCGCTCCAAATGTCCACTTCCAGATACTACAAAAAGAGTGTTTCAAACCTGCTCTATGAAAGGGACTGTTCAACACTGTGACTTCAATTGAAACATCCCAATGAAGCTTCTGAGAATGCTTCTGTCTAGATTGTATATGAAGACAATCCCGTTTCCAACGAAATCCTCAAAGCTATCCAAATATCCTCTTGCAGATTTTACAAAAAGAGTGTTTCAAAACTGCTCTATCAAAAGAAAGCTTCAACACTGTCAGTTGAGGGCGCACATCACAAATAAGTTTCTGAGAATGCTTCTGTCTAGTTTTCAGGGGAAGATATTTCCTTTTTCACCATAGGCCTGAAAGCGCTCCAAATGTCCACATCCAGATACTACAAAAAGAGTGTTTCAAACCTCCTCTATGGAAGAGAATGTTCAAGTCTGTGACTTGAATGCAAATATCACAAAGAAGTTTCTGGGAATGCTGCTGTCTGCTTTTTATATGTAATCCCGTTTCCAACGAAATCCTCAAAGCTAGACAAATATCCACTTGCAGATTCCACAAAAAGAGTGTTTCAAAACTGCTCTATCAAAAGAATGCTTCAACACTGTTAGTTGAGGGCGCACATCACAAATAAGTTTCTGAGAATGCTTCTGTCTAGTTTTCAGGGGAAGATATTTCCTTTTAAACCATAGGCCTGAAAGCGCTCCAAATGTCCACATCCAGATACTACAAAAAGAGTGTTTGAAACCTGCTCTATGAAAGGGACTGTTCAACACTGTGACTTCAATTGAAACATCCCAATGAAGCTTCTGAGAATGCTTCTGTCTAGAGTTTATATGAAGACAATCCCGTTTCCAACGAAATCCTCAAAGCTATCCAAATATCCTCTTGCAGATTTTACAAAAAGAGTGTTTCAAAACTGCTCTATCAAAAGAAAGCTTCAACACTGTTAGTTGAGGGCGCACATCACAAATAAGATTCTGAGAATGCTTCTGTGTAGTTTTCAGGGGAAGATATTTCCTTTTTCACCATAGGCCTGAAAGCGCTCCAAATGTCCACATCCAGATACTACAAAAAGAGTGTTTCAAACCTGCTCTATGAAAGGGAATGTTCAACTCTGTGACTTGAATGCAAACATCACAAAGAAGTTTCTGGGAATGCTGCTGTCTGCTTTTTATATGTAATCCCGTTTCCAACGAAATCCTCAAAGCTAGACAAATATCCCCTTGCAGATTCCACAAAAATAGTGTTTCAAAACTGCTCTCTCAAAAGAAAAGTTCAACTCTTTTAGCTGAGTAGATACATCATGAAAAAGTTTCTGACATTTCTTCTATCTAGCCTTTATTGGAAGATATTTCCTTTTTCACCGTAGTCCTGAGAATGCTCCAAATGTCCACTTCCAGATGCTACAAAAAGAGTGTTTCAAACCTGCTCTATGAAAGGGACTGTTCAACACTTTGACTTCAATTGAAACATCCCAATGAAGCTTCTGAGAATGCTTCTGTCTAGAGTTTATATGAAGACAATCCCGTTTCCAACGAAATCCTCAAAGCTATCCAAATATCCTCTTGCAGATTTTACAAAAAGAGTGTTTCAAAACTGCTCTATCAAAAGAAAGCTTCAACACTGTTAGTTGAGGGCGCACATCACAAATAAGATTCTGAGAATGCTTCTGTCTAGTTTTCAGGGGAAGATATTTCCTTTTTCACCATAGGCCTGAAAGCGCTCCAAATGTCCACATCCAGATACTACAAAAAGAGTGTTTCAAACCTGCTCTATGAAAGGGAATGTTCAATTCTGTGACTTGAATGCAAACATCACAAAGAAGTTACTGGGAATGCTGCTGTCTGCTTTTTATATGTAATCCCGTTTCCAACGAAATCCTCAAAGCTAGACAAATATCCACTTGCAGATTCCACAAAAAGAGTGTTTCAAAACTGCTCTATCAAAAGAAAGCTTCAACTCTGTTAGCTGAGTAGATACATCATGAAAAAGTTTCTGACATTGCTTCTATGTAGCTTTTATTGGAAGATATTTCCTTTTTCACCGTAGTCCTGAGAGCGCTCCAAATGTCCACTTCCAGATACTACAAAAAGAGTGTTTCAAACCTGCTCTATGAAAGGGACTGTTCAACACTGTGACTTCAATTGAAACATCCCAATGAAGCTTCTGAGAATGCTTCTGTCTAGAGTTTATATGAAGACAATCCCGTTTCCAACGAAATCCTCAAAGCTATCCAAATATCCTCTTGCAGATTTTACAAAAAGAGTGTTTCAAAACTGCTCTATCAAAAGAAAGCTTCAACTCTGTTAGTTGAGGGCGCACATCACAAATAAGATTCTGAGAATGCTTCTGTCTAGTTTTCAGGGGAAGATATTTCCTTTTTCACCATAGGCCTGAAAGCGCTCCAAATGTCCACATCCAGATACTACAAAAAGAGTGTTTCAAACCTGCTCTATGAAAGGGAATGTTCAACTCTGTGACTTGAATGCAAACATCAAAAAGAAGTTACTGGGAATGCTGCTGTCTGCTTTTTATATGTAATCCCGTTTCCAACGAAATCCGCAAAGCTAGACAAATATCCACTTGCAGATTCCACAAAAAGAGTGTTTCAAAACTGCTCTCTCAAAAGAAAGGTTCAACTCTGTTAGCTGAGTAGATACATCATGAAAAAGTTTCTGACATTGCTTCTATCTAGCTTTTATTGGAAGATATTTCCTTTTTCACCGTAGTCCTGAGATCTCTCCAAATGTCCACTTCCAGATACTACAAAAAGAGTGTTTCAAACCTGCTCTATGAAAGGGACTGTTCAACACTGTGACTTCAATTGAAATATCCCAATGAAGCTTCTGAGAATGCTTCTGTCTAGAGTTTATATGAAGACAATCCCGTTTCCAACGAAATCCTCAAAGCTATCCAAATATCCTCTTGCAGATATTACAAAAAGAGTGTTTCAAAACTGCTCTATCAGAAGAAAGCTTCAACACTGTTAGTTGAGGGCGCACATCACAAATAAGTTTCTGAGAATGCTTCTGTCTAGTTTTCAGGGGAAGATATTTCCTTTTTCACCTTATGCCTGAAAGCGCTGCAAATGTCCACATCCAGATACTACAAAAAGAGTGTTTCAAACCTGCTCTATCAAAGGGACTGTTCAACACTGTGACTTCAATTGAAACATCCCAATGAAGCTTCTGAGAATGCTTCCCTCTAGAGTTTATATGAAGACAATCCCGTTTCCAACGAAATCCTCAAAGCTATCCAAATATCCTCTTGCAGATTTTACAAAAAGAGTGTTTCAAAACTGCTCTATCAAAAGAAAGGTTCAACACTGTTAGTTGAGGGCGCACATCACAAATAAGTTTCTGAGAATGCTTCTGTCTAGTTTTCAGGAGAAGATATTTCCTTTTTCACCATAGGCCTGAAAGCGCTCCAAATGTCCACATCCAGATACTATAAAAAGAGTGTTTCAAACCTGCTCTCTGAAAGGGAATGTTCAACTCTGTGACTTGAATGCAAACATGACAAACAAGATTCTGGGAATGCTGCTGTCTGCTTTTTATATGTAATCCCGTTTCCAACGAAATCCTCAAAGCTAGACAAATATCCACTTGCAGATTCCACAAAAAGAGTGTTTCAAAACTGCTCTATCAAAAGAAAGCTTCAACACTGTTAGTTGAGGGCGCACATCACAAATAAGTTTCTGAGAATGCTTCTGTCTAGTTTTCAGGGGAAGATATTTCCTTTTTCACCATAGGCCTGAAAGCGCTCCAAATGTCCACATCCAGATACTACAAAAAGAGTGTTTCAAACCTGCTCTATGAAAGGGACTGTTCAACACTGTGACTTCAATTGAAACATCCCAATGAAGCTTCTGAGAATGCTTCTGTCTAGAGTTTATATGAAGACAATCCCGTTTCCAACGTAATCCTCAAAGCTATCAAAATATCCTCTTGCAGATTTTACGAAAAGAGTGTTTCAAAACTGCTCTATCAAAAGAAAGCTTCAACACTGTTAGTTGAGGGCGCACATCACAAATAAGATTCTGAGAAAGCTTCTGTCTAGTTTTCAGGAGAAGATATTTCCTTTTTCACCATAGGCCTGAAAGCGCTCCAAATGTCCACATCCAGATACTATAAAAAGAGTGTTTCAAACCTGCTCTCTGAAAGGGAATGTTCAACTCTGTGACTTGAATGGAAACATCACAAACAAGATTCTGGGAATGCTGCTGTCTGCTTTTTATAATTAATCCCGTTTCCAACGAAATCCTCAAAGCTATCCAAATATCCTCTTGCAGATATTACAAAAAGAGTGTTTCAAAACTGCTCTATCAAAAGAAAGGTTCAACACTGTTAGTTGAGGGCGCACATCACAAATAAGTTTCTGAGAATGCTTCTGTCTAGTTTTCAGGAGAAGATATTTCCTTTTTCACCATAGGCCTGAAAGCGCTCCAAAGGTCCACATCCAGATACTATAAAAAGAGTGTTTCAAACCTGCTCTCTGAAAGGGAATGTTCAACTCTGTGACTTGAATGCAAACATCACAAACAAGATTCTGGGAATGCTGCTGTCTGATTTTTATATGTAATCCCGTTTCCAACGAAATCCTCAAAGCTAGACAAATATCCACTTGCAGATTCCACAAAAAGAGTGTTTCAAAACTGCTCTCTCAAAAGAAAGGTTCAACTCTGTTAGCTGAGTAGATACATCATGAAAAAGTTTCTGACATTGCTTCTATCTAGCTTTTATTGGAAGATATTTCCTTTTTCACCGCAGTCCTGAGAGCGCTCCAAATGTCCACTTCCAGATACTACAAAAAGAGTGTTTCAAACCTGCTCTATGAAAGGGACTGTTCAACACTGTGACTTCAATTGAAACATCCCAATGAAGCTTCTGAGAATGCTTCTGTCTAGAGTTTATATGAAGACAATCCCGTTTCCAACGAAATCCTCAAAGCTATCCAAATATCCTCTTGCAGATTTTACAAAAAGAGTGTTTCAAAACTGCTCTATCAAAAGAATGCTTCAACACTGTTAGTTGAGGGCGCACATCACAAATAAGATTCTGAGAATGCTTCTGTCTAGTTTTCAGGGGAAGATATTTCCTTTTTCACAATAGGCCTGAAAGCGCTCCAAATGTCCAGATCCAGATACTACAAAAAGAGTGTTTCAAACCTGCTCTATGAGAGGGAATATTCAACTCTGTGACTTGAATGCAAACATCACAAAGAAGTTACTGGGAATGCTGCTGTCTGCTTTTTATATGTAATCCCGTTTCCAACGAAATCCTGAAAGCTAGACAAATATCCACCTGTAGATTCCTCAAAAAGCGTGTTTCAAAACTGCTCTCTCAAAAAAAATGTTCAACTCTGTTAGCTGAGTAGATACATCATGAAAAAGTTTCTGACATTGCTTCTATGTAGCTTTTATTGGAAGACATTTCCTTTTTCACCGCAGTCCTGAGAGCGCTCCAAATGTCCACTTCCAGATACTACAAAAAGAGTGTTTCAAACCTGCTCTATGAAAGGGACTGTTCAACACTGTGACTTCAATTGAAACATCCCAATGAAGCTTCTGAGAATGCTTCTGTCTAGAGTTTATATGAAGACAATCCCGTTTCCTACGAAATCCTCAAAGCTATCCAAATATCCTCTTGCAGATTTTACAAAAAGAGCGTTTCAAAACTGCTCTATCAAAAGAAAGCTTCAACACTGTTAGTTGAGGGCGCACATCACAAATAAGATTCTGAGAATGCTTCTGTCTAGTTTTCAGGAGAAGATATTTCCTTTTTCACCATAGGCCTGAAAGCGCTCCAAATGTCCACATCCAGATACTATAAAAAGAGTGTTTCAAACCTGCTCTCTGAAAGGGAATGTTCAACTCTGTGACTTGAATGCAAACATCACAAACAAGATTCTGGGAATGCTGCTGTCTGCTTTTTATATGTAATCCCGTTTCCAACGAAATCCTCAAAGCTAGACAAATATCCACTTCCAGATTCCACAAAAAGAGTGTTTCAAAACTGCTCTATCAAAAGAAAGCTTCAACACTGTTAGTTGAGGGCGCACATCACAAATAAGTTTCTGAGAATGCTTCTGTCTAGTTTTCAGGGGAAGATATTTCCTTTTTCACCTTAGGCCTGAAAGCGCTGCAAATGTCCACATCCAGATACTACAAAAAGAGTGTTTCAAACCTGCTCTATGAAAGGGAATGTTCAACTCTGTGACTTGAATGCAAACATCACAAAGAAGTTTCTGGGAATGCTGCTGTCTGCTTTTTATATGTAATCCCGTTTCCAACGCAATCCTCAAAGCTAGACAAATATCCACTTGCAGATTCCACAAAAAGAGTGTTTCAAAACTGCTCTCTCAAAGGAAGGTTCAACTCTGTTAGCTGAGTAGATACATCATGAAAAAGTTTCTGACATTGCTTCTATCTAGCTTTTATTGGAAGATATTTCCTTTTTCACCGCAGTCCTGAGAGCGCTCCAAATGTCCACTTCCAGATACTACAAAAAGAGTGTTTCAAACCTGCTCTATGAAAGGGACTGTTCAACACTGTGACTTCAATTGAAACATCCCAATGAAGCTTCTGAGAATGCTTCTGTCTGGAGTTTATATGAAGACAATCCCGTTTCCAACGAAATCCTCAAAGCTATCCAAATATCCTCTTGCAGATTTTACAAAAAGAGTGTTTCAAAACTGCTCTATCAAAAGAAAGCTTCAACACTGTTAGTTGAGGGCGCACATCACAAATAAGATTCTGAGAATGCTTCTGTCTAGTTTTCAGGGGAAGATATTTCCTTTTTCACCATAGGCCTGAAAGCGCTCCAAATGTCCACATCCAGATACTTCAAAAAGAGTGTTTCAAACCTGCTCTATGAAAGGGAACGTTCAACTCTGTGACTTGAATGCAAACATCACAAAGAAGTTACTGGGAATGCTGCTGTCTGCTTTTTATATGTAATCCCGTTTCCAACGAAATCCTCAAAGCTAGACAAATATCCACTTGCAGATTCCACAAAAAGAGTGTTTCAAAACTGCTCTCTCAAAGGAAAGGTTCAACTCTGTTAGCTGAGTAGATACATCATGAAAAAGTTTCTGACATTGCTTCTATGTAGCTTTTATTGGAAGATATTTCCTTTTTCACCATAGTCCTGAGAGCGCTCCAAATGTCCACTTCCAGATACTACAAAAAGAGTGTTTCAAACCTGTTCTATGAAAGGAACTGTTCAACACTGTGACTTCAATTGAAACATCCCAAAGAAGCTTCTGAGAATGCTTCTGTCTAGAGTTTATATGAAGACAATCCCGTTTCCAACGAAATCCTCAAAGCTATCCAAATATCCTCTTGCAGATATTACAAAAAGAGTGTTTCAAAACTGCTCTATCAAAAGAAAGCTTCAACACTGTTAGTTGAGGGCGCACATCACAAATAAGTTTCTGAGAATGCTTCTGTCTAGTTTTCAGGGGAAGATATTTCCTTTTTCACCTTAGGCCTGAAAGCGCTGCAAATGTCCACATCCAGATACTACAAAAAGAGTGTTTCAAACCTGCTCTCTGAAAGGGAATGTTCAACTCTGTGACTTGAATGCAAACTTCACAAAGAAGTTTCTGGGAATGCTGCTGTCTGCTTTTTATATGTAATCCCGTTTCCAACGAAATCCTCAAAGCTAGACAAATATCCACTTGCAGATTCCACAAAACGAGTGTTTCAAAACTGCTCTCTCAAATGAAGGTTCAACTCTGTTAGCTGAGTAGATACATCACGAAAAAGTTTCTGACATTGCTTCTATCTAGCTTTTATTGGAAGATATTTCCTTTTTCACCGCAGTCCTGAGAGCGCTCCAAATGTCCACTTCCAGATACTACAAAAAGAGTGTTTCAAACTTGCTCTATGAAAGGGACTGTTCAACACTGTGACTTCAATTGAAACATCCCAATGAAGCTTCTGAGAATGCTTCTGTCTAGAGTTTATATGAAGACAATCCCGTTTCCAACGAAATCCTCAAAGCTATCCAAATATCCTCTTGCAGATTTTACAAAAAGAGTGTTTCAAAACTGCTCTATCAAAAGAAAGCTTCAACACTGTTAGTTGAGGGCGCACATCACAAATAAGATTCTGAGAATGCTTCTGTCTAGTTTTCAGGAGAAGATATTTCCTTTTTCACCATAGGCCTGAAAGCGCTCCAAATGTCCACATCCAGATACTACAAAAAGAGTGTTTCTAACCTGCTCTATGAAAGGGAATGTTCAACTCTGTGACTTGAATGCAAACATCACAAAGAAGATTCTGGGAATGCTGCTGTCTTCTTTTTATATGTAATCCCGTTTCCAACGAAATCCTCAAAGCTAGACAAATATCCACTTGCAGATTCCACAAAAAGAGTGTTCAAAAACTGCTCTCTCAAAAGAAAGGTTCAACTCTGTTAGCTGAGTAGATACATCATGAAAAAGTTTCTGACATTGCTTCTATCTAGCTTTTATTGGAAGATATTTCCTTTTTCACCGTAGTCCTGAGAGCGCTCCAAATGTCCACTTCCAGATACTACAAAAAGAGTGTTTCAAACCTGCTCTATGAAAGGGACTGTTCAACACTGTGACTTCAATTGAAACATCCCAATGAAGCTTCTGAGAATGCTTCTGTCTAGATTGTATATGAAGACAATCCCGTTTCCAACGAAATCCTCAAAGCTATCCAAATATCCTCTTGCAGATTTTACAAAAAGAGTGTTTCAAAACTGCTCTATCAAAAGAAAGCTTCAACACTGTTAGTTGAGGGCGCACATCACAAATAAGTTTCTGAGAATGCTTCTGTCTAGTTTTCAGGGGAAGATATTTCCTTTTTCACCATAGGCCTGAAAGCGCTCCAAATGTCCACATCCAGATACTACAAAAAGAGTGTTTCAAACCTGCTCTATGAAAGGGAATGTTCAAGTCTGTGACTTGAATGCAAATATCACAAAGAAGTTTCTGGGAATGCTGCTGTCTGCTTTTTATATGTAATCCTGTTTCCAACGAAATCCTCAAAGCTAGACAAATATCCACTTGCAGATTCCACAAAAAGAGTGTTTCAAAACTGCTCTCTCAAAGGAAGGTTCAACTCTGTTAGCTGAGTAGATACATCATGAAAAAGTTTCTGACATTGCTTCTATCTAGCTTTTATTGGAAGATATTTCCTTTTTCACCGCAGTCCTGAGAGCGCTCCAAATGTCCACTTCCAGATACTACAAAAAGAGTGTTTCAAACCTGCTCTATGAAAGGGACTGTTCAACACTGTGACTTCAATTGAAACATCCCAATGAAGCTTCTGAGAATGCTTCTGTCTAGAGTTTATATGAAGACAATCCCGTTTCCAACGAAATCCTCAAAGCTATCCAAATATCCTCTTGCAGATTTTACAAAAAGAGTGTTTCAAAACTGCTCTATCAAAAGAAAGCTTCAACACTGTTAGTTGAGGGCGCACATCACAAATAAGATTCTGAGAATGCTTCTGTCTAGTTTTCAGGGGAAGATATTTCCTTTTTCACCATAGGCCTGAAAGTGCTCCAAATGTCCACATCCATATACTACAAAAAGAGTGTTTCAAACCTGCTCTATGAAAGGGAATGTTCAACTCTGTGACTTGAATGCAAACATCACAAAGAAGTTACTGGGAATGCTGCTGTCTGCTTTTTATATGTAATCCCGTTTCCAACGAAATCCTCAAAGCTAGACAAATATCCACTTGCAGATTCCACAAAAAGAGTGTTTCAAAACTGCTCTCTCAAAGGAAAGGTTCAACTCTGTTAGCTGAGTAGATACATCATGAAAAAGTTTCTGACATTGCTTCTATCTAGCTTTTATTGGAAGATATTTCCTTTTTCACCGTAGTCCTGAGAGCGCTCCAAATGTCCACTTCCAGATACTACAAAAAGAGTGTTTCAAACCTGCTCTATGAAAGGGACTGTTCAACACTGTGACTTCAATTGAAACATCCCAATGAAGCTTCTGAGAATGCTTCTGTCTAGAGTTTATATGAAGACAATCCCGTTTCCAACGAAATCCTCAAAGCTATCCAAATATCCTCTTGCAGATTTTACAAAAAGAGTGTTTCAAAACTGCTCTATGAAAGGGAATGTTCAACTCTGTGACTTGAATGCAAACATCACTAAGAAATTTCTGGGAATGCTTCTGTCTAGTTTTCAGGGGAACATATTTCCTTTTTCACCATAGGCCTGAAAGCGCTCCAAATGTCCACATCCAGATACTACAAAAAGAGTGTTTCAAACCTGCTCTATGAAAGGGAATGCTCAACTCTGTGACTTGAATGCAAACATCACAAAGAAGTTACTGGGAATGCTGCTGTCTGCTTTTTATATGTAATCCCGTTTCCAACGAAATCCTCAAAGCTAGACAAATATCCACTTGCAGATTCCACAAAAAGAGTGTTTCAAAACTGCTCTATCAAAAGAAAGCTTCAACACTGTTAGTTGAGGGCGCACATCACAAATAAGTTTCTGAGAATGCTTCTGTCTAGTTTTCAGGGGAAGATATTTCCTTTTTCACCATAGGCCTGAAAGCGCTCCAAATGTCCACATCCAGATACTACAAAAAGAGTGTTTCAAACCTGCTCTATGAAAGGGACTGTTCAACACTGTGACTTCAATTGAAACATCCCAATGAAGCTTCTGAGAATGCTACTGCCTAGGGTTAATATGAAGACAATCCCGTTTCCAACCAAATCCTCAAAGCTATCCAAATATCCTCTTGCAGATTTTACAAAAAGAGTGTTTCAAAACTGCTCTATCAAAAGAAAGCTTCAACACTGTTAGTTGAGGGCGCACATCACAAATAAGATTCTGAGAATGCTTCTGTCTAGCTTTCAGGGGAAGATATTTCCTTTTTCACCATAGGCCTGAAAGCGCTCCAAATGTCCACATCCAGATACTACAAAAAGAGTGTTTCAAACCTGCTCTATGAAAGGGAATGTTCAAGTCTGTGACTTGAATGCAAATATCACCAAGAAGTTTCTGGGAATGCTGCTGTCTGCTTTTTATATGTAATCCCGTTTCCAACGAAATCCTCAAAGCTAGAAAAATATCCACTTGCAGATTCCACAAAAAGAGTGTTTCAAAACTGCTCTCTCAAAAGAAAGTTTCAACTCTGTTAGCTGAGTAGATACATCATGAAAAAGTTTCTGATATTGCTTCTATCTAGCTTTTATTGGAAGATATTTCCTTTTTCACCGTAGTCCTGAGAGTGCTCCAAATGTCCACTTCCAGATACTACAAAAAGAGTGTTTCCAACCTGCTCTATGAAAGGGACTGTTCAACACTGTGACTTCAATTGAAACATCCCAATGAAGCTTCTGAGAATGCTTCTGTCTAGAGTTTATATGAAGACAATCCCGTTTCCAACGAAATCCTCAAAGCTATCCAAATATCCTCTTGCAGATTTTACAAAAAGAGTGTTTCAAAACTGCTCTATCAAAAGAAAGCTTCAACACTGTTAGTTGAGGGCGCACATCACAAATAAGATTCTGAGAATGCTTCTGTCTAGTTTCCAGGGGAAGATATTTCCTTTTTCACCATAGGCCTGAAAGCGCTCCAAATGTCCACATCCAGATAGTACAAAAAGGGTGTTTCAAACCTGCTCTATGAAAGGGAATGTTCAACTCTGTGACTTGAATGCAAACATCACAAAGAAGTTTCTGGGAATGCTGCTGTCTGCTTTTTATATGTAATCCCGTTTCCAACGAAATCCTCAAAGCTAGACAAATATCCACTTGCAGATTCCACAAAAAGAGTGTTTCAAAACTGCTCTATCAAAAGAAAGCTTCAACACTGTTAGTTGAGGGCGCACATCACAAATAAGTTTCTGAGAATGCTTCTATCTACCTTTTATTGGAAGATATTTCCTTTTTCAACGCAGTCCTGAGAGCGTTCCAAATGTCCACTTCCAGATACTACAAAAACAGTGTTTCAAACCTGCTCTATGAAAGGGACTGTTCAACACTGTGACTTCAATTGAAACATCCCAATGAAGCTTCTGAGAATGCTTCTGTCTAGAGTTTATATGAAGACAATCCCGTTTCCAACGAAATCCTCAAAGCTATCCAAATATCCTCTTGCAGATTTTACGAAAAGAGTGTTTCAAAACTGCTCTATCAAAAGAAAGCTTCAACACTGTTAGTTGAGGGCGCACATCACAAATAAGATTCTGAGAATGCTTCTGTCTAGTTTTCAGGAGAAGATATTTCCTTTTTCACCATAGGCCTGAAAGCGCTCCAAATGTCCACATCCAGATACTATAAAAAGAGTGTTTCAAACCTGCTCTCTGAAAGGGAATGTTCAACTCTGTGACATGAATGCAAACATCACAAACAAGATTCTGGGAATGCTGCTGTCTGCTTTTTATATGTAATCCCGTTTCCAACGAAATCCTCAAAGCTATCCAAATATCCTCTTGCAGATATTACAAAAAGAGTGTTTCAAAACTGCTCTATCAAAAGAAAGGTTCAACACTGTTAGTTGAGGGCGCACATCACAAATAAGTTTCTGAGAATGCTTCTGTCTAGTTTTCAGGGGAAGATATTTCCTTTTTCACCATAGGCCTGAAAGCGCTCCAAATGTCCACATCCAGATACTACAAAAAGAGTGTTTCAAACCTGCTCTATGAAAGGGAATATTCAACTCTGTGACTTGAATGCAAACATCACAAAGAAGTTACTGGGAGTGCTGCTGTCTGCTTTTTATATGTAATCCCGTTTCCAACGAAATCCTCAAAGCTAGACAAATATCCACTTGCAGATTCCACAAAAAGAGTGTTTCAAAACTGCTCTCTCAAAGGAAAGGTTCAACTCTGTTAGCTGAGTAGATACATCATGAAAAAGTTTCTGACATTGCTTCTATGTAGCTTTTATTGGAAGATATTTCCTTTTTCACCATAGTCCTGAGAGCGCTCCAAATGTCCACTTCCAGATACTACAAAAAGAGTGTTTCAAACCTGCTCTATGAAAGGGACTGTTCAACACTGTGACTTCAATTGAAACATCCCAATGAAGCTTCTGAGAATGCTTCTGCCTAGAGTTTATATGAAGACAATCCCGTTTCCAACGAAATCCTCAAAGCTATCCAAATATCCTCTTGCAGATATTACAAAAAGAGTGTTTCAAAACTGCTCTATCAAAAGAAAGCTTCAACACTGTTAGTTGAGGGCGCACATCACAAATAAGTTTCTGAGAATGCTTCTGTCTAGTTTTCAGGGGAAGATATTTCCTTTTTCACCATAGGCCTGAAAGCGCTCCAAATGTCCACATCCAGATACTACAAAAAGAGTGTTTCAAACCTGCTCTATGAAAGGGAATGTTCAACTATGTGACTTGAATGCAAACATCACAAAGAAGTTTCTGGGAATGCTACTGTCTGCTTTTTATATGTAATCCCGTTTCCAACGCAATCCTCAAAGCTAGACAAATATCCACTTGCAGATTACACAAAAAGAGTGTTTCAAAACTGCTCTCTCAAAAGAAAGGTTCAACTCTGTTAGCTGAGTAGATACATCATGAAAAATTTTCTGACATTGCTTCTATCTAGCTTTTATTGGAAGATATTTCCTTTATCACCGTAGTCCTGAGAGCGCTCCAAATGTCCACTTCCAGATACTACAAAAAGAGTGTTTCAAACCTGCTCTATGAAAGGGACTGTTCAACACTGTGACTTCAATTGAAACCTCCCAATGAAGCTTCTGAGAATGCTTCTGTCTAGAGTTTATATGAAGACAATCCCGTTTCCAACGAAATCCTCAAAGCTATCCAAATATCCTCTTGCAGATTTTACAAAAAGAGTGTTTCAAAACTGCTCTATCAAAAGAAAGGTTCAACACTGTTAGTTGAGGGCGCACATCACAAATAAGTTTCTGAGAATGCTTCTGTCTAGTTTTCAGGGGAAGATATTTCCTTTTTCACCATAGGCCTGAAAGCGCTCCAAATGTCCGCATACAGATACTACAAAAAGAGTGTTTCAAACCTGCTCTATGAAAGGGAATGTTCAACTCTGTGACTTGAATGCAAACATCACAAAGAAGTTTCTGGGAATGCTGCTGTCTGCTTTTTATATGTAATCCCATTTCCAACGAAATCCTCAAAGCTAGACAAATATCCACTTGCAGATTCCACAAAAAGAGTGTTTCAAAACTGCTCTCTCAAAGGACGGTTCAACTCTGTTAGCTGAATAGATACATCATGAAAAAGTTTCTGACATTGCTTCTATCTAGCTTTTATTGGAAGATATTTCCTTTTTCACTGTAGTCCTGAGAGCGCTCCAAATGTCAACTTCCAGATACTACAAAAAGAGTGTTTCAAACCTGCTCTATGAAAGGGACTGTTCAACACTGTGACTTCAATTGAAACATCCCAATGAAGCTTCTGAGAATGCTTCTGTCTAGAGTTTATATGAAGACAATCCCGTTTCCAACGAAATCCTCAAAGCTATCCAAATATCCTCTTGCAGATTTTACAAAAAGAGTGTTTCAAAACTGCTCTATCAAAAGAAAGCTTCAACACTGTTAGTTGAGGGCGCACATCACAAATAAGATTCTGAGAATGCTTCTGTCTAGTTTTCAGGGGAAGATATTTCCTTTTTCACCTTAGGCCTGAAAGCGCTGCAAATGTCCACATCCAGATACTACAAAAAGAGTGTTTCAAACCTGCTCTATGAAAGGGAATGTTCAACTCTGTGACTTGAATGCAAACATCACAAAGAAGATTCTGGGAATGCTGCTGTCTGCTTTTTATATGTAATCCCGTTTCCAACGCAATCCTCAAAGCTAGACAAATATCCACTTGCAGATTCCACAAAAAGAGTGTTTCAAAACTGCTCTCTCAAAAGAAAGGTTCAACTCTGTTAGCTGAGTAGACACATCATGAAAAATTTTCTGACATTGCTTCTATCTAGCTTTTATTGGAAGATATTTCCTTTTTCACCGTAGCCCTGAGAGCGCTCCAAATGTCCACATCCAGATGCTACAAAAAGAGTGTTTCAAACCTGCTCTATGAAAGGGACTGTTCAACACTGTGACTTCAATTGAAACATCCCAATGAAGCTTCTGAGAATGCTTCTGTTTAGAGTTTATATGAAGACAATCACGTTTCCAACGAAATCCTCAAAGCTATCAAAATATCCTCTTGCAGATTTTACGAAAAGTGTGTCTCAAAACTGCTCTATCAAAAGAAAGCTTCAACACTGTTAGTTGAGGGCGCACATCACAAATAAGATTCTGAGAATGCTTCTATCTAGCTTTTATTGGAAGATATTTCCTTTTTCACCATAGGCCTGAAAGCGCTCCAAATGTCCACATCCAGATACTACAAAAAGAGTGTTTCAAACCTGCTCTATGAAAGGGAATGTTCAACTCTGTGACTTGAATGCAAACCTCACAAAGAAGTTACTGGGAATGCTGCTGTCTGCTTTTTATATGTAATCCCGTTTCCAACGAAATCCTCAAAGCTAGACAAATATCCACTTGCAGATTCCACAAAAAGAGTGTTTCAAAACTGCTCTCTCAAAAGAAAGGTTCAACTCTGTTAGCTGAGTAGATACATCATGAAAAAGTTTGTGACATTGCTTCTATGTAGCGTTTATTGGAAGATATTTCCTTTATCACCGTATTCCTGAGATCTCTCCAAATGTCCACTTCCAGATACTACAAAAAGAGTGTTTCAAACCTGCTCTATGAAAGGGACTGTTCAACACTGTGACTTCAATTGAAACATCCCAATGAAGCTTCTGAGAAT
The DNA here is from genome assembly GCF_000001405.40 of Homo sapiens. NCBI lineage: Eukaryota > Metazoa > Chordata > Mammalia > Primates > Hominidae > Homo > Homo sapiens. Next base: position 92,403,140 of record NC_000002.12, on the reverse strand, counting down.
GCTTCCGTCTAGAGTTTATATGAAGACAATCCCGTTTCCAACGAAATCCTCAAAGCTATCCAAATATCCTCTTGCAGATTTTACAAAAAGAGTGTTTCAAAACTGCTCTATCAAAAGAAAGCTTCAAGACTGTTAGTTGAGGGCGCACATCACAAATAAGATTCTGAGAATTCTTCTGTCTAGTTTTCAGGGGAAGATATTTCCTTTTTCACCATAGGTCTGAAAGCGCTCCAAATGTCCACATCCAGATACTACAAAAAGAGTGTTTCAAACCTGCTGTATGAAAAGGAATGTTCAACTCTGTGACTTGAATGCAAACATCACAAAGAAGTTACTGGGAATGCTGCTGTCTGCTTTTTATATGTAATCCCGTTTCCAACGAAATCCTCAAAGCTAGACAAATATCCACTTGCAGATTCCACAAAAAGAGTGTTTCAAAACTGCTCTATCAAAAGAATGCTTCAACACTGTTAGTTGAGGGCGCACATCACAAATAAGTTTCTGAGAATGCTTCTGTCTAGTTTTCAGGGGAAGATACTTCCTTTTAAACCATAGGCCTGAAAGCGCTCCAAATGTCCACATCCAGATACTACAAAAAGAGTGTTTCAAACCTGCTCTATGAAAGGGAATGTTCAACACTGTGACTTCAATTGAAACATCCCAATGACGCTTCTGAGAATGCTTCTGCGTAGAGTTTATATGAAGACAATCCCGTTTCCAACGAAATCCTCAAAGCTATCCAAATATCCTCTTGCAGATTTTACAAAAAGAGTGTTTCAAAACTGCTCTATCAAAAGAAAGCTTCAACACTGTTAGTTGAGGGCGCACATCACAAATAAGATTCTGAGAATTCTTCTGTCTAGTTTTCAGGAGAAGATATTTCCTTTTTCACCATAGACCTGAAAGCGCTCCAAATGTCCACATCCAGATACTACAAAAAGAGTGTTTCAAACCTGCTCTATGAAAGGGAATGTTCAACTCTGTGACTTGAATGCAAACATCACAAAGAAGTTTCTGGGAATGCTGCTGTCTGCTTTTTATATGTAATCCCGTTTCCAACGAAATCCTCAAAGCTAGACAAATATCCACTTGCAGATTCCACAAAAAGAGTGTTTCAAAACTGCTCTCTCGAAAGAAAGGTTCAACTCTGTTAGCTGAGTAGATACATCATGAAAATGTTTCTGACATTGCTTCTATCTAGCTTTTATTGGAAGATATTTCCTTTTTCACCGTAGTCCTGAGAGCGCTCCAAATGTCCACGTCCAGATACTACAAAAAGTGTGTTTCAAACCTGCTCTATGAAAGGGACTGTTCAACACTGTGACTTCAATTGAAACATCCCAATGAAGCTTCTGAGAATGCTGCTGTCTGCTTTGTATAATTAATCCCGTTTCCAACGAAATCCTCAAAGCTATCCAAATATCCTCTTGCAGATATTACAAAAAGAGTGTTTCAAAACTGCTCTATCAAAAGAAAGCTTCAACACTGTTAGTTGAGGGCGCACATCACAAATAAGTTTCTGAGAATGCTGCTGTCTGCTTTTTATATGTAATCCCGTTTCCAACGAAATCCTCAAAGCTAGACAAATATCCACTTGCAGATTCCACAAAAAGAGTGTTTCAAAACTGCTCTCTCAAAAGAAAGGTTCAACACTGTTAGTTGAGGGCGCACATCACAAATAAGTTTCTGAGAATGCTTCTGTCTAGTTTTCAGGGGAAGATATTTCCTTTTTCACCATAGGCCTGAAAGCGCTCCAAATGTCCACATCCAGATACTACAAAAAGAGTGTTTCAAACCTGCTCTATGAAAGGGACTGTTCAACACTGTGACTTCAATTGAAACATCCCAATGAAGCTTCTGAGAATGCTTCTGTCTAGAGTTTATATGAAGACAATCCCGTTTCCAAAGAAATCCTCAAAGCTATCCAAATATCCTCTAGCAGATTTTACAAAAAGAGTGTTTCAGAACTGCTCTATCAAAAGAAAGCTTCAACACTGTTAGTTGAGGGCGCACATCACAAATAAAATTCTGAGAATGCTTCTGTCTAGTTTTCAGGGGAAGATATTTCCTTTTTCACCATAGGCCTGAAAGCGCTCCAAATGTCCACATCCAGATACTACAAAAAGAGTGTTTCAAACCTGCTCTATGAAAGGGAATGTTCAACTCTGTGACTTGAATGCAAACATCACAAAGAAGTTTATGGGAATGCTGCTGTCTGCTTTTTATATGTAATCCTGTTTCCAACGAAATCCTCAAAGCTAGACAAATATCCACTTGCAGATTCCACAAAAAGAGTGTTTCAAAACTGCTCTCTCAAAAGAAAGGTTCAACTCTGTTAGCTGAGTAGATACATCATGAAAAAGTTTCTGACATTGCTTCTATGTAGCTTTTATTGGAAGATATTTCCTTTTTCACCGTAGTCCTGAGAGCGCTCCAAATGTCCACTTCCAGATACTACAAAAAGAGTGTTTCAAACCTGTTCTATGAAAGGAACTGTTCAACACTGTGACTTCAATTGTAACATCCCAATGAAGCTTCTGAGAATGCTTCTTTCTAGAGTTTATATGAAGACAATCCCGTTTCCAACGAAATCCTCAAAGCTATCCAAATATTCTCTTGCAGATATTACAAAAAGAGTGTTTCAAAACTGCTCTATCAAAATAAAGCTTCAACACTGTTAGTTGAGGGCGCACATCACAAATAAGTTTCTGAGAATGCTGCTGTCTGCTTTTCATATGTAATCCCGTTTCCAACGAAATCCTCAAAGCTAGACAAATATCCACTTGCAGATTCCACAAAAAGAGTGTTTCAAAACTGCTCTATCAAAAGAATGCTTCAACACTGTGAGTTGAGGGCGCACATCACAAATAAGTTTCTGAGAATGCTTCTGTCTAGTTTTCAGGGGAAGATATTTCCTTTTTCACCATAGGCCTGAAAGCGCTCCAAATGTCCACATCCAGATACTACAAAAAGAGTGTTTCAAACCTGCTCTATGAAAGGGACTGTTCAACAGTGTGACTTCAATTGAAACATCCCAATGACGCTTCTGAGAATGCTTCTGTCTAGATTTTATATGAAGACAATCCCGTTTCCAACGAAATCCTCAAAGCTATCCAAATATCCTCTTGCAGATTTTACAAAAAGAGTGTTTCAAAACTACTCTATCAAAAGAAAAGTTCAACACTGTTAGTTGAGGGCGCACATCACAAATAAGTTTGTAAGAATGCTTCTGTCTAGTTTTCTGGGGAAGATATTTCCTTTTTCACCATAGGCCTGAAAGCGCTCCAAATGTCCACATCCAGATACTACAAAAAGAGTGTTTCAAACCTGCTCTATGAAAGGGAATGTTCAACTCTGTGACTTGAATGCAAACATCACAAAGAAGTTACTGGGAATGCTGCTGTCTGCTTTTTATATGTAATCCCGTTTCCAACGAAATCCTCAAAGCTAGACAAATATCCACTTTCAGATTACACAAAAAGAGTGTTTCAAAACTGCTCTCTCAAAAGAAAGGTTCAACTCTGTTAGCTGAGTAGATACATCATGAAAAAGTTTCTGACATTGCTTCTATGTAGCTTTTATTGGAAGATATTTCCTTTTTCACCATAGGCCTGAAAGCGCTCCAAATGTCCACATCCAGATACTACAAAAAAAGTGTTTCAAACCTGCTCTATGAAAGGGAATGTTCAACTCTGTGACTTGAATGCAAACATCACAAAGAAGTTACTGGGAATGCTGCTGTCTGCTTTTTATATGTAATCCCGTTTCCAACGAAATCCTCAATGCTAGACAAATATCCACTTGCAGATTCCACAAAAAGAGTGTTTCAAAACTGCTCTCTCAAAAGAAAGGTTCAACTCTGTTAGCTGAGTAGATACATCATGAAAAAGTTTCTGACATTGCTTCTATCTAGCTTTTATTGGAAGATATTTCCTTTTTCACCGCAGTCCTGAGAGCGCTCCAAATGTCCACTTCCAGATACTACAAAAAGAGTGTTTCAAACCTGCTCTATGAAAGGGACTGTTCAACACTGTGACTTCAATTGAAACATCCCAATGAAGCTTCTGAGAATGCTTCTGTCTAGAGTTTATATGAAGACAATCCCGTTTCCAACGAAATCCTCAAAGCTATCCAAATATCCTCTTGCAGATTTTACAAAAAGAGTGTTTCAAAACTGCTCTATCAAAAGAAAGCTTCAACACTGTTAGTTGAGGGCGCACATCACAAATAAGATTCTGAGAATGCTTTTATGTAGCTTTTATTGGAAGATATTTCCTTTTTCACCATAGGCCTGAAACCGCTCCAAATGTCCACATCCAGATACTACAAAAAAAGTGTTTCAAACCTGCTCTATGAAAGGGAATGTTCAACTCTGTGACTTGAATGCAAACATCACAAAGAAGTTACTGGGAATGCTGCTGTCTGCTTTTTATTTGTAATCCCGTTTCCAACGAAATCCTCAAAGCTAGACAAATATCCACTTGCAGATTCCACAAAAAGAGAGTTTCAAAACTGCTCTCTCAAAAGAAAGGTTCAACTCTGTTAGCTGAGTAGATACATCATGAAAAAGTTTCTGACATTTCTTCTATCTAGCTTTTATTGGAAGATATTTCCTTTATCACCGTATTCCTGAGATCTCTCCAAATGTCCACTTCCAAATACTACAAAAAGAGTGTTTCAAACCTGCTCTATGAAAGGGACTGTTCAACACTGTGACTTCAATTGAAACATCCCAATGAAGCTTCTGAGAATGCTTCTGTCTAGAGTTTATATGAAGACAATCCCGTTTCCAACGAAATCCTCAAAGCTATCCAAATATCCTCTTGCAGATATTACAAAAAGTGTGTTTCAAAACTGCTCTATCAAAAGAAAGCTTCAACACTGTTAGTTGAGGGCGCACATCACAAATAAGTTTCTGAGAATGCTTCTGTCTAGTTTTCAGGGGAAGATATTTCCTTTTTCACCATAGGCCTGAAAGCGCTCCAAATGTCCACATCCAGATACTACAAAAAGAGTGTTTCAAACCTGCTCTATGAAAGGGAATGTTCAACTCTGTGACTTGAATGCAAACATCACAAAGAAGTTACTGGGAATGCTGCTGTCTGCTTTTTATATGTAATCCCGTTTCCAACGAAATCCTCAAAGCTAGACAAATATCCACTTCCAGATTCCACAAAAAGAGTGTTTCAAAACTGCTCTCTCAAAAGAAAGTTTCAACTCTGTTAGCTGAGTAGATACATCATGAAAAAGTTTCTGACATTGCTTTCTATCTAGCTTTTATTGGAAGATATTTCCTTTTTCACCGCAGTCCTGAGAGCGCTCCAAATGTCCACTTCCAGATACTACAAAAAGAGTGTTTCAAACCTGCTCTATGAAAGGGACTGTTCAACACTGTGACTTTAATTGAAACATCCTAATGAAGCTTCTGAGAATGCTTCTGTCTAGAGTTTATATGAAGACAATCCCGTTTCCAACGAAATCCTCAAAGCTATCCAAATATCCTCTTGCAGATATTACAAAAAGAGTGTTTCAAAACTGCTCTATCAAAAGAAAGGTTCAACACTGTTAGTTGAGGGCGCACATCACAAATAAGTTTCTGAGAATGCTTCTGTCTAGTTTTCAGGAGAAGATATTTCCTTTTTCACCATAGGCCTGAAAGCGCTCCAAATGTCCACATCCAGATACTACAAAAAGAGTGTTTCAAACCTGCTCTCTGAAAGGGAATGTTCAACTCTGTGACTTGAATGCAAACATCACAAACAAGATTCTGGGAATGCTGCTGTCTGCTTTTTATATGTAATCCCGTTTCCAACGAAATCCTCAAAGCTAGACAAATATCCACTTGCAGATTCCACAAAAAGAGTGTTTCAAAACTGCTCTATCAAAAGAAAGCTTCAACACTGTTAGTTGAGGGCGCACATCACAAATAAGTTTCTGAGAATGCTTCTGTCTAGTTTTCAGGGGAAGATATTTCCTTTTTCACCATAGGCCTGAAAGCGCTCCAAATGTCCACATCCAGATACTACAAAAAGAGTGTTTCAAACCTGCTCTATGAAAGGGACTGTTCAACACTGTGACTTCAATTGAAACATCCCAATGAAGCTTCTGAGAATGCTTCTGTCTAGAGTTTATATGAAGACAATCCCGTTTCCAACCGAAATCCTCAAAGCTATCCAAATATCCTCTTGCAGATTTTACAAAAAGAGTGTTTCAAAACTGCTCTATCAAAAGAAAGCTTCAACACTGTTAGTTGAGGGCGCACATCACAAATAAGATTCTGCGAATGCTTCTGTCTAGTTTTCAGGGGAAGATATTTCCTTTTTCACCATAGGCCTGAAAGCGCTGCAAATGTCCACATACAGATACTACAAAAAGAGTGTTTCAAACCTGCTCTATGAAAGGGAATGTTCAACTCTGTGACTTGAATGCAAACTTCACAAAGAAGTTTCTGGGAATGCTGCTGTCTGCTTTTTCTATGTAATCCCGTTTCCAACGAAATCCTCAAAGCTAGACAAATATCCACTTGCAGATTCCACAAAAAGAGTGTTTCAAAACTGTTCTCTCAAAAGAAAGGTTCAACTCTGTTAGCTGAGTAGATACATCATGAAAAAGTTTCTGACATTGCTTCTATCTAGCTTTTATTGAAAGATATTTCCTTTTTCACCGTAGTCCTGAGAGCGCTCAAAATGTCCACTTCCAGATACTACAAAAAGAGTGTTTCAAACCTGCTATATGAAAGGGACTGTTCAACACTGTGACTTCAATTGAAACATCCCAATGAAGCTTCTGAGAATGCTTCTGTCTAGAGTTTATATGAAGACAATCCCGTTTCCAACGAAATCCTCAAAGCTATCCAAATATCCTCTTGCAGATTTTACAAAAAGAGTGTTTCAAAACTGCTCTATCAAAAGAAAGCTTCAACACTGTTAGTTGAGGGCGCACATCACAAATAAGATTCTGAGAATGCTTCTGTCTAGTTTTCAGGGGAAGATATTTCCTTTTTTACCATAGGCCTGAAAGCGCTCCAAATGTCCACATACAGATACTACAAAAAGAGTGTTTCAAACCTGCTCTATGAAAGGGAATGTTCAACTCTGTGACTTGAATGCAAACATCACAAAGAAGTTTCTGGGAATGCTGCTGTCTGCTTTTTATATGTAATCCCGTTTCCAACGAAATCCTCAAATCTAGACAAATATCTACTTGCAGATTCCACAAAAAGAGTGTTTCAAAACTGCTCTATCAAAAGAATGCTTCAACACTGTTAGTTGAGGGCGCACATCACAAATAAGTTTCTGAGAATGCTTCTGTCCAGTTTTCAGGGGAAGATATTTCCTTTTAAACCATAGGCCTGAAAGCACTCCAAATGTCCACATCCAGATACTACAAAAAGAGTGTTTCAAACCTGCTCTATGAAAGGGACTGTTCAACACTGTGACTTCAATTGAAACATCCCAATGAAGCTTCTGAGAATGCTACTGTCTAGAGTTTATATGAAGACAATCCCACTTCCACCGAAATCCTCAAAGCAATCCAAATATCCTCTTGCAGATTTTACAAAAAGAGTGTTTCAAACTGCTCTGTCAAAAGAAAGCTTCAACACTGTTAGTTGAGGGTGCACATCACAAATAAGTTTCTGAGAATGCTTCTGTCTAGTTTTCAGGGGAAGATATTTCCTTTTTCACCATAGGCCTGAAAGCGCTCCAAATGTCCACATCCAGATACTACAAAAAGAGTGTTTCAAACCTGCTCTATGAAAGGGAATATTCAAGTCTGTGACTTGAATGCAAACATCACAAAGAAGTTTCTGGGAATGCTGCTGTCTGCTTTTTATATGTAATCCTGTTTCCAACGAAATCCTCAAAGCTAGACAAATATCCACTTTCAGATTCCACAAAAAGAGTGTTTCAAAACTGCTCTCTCAAAAGAAAGGTTCAACTCTGTTAGCTGAGTAGATACATCATGAAAAAGTTTCTGACATTGCTTCTATCTAGCTTTTATTGGAAGACATTTCCTTTTTCACCGCAGTCCTGAGAGCGCTCCAAATGTCCACTTCCAGATACTACAAAAAGAGTGTTTCAAACCTGCTCTATGAAAGGGACTGTTCAACACTGTGACTTCAATTGAAACATCCCAATGAAGCTTCTGAGAATGCTGCTGTCTGCTTTTTATATGTAATCCCGTTTCCAACTTAATCCTCAAAGGTAGACAAATATCCACTTGCAGATTCCACAAAACGAGTGTTTCAAAACTGCTCTCTCAAAAGAAAGGTTCAACTCTGTTAGCTGAGTAGATACATCATGAAAAAGTTTCTGACATTGCTTCTATCTAGCTTTTATTGGAAGATATTTCCTTTTTCACCGTAGTCCTGAGAGCGCTCCAAATGTCCACTTCCAGATACTACAAAAAGATTGTTTCAAACCTGCTCTATGAAAGGGACTGTTCAACACTGTGACTTCAATTGAAACATCCCAATGAAGCTTCTGAGAATGCTTCTGTCTAGAGTTTATATGAAGACAATCCCGTTTCCAACGAAATCCTCAAAGCTATCCAAATATCCTCTTGCAGATATTACAAAAAGAGTGTTTCAAAACTGCTCTATCAAAAGAAAGGTTCAACACTGTTAGTTGAGGGCGCACATCACAAATAAGTTTACTGAGAATGCTGCTGTCTGCTTTTTATATGTAATCCCGTTTCCAACGAAATCCTCAAAGCTAGACAAATATCCACTTGCAGATTCCACAAAAGGAGTGTTTCAAAACTGCTCTTTCAAAACGATGATTCAATTCTGTTAGTTGAGGGCGCACATCACAAATAAGTTTCTGAGAATGCTTCTGTCTACTTTTCAGGGGAAGATATTTCCTTTCTCACCATAGTCCTGAAAGCGCTCCAAATGTCCACATCCAGATACTACAAAAAGAGTGTTTCACACCTGCTCTATGAAAGGGACTGTTCAACACTGTGACTTCAATTGAAACATCCCAATGAAGCTTCTGAGAATGCTTCTGTCTAGAGTTTATATGAAGACAATCCCGTTTCCAAAGAAATCCTCAAAGCTATCCAAATATCCTCTTGCAGATTTTACAAAAAGAGTGTTTCAAAACTGCTCTATCAAAAGAAAGCTTCAATACTGTTAGTTGAGGGCGCACATCACAAATAAGATTCTGAGAATGCTTCTGTCTAGTTTTCAGGGGAAGATATTTCCTTTTTCACCGTAGGCCTGAAAGCGCTGCAAATGTCCACATCCCGATACTACAAAAAGAGTGTTTCAAACCTGCTCTATGAAAGGGAATGTTCAACTCTGTGACTTGAATGCAAACACCACAAAGAAGTTACTGGGAATGCTGCTGTCTGCTTTTTATATGTAATCCCGTTTCCAACGAAATCCTCAAAGCTAGACAAATTTCCACTTGCAGATTCCACAAAAAGAGTGTTTCAAAACTGCTCTCTCAAAGGAAAGGTTCAACTCTGTTAGCTGAGTAGATACATCATGAAAAAGTTTCTGACATTGCTTCTATGTAGCTTTTATTGGAAGATATTTCCTTTTTCACCGTAGTCCTGAGAGCGCTCCAAATGTCCACTTCCAGATACTACAAAAAGAGTGGTTCAAACCTGCTCTATGAAAGGGACTGTTCAACACTGTGACTTCAATTGAAACATCCCAATGAAGCTTCTGAGAATGCTTCTGTCTAGAGTTTATATGAAGACAATCCCGTTTCCAACGAAATCCTCAAAGCTATCCAAATATCCTCTTGCAGATTTTACAAAAAGAGTGTTTCAAAACTGCTCTATCAAAAGAAAGCTTCAACACTGTTAGTTGAGGGCGCACATCACAAATAAGATTCTGAGAATGCTTCTGTCTAGTTTTCAGGGGAAGATATTTCCTTTTTCACCATAGGCCTGAAAGCGCTCCACATGTCCACATCCAGATACTACAAAAAGAGTGTTTCAAACCTGCTCTATGAAAGGGAATGTTCAACTCTGTGACTTGAATGCAAACATCACAAAGAAGTTTCTGGGAATGCTGCAGTCTGCTTTTTATATGTAATCCCGTTTCCAACGAAATCCTCAAAGCTACACAAATATCCACTTGCAGATTCCACAAAAAGAGTGTTTCAAAACTGCTCTATCAAAAGAATGCTTCAACACTGTTAGTTGAGGGCGCACATCACAAATAAGTTTCTGAGAATGCTTCTGTCTAGTTTTCAGGGGAAGATATTTCCTTTTAAACCATAGGCCTGAAAGCGCTCCAAATGTCCACATCCAGATACTACAAAAAGAGTGTTTCAAACCTGCTCTATGAAAGGGACTGTTCAACACTGTGACTTCAATTGAAACATCCCAATGACGCTTCTGAGAATGCTTCGGTCTAGAGATTGTATGAAGACAATCCCGTTTCCAACGAAATCCTCAAAGCTATCCAAATATCCTCTTGCAGATTTTACAAAAAGAGTGTTTCAAAACTGCTCTATCAAAAGAAAGCTTCAACACTGTTAGTTGAGGGCGCACATCACAAATAAGATTCTGAGAATTCTTCTGTCTAGTTTTCAGGGGAAGATATTTCCTTTTTCCCCATTGGCCTGAAAGCGCTCCAAATGTCCACATCCAGATACTACAAAAAGAGTGTTTCAAACCTGCTCTATGAAAGGGAATGTCCAACTCTGTGACTTGAATGCAAACATCACAAAGAAGTTACTGGGAATGCTGCTGTCTGCTTTTTATATGTAATCCCGTTTCCAACGAAATCCTCAATGCTAGACAAATATCCACTTGCAGATTCCACAAAAAGAGTGTTTCAAAACTGCTCTCTCAAAAGAAAGGTTCAACTCTGTTAGCTGAGTAGATACATCATGAAAAAGTTTCTGACATTGCTTCTATCTAGCTTTTATTGGAAGATATTTCCTTTTTCACCGTATTCCTGAGGACTCTCCAAATGTCCACTTCCAGATACTACAAAAAGAGTGTTTCAAACCTGCTCTATGAAAGGGACTGTTCAACACTCTGACTTCAATTGAAACATCCCAATGAAGCTTCTGAGAATGCTTCTGTCTAGAGTTTATATGAAGACAATCCCGTTTCCAACGAAATCCTCAAAGCTATCCAAATATCCTCTTGCAGATTTTACGAAAAGAGTGTTTCAAAACTGCTCTATCAAAAGAAAGCTTCAACACTGTTAGTTGAGGGCGCTTATCACAAATAAGATTCTGGGAATGCTTCTGTCTAGTTTACAGGAGAAGATATTTCCTTTTTCACCATAGGCCTGAAAGCGCTCCAAATGTCCACATCCAGATACTATAAAAAGAGTGTTTCAAACCTGCTCTCTGAAAGGGAATGTTCAACTCTGTGACTTGAATGCAAACATCGCAAACAAGATTCTGGGAATGCTGCTGTCTGCTTTTTATATGTAATCCCGTTTCCAACGAAATCCTCAAAGCTATCCAAATATCCTCTTGCAGATATTACAAAAAGAGTGTTTCAAAACTGCTCTATCAAAAGAAAGGTTCAACTCTGTTAGCTGAGTAGATACATCATGAAAAAGTTTCTGACATTGCTTCTATGTAGCTTTTATTGGAAGATATTTCCTTTTTCACCATAGTCCTGAGAGCGCTCCAAATGTCCACTTCCAGATACTACAAAAAGAGTGTTTCAAACCTGTTCTATGAAAGGAACTGTTCAACACTGTGACTTCAATTGAAACATCCCAATGAAGCTTCTGAGAATGCTTCTGTCTAGAGTTTATATGAAGACAATCCCGTTTCCAACGAAATCCTCAAAGCTATCCAAATATCCTCTTGCAGATATTACAAAAAGAGTGTTTCAAAACTGCTCTATCAAAAGAAAGGTTCAACACTGTTAGTTGAGGGCGCACATCACAAATAAGTTTACTGAGAATGCTGCTGTCTGCTTTTTATATGTAATCCCGTTTCCAACGAAATCCTCAAAGCTAGACAAATATCCACCTGCAGATTCCACAAAAAGAGTGTTTCAAAACTGCTCTATCAAAAGAAAGCTTCAACACTGTTAGTTGAGGGCGCACATCACAAATAAGTTTCTGAGAATGCTTCTATGTAGCTTTTATTGGAAGATATTTCCTTTTTCACCGTAGTCCTGAGAGCGCTCCAAATGTCCACTTCCTGATACTACAAAAAGAGTGTTTCAAACCTGCTCTATGAAAGGGACTGTTCAACACTGTGACTTCAATTGAAACATCCCAATGAAGTTTCTGAGAATGCTTCTGTCTAGAGTTTATATGAAGACAATCCCGTTTCCAATGAAATCCTCAAAGCTATGCAAATATCCTCTTGCAGATTTTACAAAAAGAGTGTTTCAAATCTGCTCTATCAAAAGAAAGCTTCAACACTGTTAGTTGAGGGCGCACATCACAAATAAGATTCTGAGAATGCTTCTGTCTAGTTTTCAGGAGAAGATATTTCCTTTTTCACCATAGGCCTGAAAGCGCTCCAAATGTCCACATCGAGATACTACAAAAAGAGTGTTTCAAACCTGCTCTATGAAAGGGAATGTTCAACTCTGTGACTTGAATGCAAACATCACAAAGAAGATTCTGGGAATGCTGCTGTCTGCTTCTTATATGTAATCCCGTTTCCAACGATATCCTCAAAGCTAGACAAATATCCACTTGCAGATACCACAAAAAGAGTGTTTCAAAACTGCTCTATCAAAAGAAAGCTTCAACACTGTTAGTTGAGGGGGCACATCACAAATAAGTTTCTGAGAATGCTTCTATCTAGCTTTTATTGGAAGATATTTCCTTTTTCACTGTAGTCCTGAGAACGCTCCAAATGTCCACTTCCAGATACTACAAAAAGAGTGTTTCAAACATGCTCTATGAAAGGGACTGTTCAACACTGTGACTTCAATTGAAACATCCCAATGAAGCTTCTGAGAATGCTTCTGTCTAGATTTTATATGAAGACAATCCCGTTTCCAACGAAATCCTCAAAGCTATCCAAATATCCTATTGCAGATTTCACAAAAAGAGTGTTTCAAAACTGCTCTATCAAAAGAAAGGTTCAACACTGTTAGTTGACGGCGCACATCACAAATAAGTTTCTGAGAATGCTTCTGTCTAGTTTTCAGGGGAAGATATATCCTTTTTCACCATAGGCCTGAAAGCGCTCCAAATGTCCACATCCAGATACTACAAAAAGAGTGTTTCAAACCTGCTCTATGAAAGGGAATGTTCAACTCTGTGACTTGAATGCAAACATCACAGAGAAGTTTCTGGGAATGCTGCTGTCTGCTTTTTATATGTAATCCCGTTTCCAACGAAATCCTCAAAGCTAGACAAATATCCACTTGCAGATTCCACAAAAAGAGTGTTTCAAAACGGCTCTCTCAAAAGAAAGGTTCAACTCTGTTAGCTGAGTAGATACATCATGAAAAAGTTTCTGACATTGCTTCTATCTAGCTTTTATTGGAAGATATTTCCTTTTTCACCATAGTCCTGAGAACGCTCCAAATGTCCACTTCCAGATATTAGAAAAAGAGTGTTTCAAACCTGCTCTACGAAAGGGACTGTTCAACACTGTGACTTCAATTGAAACATCCCAATGAAGCTTCTGAGAATGCTTCTGTCTAGATTGTATATGAAGACAATCCCGTTTCCAACGAAATCCTCAAAGCTATCCAAATATCCTCTTGCAGATTTTACAAAAAGAGTGTTTCAAAACTGCTCTATCAAAAGAAAGCTTCAACACTGTTAGTTGAGGGCGCACATCACAAATAAGTTTCTGAGAATGCTTCTGTCTAGTTTTCAGGGGAAGATATTTCCTTTTTCACCATAGGCCTGAAAGCGCTCCAAATGTCCACATCCAGATACTACAAAAAGAGTGTTTCAAACCTGCTCTATGAAAGGGAATGTTCAACTCTGTGACTTGAATGCAAGCATCACAAAGAAGTTACTGGGAATGCTGCTGTCTGCCTTTTATATGTAATCCCGTTTCCAACGAAATCCTCAAAGCTAGACAAATATCCACTTGCAGATTCCACAAAAAGAGTGTTTCAAAACTGCTCTCTCAAAAGAAAGGTTCAACTCTTTTAGCTGAGTTGATACATCATGAAAAAGTTTCTGACATTGCTTCTATCTAGCTTTTATTGGAAGATATTTCCTTTTTCACCGTAGTCCTGAGAACGCTCCAAATGTCCACTTCCAGATATTACAAAAAGAGTGTTTCAAACCTGCTCTACGAAAGGGACTGTTCAACACTGTGACTTCAATTGAAACATCCCAATGAAGCTTCTGAGAATGCTTCTGTCTAGATTGTATATGAAGACAATCCCGTTTCCAACGAAATCCTCAAAGCTATCCAAATATCCTCTTGCAGATTTTACAAAAAGAGTGTTTCAAAACTGCTCTATCAAAAGAAAGCTTCAACACTGTTAGTTGAGGGCGCACATCACAAATAAGTTTCTGAGAATGCTTCTATGTAGCTTTTATTGGAAGATATTTCCTTTTTCACCATAGGCCTGAAAGCGCTCCAAATGTCCACATCCAGATACTACAAAAAGAGTGTTTCAAACCTGCTCTATGAAAGGGAATGTTCAACTCTGTCACTTGAATGCAAACCTCACAAAGAAGTTACTGGGAATGCTTCTGTCTGCTTTTTATATGTAATCCCGTTTCCAACGAAATCCTCAAACTAGACAAATATCCACTTGCAGATTCCACAAAAGAGTGTTTCAAAACGGCTCTCTCAAAAGAAAGGTTCAACTCTGTTAGCTGAGTAGATACATCATGAAAAAGTTTCTGAGATTGCTTCTATCTAACTTTTATTGGAAGATATTTCCTTTTTCACCGTAGTCCTGAGAACTCTCCAAATGTCCACTTCCAGATACTACAAAAAGAGTGTTTCAAACCTGCTCTATGAAAGGGACTGTTCAACACTGTGACTTCAATTGAAACATCCCAATGAAGCTTCTGAGAATGCTTCTGTCTAGAGTTTATATGAAGACAATCCCGTTTCCAACGAAATCCTCAAAGCTATCCAAATATCCTCTTGCAGATTTTACAAAAAGAGTGTTTCAAAACTGCTCTATCAAAAGAAAGGTTCAACACTGTTAGTTGAGGGCGCACATCACAAATAAGTTTCTGAGAATGCTTCTGTCTAGTTTTCAGGGGAAGATATTTCCTTTTTCACCATAGGCCTGAAAGCGCTCCAAATGTCCACATCCAGATACTACAAAAAGAGTGTTTCAAACCTGCTCTATGAAAGGGAATGTTCAACTCTGTGACTTGAATGCAAACATCACAAAGAAGTTACTGGGAATGCTGCTGTCTGCTTTTTATAAGTAATCCCGTTTCCAACGAAATCCTCAAAGCTAGACAAATATCCACTTGCAGATTCCACAAAAAGAGTGTTTCAAAACTGCTCTCTCAAAAGAAAGGTTCAACTCTGTTAGCTGAGTAGATACATCATGAAAAAGTTTCTGACATTGCTTCTATGTAGCTTTTATTGGAAGATATTTCCTTTTTCACCATAGTCCTGAGAGCGCTCCAAATGTCCACTTCCAGATACTACAAAAAGAGTGTTTCAAACCTGTTCTATGAAAGGAAATGTTCAACACTGTGACTTCAATTGAAACATCCCAATGAAGCTTCTGAGAATGCTTCTGTCTAGAGTTTATATGAAGACAATCCCGTTTCCAACGAAATCCTCAAAGCTATCCAAATATCCTCTTGCAGATATTACAAAAAGAGTGTTTCAAAACTGCTCTATCAAAAGAAAGCTTCAACACTGTTAGTTGAGGGCGCACATCACAAATAAGTTTCTGAGAATGCTTCTGTCTAGTTTTCAGGGGAAGATATTTCCTTTTTCACCATAGGCCTGAAAGCGCTCCAAATGTCCACATACAGATACTACAAAAAGAGTGTTTCAAACCTGCTCTATGAAAGGGAATGTTCAACTCTGTGACTTGAATGCAAACTTCACAAAGAAGTTTCTGGGAATGCTGCTGTCTGCTTTTTATATGTAATCCCGTTTCCAATGAAATCCTCAAAGCTAGACAAATATCCACTTGCAGATTCCACAAAAAGAGTGTTTCAAAACTGCTCTCTCAAAAGAAAGGTTCAACTCTGTTAGCTGAGTAGATACATCATGAAAAAGTTTCTGACTTTGCTTCTATCTAGCTTTTATTGGAAGATATTTCCTTTATCACCGTATTCCTGAGATCTCTCCAAATGTCCACATCCAGATACTACAAAAAGAGTGTTTCAAACCTGCTCTATGAAAGGGACTGTTCAACACTGTGACTTCAATTCAAACATCCCAATGACGCTTCTGAGAATGCTTCTGTCTAGAGTTTATATGAAGACAATCCCGTTTCCAACGAAATCCTCAAAGCTATCCAAATATCCTCTTGCAGATTTTACAAAAAGAGTGTTTCAAAACTGCTCTATCAAAAGAAAGCTTCAACACTGTTAGTTGAGGGCGCACATCACAAATAAGATTCTGAGAATGCTTCTGTCTAGTTTTCAGGGGAAGATATTTCCTTTTTCACCATAGGCCTGAAAGCGCTCCAAATGTCCACATCCAGATACTGCAAAAAGAGTGTTTCAAACCTGCTCTATGAAAGGGAATGTTCAACTCTGTGACTTGAATGCAAACATCACAAAGAAGTTACTGGGAATGCTGCTGTCTGCTTTTTATATGTAATCCCGTTTCCAACGAAATCCTCAAAGCTAGACAAATATCCACTTGCAGATTCCACAAAAAGAGTGTTTCAAAACTGCTCTATCAAAAGAAAGCTTCAACACTGTTAGTTGAGGGCGCACATCACAAATAAGTTTCTGAGAATGCTTCTGTCTAGTTTTCAGGGGAAGATATTTCCTTTTAAACCATAGGCCTGAAAGCGCTCCAAATGTCCACATCCAGATACTACAAAAAGAGTGTTTGAAACCTGCTTTATGAAAGGGACTGTTCAACACTGTGACTTCAATTGAAACATCCCAATGAAGCTTCTGAGAATGCTTCTGTCTAGAGTTTATATGAAGACAATCCCGTTTCCAACGAAATCCTCAAAGCTATCCAAATATCCTCTTGCAGATATTACAAAAAGAGTGTTTCAAAACTGCTCTATCAAAAGAAAGGTTCAACACTGTTAGTTGAGGGCGCACATCACAAATAAGTTTCTGAGAATGCTTTCTGTCTAGTTTTCAGGGGAAGATATTTCCTTTTTCACCATAGGCCTGAAAGCGCTCCAAATGTCCACATCCAGATACTATAAAAAGAGTGTTTCAAACCTGCTCTCTGAAAGGGAATGTTCAACTCTGTGACTTGAATGCAAACATCACAAACAAGATTCTGGGAATGCTGCTGTCTGCTTTTTATATGTAATCCCGTTTCCAACGAAATCCTCAAAGCTAGACAAATATCCACTTGCAGATTCCACAAAAAGAGTGTTTCAAAACTGCTCTCTCAAAAGAAAGTTTCAACTCTGTTAGCTGAGTAGATACATCATGAAAAAGTTTCTGACATTGCTTCTATCTAGCTTTTATTGGAAGATATTTCCTTTTTCACCGTAGTCCTGAGAACGCTCCAAATGTCCACTTCCAGATGCTACAAAAAGAGTGTTTGAAACCTGCTCTATGAAAGGGACTGTTCAACACTGTGACTTCAATTGAAACATCCCAATGAAGCTTCTGAGAATGCTTCTGTCTAGAGTTTATATGAAGACAATCCCGTTTCCAACGAAATCCTCAAAGCTATCCAAATATCCTCTTGCAGATTTTACAAAAAGAGTGTTTCAAAACTGCTCTATCAAAAGAAAGCTTCAACACTGTTAGTTGAGGGCGCACATCACAAATAAGATTCTGAGAATGCTTCTGTCTAGTTTTCAGGAGAAGATATTTCCTTTTTCACCATAGGCCTGAAAGCGCTCCAAATGTCCACATCCAGATACTATAAAAAGAGTGTTTCAAACCTGCTCTCTGAAAGGGAATGTTCAACTCTGTGACTTGAATGCAAACATGACAAACAAGATTCTGGGAATGCTGCTGTCTGCTTTTTATATGTAATCCCGTTTCCAACGAAATCCTCAAAGCTATCCAAATATCCTCTTGCAGATATTACAAAAAGAGTGTTTCAAAACTGCTCTATCAAAAGAAAGGTTAAACACTGTTAGTTGAGGGCGCACATCACAAATAAGTTTCTGAGAATGCTTCTGTCTAGTTTTCAGGGGAAGATATTTCCTTTTAAACCATAGGCCTGAAAGCGCTCCAAATGTCCACATCCAGATACTACAAAAAGAGTGTTTCAAACCTGCTCTATGAAAGGGACTGTTCAACACTGTGACTTCAATTGAAACATCCCAATGACGCTTCTGAGAATGCTTCTGTCTAGAGTTTATATGAAGACAATCCCGTTTCCAATGAAATCCTCAAAGCTATGCAAATATCCTCTTGCAGATTTTACAAAAAGAGTGTTTCAAAACTGCTCTATCAAAAGAAAGCTTCAACACTGTTAGTTGAGGGCGCACATCACAAATAAGATTCTGAGAATGCTTCTGTCTAGTTTTCAGGAGAAGATATTTCCTTTTTCACCATAGGCCTGAAAGCGCTCCAAATGTCCACATCGAGATACTACAAAAAGAGTGTTTCAAACCTGCTCTATGAAAGGGAATGTTCAACTCTGTGACTTGAATGCAAACATCACAAAGAAGATTCTGGGAATGCTGCTGTCTGCTTTTTATATGTAATCCCGTTTCCAACGAAATCCTCAAAGCTAGACAAATATCCACTTGCAGATTCCACAAAAAGAGTGTTTCAAAACTGCTCTATCAAAAGAAAGCTTCAACACTGTTAGTTGAGGGGGCACATCACAAATAAGTTTCTGAGAATGCTTCTGTCTAGTTTTCAGGGGAAGATATTTCCTTTTTCACCATAGGCCTGAAAGCGCTCCAAATGTCCACATCCAGATACTACAAAAAGAGTGTTTCAAACCTGCTCTATGAAAGGGACTGTTCAACACTGTGACTTCAATTGAAACATCCCAATGAAGCTTCTGAGAATGCTTCTGTCTAGAGTTTATATGAAGACAATCCCGTTTCCAACGAAATCCTCAAAGCTATCCAAATATCCTCTTGCAGATTTTACAAAAAGAGAGTTTCAAAACTGCTCTATCAAAAGAAAGGTTCAACACTGTTAGTTGAGGGCGCACATCACAAATAAGATTCTGAGAATTCTTCTGTCTAGTTTTCAGGGGAAGATATTTCCTTTTTCACCATAGGCCTGAAAGCGCTCCAAATGTCCACATAGAGATACTACAAAAAGAGTGTTTCAAACATGCTCTATGAAAGGGAATGTTCAACTCTGTGACTTGAATGCAAACATCACCAAGAAGTTTCTGGGAATGCTGCTGTCTGCTTTTTATATGTAATCCCGTTTCCAACGAAATCCTCAAAGCTAGACAAAATATCCACTTGCAGATTCCACAAAAAGAGTGTTTCAAAACTGCTCTCTCAAAAGAAAGGTTCAACTCTGTTAGCTGAGTAGATACATCATGAAAAAGTTTCTGACATTGCTTCTATCTAGCTTTATTTGGAAGATATTTCCTTTTTCACCGTAGTCCTGAGAGCGCTCCAAATGTCCACTTCCAGATACTACAAAAAGAGTGTTTCAAACCTGCTCTATGAAAGGGACTGTTCAACACTGTGACTTCAATTGAAACATCCCAATGAAGCTTCTGAGAATGCTTCTGTCTAGATTCTATATGAAGACAATCCCGTTTCCAACGAAATCCTCAAAGCTATCCAAATATCCTCTTGCAGATTTTACAAAAAGAGTGTTTCAAAACTGCTCTATCAAAAGAAAAGTTCCACACTGTTAGTTGAGGGCGCACATCACAAATAAGTTTCTGAGAATGCTTCTGTCTAGTTTTCAGGGGAAGATATTTCCTTTTTCACCATAGGCCTGAAAGCGCTCCAAATGTCCACATCCAGATACTACAAAAAGAGTGTTTCAAACCTGCTCTATGAAAGGGAATGTTCAACTCTGTGACTTGAATGCAAACATGACAAACAAGTTTCTGTGAATGCTGCTGTCTGCTTTTTATATGTAATCCCGTTTCCAACGAAATCCTCAAAGCTAGACAAATATCCACTTGCAGATTCCACAAAAAGAGTGTTTCAAAACTGATCTCTCAAAAGAAAGGTTCAACTCTGTTAGCTGAGTAGATACATCATGAAAATGTTTCAGACATTGCTTTCTATCTAGCTTTTATTGGAAGATAATTCCTTTATCACCGTATTCCTGAGATCTCTCCAAATGTCCACTTCCAGATACTACAAAAAGAGTGTTTCAAACCTGCTCTATGAAAGGGACTGTTCAACACTGTGACTTCAATTGAAACATCCCAATGAAGCTTCTGAGAATGCTTCTGTCTAGAGTTTATATGAAGACAATCCCATTTCCAACGAAATCCTCAAAGCTATCCAAATATACTCTTGCAGATATTACAAAAAGAGTGTTTCAAAACTGCTCTATCAAAAGAAAGGTTCAACACTGTTAGTTGAGGGCGCACATCACAAATAAGTTTCTGAGAATGCTTCTGTCTAGTTTTCAGGGGAAGATATTTCCTTTTTCACCATAGGCCTGAAAGCGCTCCAAATGTCCACATCCAGATACTACAAAAAGAGTGTTTCAAACCTGCTCTATGAAAGGGAATGTTCAACTCTGTGACTTGAATGAAAACATCACAAAGAAGTTACTGGGAATGCTGCTGTCTGCTTTTTATATGTAATCCCGTTTCCAACGAAATCCTCAAAGCTAGACAAATATCCACTTGCAGATTCCACAAAAAGAGTGTTTCAAAACTGCTCTCTCAAAGGAAAGGTTCAACTCTGTTAGCTGAGTAGATACATCATGAAAAAGTTTCTGACATTGCTTCTATGTAGCTTTTATTGGAAGATATTTCCTTTTTCACCGTAGTCCTGAGAGCGCTCCAAATGTCCACTTCCAGATACTACAAAAAGAGTGTTTCAAACCTGCTCTATGAAAGGGACTGTTCAACACTGTGACTTCAATTGAAACATCCCAATGAAGCTTCTGAGAATGCTTCTGTCTAGAGTTTATATGAAGACAATCCCGTTTCCAACGAAATCCTCAAAGCTATCCAAATATCCTCTTGCAGATATTACAAAAAGAGTGTTTCAAAACTGCTCTATCAAAAGAAAGCTTCAACACTGTTAGTTGAGGGCGCACATCACAAATAAGTTTCTGAGAATGCTTCTGTCTAGTTTTCAGGGGAAGATATTTCCTTTTTCACCTTATGCCTGAAAGCGCTGCAAATGTCCACATCCAGATACTACAAAAAGAGTGTTTCAAACCTGCTCTATCAAAGGGACTGTTCAACACTGTGACTTCAATTGAAACATCCCAATGAAGCTTCTGAGAATGCTTCTGTCTAGAGTTTATATGAAGACAATCCGGTTTCCAACGAAATCCTCAAAGCTATCCAAATATCCTCTTGCAGATTTTACAAAAAGAGTGTTTCAAAACTGCTCTATCAAAAGAAAGCTTCAACACTGTTAGTTGAGGGCGCACATCACAAATAAGTTCTGAGAATGCTTCTATGTAGCTTTTATTGGAAGATATTTCCTTTTTCACCATAGGCCTGAAAGCGCTCCAAATGTCCACATCCAGATACTACAAAAAGAGTGTTTCAAACCTGCTCTATGAAAGGGAATGTTCAACTCTGTCACTTGAATGCAAACCTCACAAAGAAGTTACTGGGAATGCTGCTGTCTGCTTTTTATATGTAATCCCGTTTCCAACGAAATCCTCAATGCTAGACAAATATCCACTTGCAGATTCCACAAAAAGAGTGTTTCAAAACTGCTCTCTCAAAAGAAAGGTTCAACTCTGTTAGCTGAGTAGATACATCATGAAAAAGTTTCTGACATTGCTTCTATCTAGCTTTTATTGGAAGATATTTCCTTTTTCACCGCAGTCCTGAGAGCGTTCCAAATGTCCACTTCCAGATACTACAAAAAGAGTGTTTCAAACCTGCTCTATGAAAGGGACTGTTCAACACTGTGACTTCAATTGAAACATCCCAATGAAGCTTCTGAGAATGCTTCTGTCTAGAGTTTATATGAAGACAATCCCGTTTCCAACGAAATCCTCAAAGCTATCCAAATATCCTCTTGCAGATTTTACAAAAAGAGTGTTTCAAAACTGCTCTATCAAAAGAAAGCTTCAACACTGTTAGTTGAGGGCGCACATCACAAATAAGATTCTGAGAATGCTTCTGTCTAGTTTTCAGGAGAAGATATTTCCTTTTTCACCATAGGCCTGAAAGCGCTCAAAATGTCCATATCCAGATACTATAAAAAGAGTGTTTCAAACCTGCTCTCTGAAAGGGAATGTTCAACTCTGTGACTTGAATGCAAACATCACAAACAAGATTCTGGGAATGCTGCTGTCTGCTTTTTATATGTAATCCCGTTTCCAACGAAATCCTCAAAGCTAGAAAAATATCCACTTGCAGATTCCACAAAAAGAGTGTTTCAAAACTGCTCTATCAAAAGAAAGCTTCAACACTGTTAGTTGAGGGCGCACATCACAAATAAGTTTCTGAGAATGCTTCTGTCTAGTTTTCAGGGGAAGATATTTCCTTTTTCACCTTATGCCTGAAAGCGCTCCAAATGTCCACATCCAGATTCTACAAAAAGAGTGTTTCAAACCTGCTCTATGAAAGGGACTGTTCAACACTGTGACTTCAATTGAAACATCCCAATGAAGCTTCTGAGAATGCTTTTGTCTAGAGTTTATATGAAGACAATCCCGTTTCCAACGAAATCCTCAAAGCTATCCAAATATCCTCTTGCAGATTTTACAAAAAGAGTGTTTCAAAACTGCTCTATCAAAAGAAAGCTTCAACACTGTTAGTTGAGAGCGCACATCACAAATAAGATTCTGAGAATTCTTCTGTCTAGTTTTCAGGGGAAGATATTTCCTTTTTCACCATAGGCCTGAAAGCGCTCCAAATGTCCACATCCAGATACTACAAAAAGAGTGTTTCAAACCTGCTCTATGAAAGGGAATGTTCAACTCTGTGACTTGAATGCAAACATCACAAAGAAGTTACTGGGAATGCTGCTGTCTGCTTTTTATATGTAATCCCGTTTCCAAGGAAATCCTCAAAGCTAGACAAATATCCACTTCCAGATTCCACAAAAAGAGTGTTTCAAAACTGCTCTCTCAAAAGAAAGGTTCAACTCTGTTAGCTGAGTAGATACATCATGAAAAAGTTTCTGACATTGCTTCTATGTAGCTTTTATTGGAAGATATTTCCTTTTTCACCATAGGCCTGAAAGCGCTCCAAATGTCCACATCCAGATACTACAAAAAAAGTGTTTCAAACCTGCTCTATGAAAGGGAATGTTCAACTCTGTGACTTGAATGCAAACATCACAAAGAAGTTACTGGGAATGCTGCTGTCTGGTTTTTATATGTAATCCCGTTTCCAACGAAATCCTCAAAGCTAGACAAATATCCACTTGCAGATTCCACAAAAAGAGTGTTTCAAAACTGCTCTCTCAAAAGAAAGGTTCAACTCTGTTAGCTGAGTAGATACATCATGAAAAAGTTTCTGACATTGTTCTATCTAGCTTTTATTGGAAGATATTTCCTTTTTCACCGCAGTCCTGAGAGCGCTGAAAATGTCCACTTCCAGATACTACAAAAAGAGTGTTTCAAACCTGCTCTATGAAAGGGACTGTTCAACACTGTGACTTCAACTGAAACGTCCCAATGAAGCTTCTGAGAATGCTTCTGTCTAGAGTTTATATGAAGACAATCCCGTTTCCAACGAAATCCTCAAAGCTATCCAAATATCCTCTTGCAGATATTACAAAAAGAGTGTTTCAAAACTGCTCTATCAAAAGAAAGGTTCAACACTGTTAGTTGAGGGCGCACATCACAAATAAGTTTACTGAGAATGCTGCTGTCTGCTTTTTATATGTAATCCCGTTAACAACGAAATCCTCAAAGCTAGACAAATATCCACTTGCAGATTCCACAAAAAGAGTGTTTCAAAACTGCTCTATCAAAAGAATGCTTCAACACTGTTAGTTGAGGGCGCACATCACAAATAAGCTTCTGAGAATGCTTCTGTCTAGTTTTCAGGGGAAGATATTTCCTTTTAAACCATAGGCCTGAAAGGCTCCAAATGTCCACATCCAGATACTACAAAAAGAGTGTTTCAAACCTGCTCTATGAAAGGGACTGTTCAACACTGTGACTTCAATTGAAACATCCCAATGAAGCTTCTGAGAATGCTTTTGTCTAGAGTTTATATGAAGACAATCCCGTTTCCAACGAAATCCTCAAAGCTATCCAAATATCCTCTTGCAGATTTTACGAAAAGAGTGTTTCAAAACTGCTCTATCAAAAGAAAGCTTCAACACTGTTAGTTGAGGGCGCACATCACAAATAAGATTCTGAGAATGCTTCTGTCTAGTTTTCAGGAGAAGATATTTCCTTTTTCACCATAGGCCTGAAAGCGCTCCAAATGTCCACATCCAGATACTATAAAAAGAGTGTTTCAAACCTGCTCTCTGAAAGGGAATGTTCAACTCTGTGACTTGAATGCAAACATCACAAACAAGATTCTGGGAATGCTGCTGTCTGCTTTTTATAATTAATCCCGTTTCCAACGAAATCCTCAAAGCTATCCAAATATCCTCTTGCAGATATTACAAAAAGAGTGTTTCAAAACTGCTCTATCAAAAGAAAGGTTCAACACTGTTAGTTGAGGGCGCACATCACAAATAAGTTTCTGAGAATGCTTCTGTCTAGTTTTCAGGGGAAGATATTTCCTTTTTCACCATAGGCCTGAAAGCGCTCCAAATGTCCACATCCAGATACTACAAAAAGAGTGTTTCAAACCTGCTCTATGAAAGGGAATGTTCAACTCTGTGACGTGAATGCAAACATCACAAAGAAGTTTCTGGGAATGCTGCTGTCTGCTTTTTATATGTAATCCCGTTTCCAACGAAATCCTCAAAGCTAGACAAATATCCACTTGCAGATTCCACAAAAAGAGTGTTTCAAAACTGCTCTATCAAAAGAATGCTTCAACACTGTTAGTTGAGGGCGCACATCACAAATAAGTTTCTGAGAATGCTTCTGTCTAGTTTTCAGGGGAAGATATTTCCTTTTAAACCATAGGCCTGAAAGCGCTCCAAATGTCCACATCCAGATACTACAAAAAGAGTGTTTCAAACCTGCTCTATGAAAGGGACTGTTCAACACTGTGACTTCAATTGAAACATCCCAATGAAGCTTCTGAGAATGCTTCTGACTAGAGTTTATATGAAGACAATCCCGTTTCCAACGAAATCCTCAAAGCTATCCAAATATCCTCTTGCAGATTTTACAAAAAGAGTGTTTCAAAACTGCTCTATCAAAAGAAAGCTTCAACACTGTTAGTTGAGGGCGCACATCACAAATAAGATTCTGAGAATGCTTCTGTCTAGTTTTCAGGGGAAGATATTTCCTTTTTCACCATAGGCCTGAAAGCGCTCCAAATGTCCACATCCAGATACTACAAAAAGAGTGTTTCAAACCTGCTCTATGAAAGGGAATGTTCAACTGTGTGACTTGAATGCAAACATCACAAAGAAGTTTCTGGGAATGCTGCTGTCTGCTTTTTATATGTAATCCCGTTTCCAACGCAATCCTCAAAGCTAGACAAATATCCACTTGCAGATTCCACAAAAAGAGTGTTTCAAAACTGCTCTCTCAAAGGAAGGTTCAACTCTGTTAGCTGAGTAGATACATCATGAAAAAGTTTCTGACATTGCTTCTATCTAGCTTTTATTGGAAGATATTTCCTTTTTCACCGCAGTCCTGAGAGCGCTCCAAATGTCCACTTCCAGATACTACAAAAAGAGTGTTTCAAACCTGCTCTATGAAAGGGACTGTTCAACACTGTGACTTCAATTGAAACATCCCAATGAAGCTTCTGAGAATGCTTCTGTCTAGATTCTATATGAAGACAATCCCGTTTCCAACGAAATCCTCAAAGCTATCCAAATATCCTCTTGCAGATTTTACAAAAAGAGTGTTTCAAAACTGCTCTATCAAAAGAAAAGTTCCACACTGTTAGTTGAGGGCGCACATCACAAATAAGTTTGCTGAGAATGCTGCTGTCTGCTATTTATATGTAATCCCGTTTCCAACGAAATCCTCAAAGCTAGACAAATATCCACTTGCAGATTCCACAAAAAGAGTGTTTCAAAACTGCTCTATCAAAAGAATGCTTCAACACTGTTAGTTGAAGGCGCACATCACAAATAAGTTTCTGAGAATGCTTCTGTCTAGTTTTCAGGGGAAGATATTTCCTTTTTCACCATAGGCCTGAAAGCGCTCCAAATGTCCACATCCAGATACTACAAAAAGAGTGTTTCAAACCTGCTCTATGAAAGGGACTGTTCAACACTGTGACTTCAATTGAAACATCCCAATGAAGCTTCTGAGAATGCTTTCTGTCTAGAGTTTATATGAAGACAATCCCGTTTCCAACGAAATCCTCAAAGCTATCCAAATGTCCTCTTGCAGATATTACAAAAAGAGTGTTTCAAAACTGCTCTATCAAAAGAAAAGTTCAACACTGTTAGTTGAGGGCGCACATCACAAATAAGTTTCTGAGAATGCTTCTGTCTAGTTTTCAGGGGAAGATATTTCCTTTTTCACCATAGGCCCGAAATCGCTCCAAATGTCCACATCCAGATACTACAAAAAGAGTGTTTCAAACCTGCTCTATGAAAGGGAATGTTCAACTCTGTGACTTGAATGTAAACATCACAAAGAAGTTACTGGGAATGCTGCTGTCTGCTTTTTATATGTAATCCTGTTTCCAACGAAATCCTCAAAGCTAGACAAATATCCACTTGCAGATTCCACAAAAAGAGTGTTTCAAAACTGCTCTCTCAAAAGAAAGGTTCAACTCTGTTAGCTGAGTAGATACATCATGAAAAAGTTTCTGACATTGCTTCTATGTAGCTTTTATTGGAAGATATTTCCTTTTTCACCGTAGTCCTGAGAGCGCTCCAAATGTCCACTTCCAGATACTACAAAAAGAGTGTTTCAAACCTGCTCTATGAAAGGGACTGTTCAACACTGTGACTTCAATTGAAACATCCCAATGAAGCTTCTGAGAATGCTTCTGTCTAGAGTTTATTTGAAGACAATCCCGTTTCCAATGAAATCCTCAAAGCTATGCAAATATCCTCTTGCAGATTTTACAAAAAGAGTGTTTCAAATCTGCTCTATCAAAAGAAAGCTTCAACACTGTTAGTTGAGGGCGCACATCACAAATAAGATTCTGAGAATGCTTCTGTCTAGTTTTCAGGGGAAGATATTTCCTTTTTCACCATAGGCCTGAAAGCGCTCCAAATGTCCACATCCAGATACTACAAAAAGAGTGTTTCAAACCTGCTCTATGAAAGGGAATGTACAACTCTGTGACTTGAATGCGAACATCACAAAGAAGTTACTGGGAATGCTGCTGTCTGCTTTTTATATGTAATCCCGTTTCCAACGAAATCCTCAAAGCTAGACAAATATCCACTTGCAGATTCCACAAAAAGAGTGTTTCAAAACTGCTCTCTCAAAGGAAAGGTTCAACTCTGTTAGCTGAGTAGATACATCATGAAAAAGTTTCTGACATTGCTTCTATGTAGCTTTTATTGGAAGATATTTCCTTTTTCACCATAGTCCTGAGAGCGCTCCAAATGTCCACTTCCAGATACTACAAAAAGAGTGTTTCAAACCTGTTCTATGAAAGGAAATGTTCAACACTGTCACTTCAATTCAAACATCCCAATGAAGCTTCTGAGAATGCTTCTGTCTAGAGTTTATATGAAGACAATCCCGTTTCCAACGAAATCCTCAAAGCTAGACAAATATCCACTTGCAGATTCCACAAAAAGAGTGTTTCAAAACTGCTCTCTCAAAGGAAGGTTCAACTCTGTTAGCTGAGTAGATACATCATGAAAAAGTTTCTGACATTGCTTCTATCTAGCTTTTATTGGAAGATAGTTCCTTTTTCACCGCAGTCCTGAGAGCGCTCCAAATGTCCACTTCCAGATAATACAAAAAGAGTGTTTCAAACCTGCTCTATGAAAGGGACTGTTCAACACTGTGACTTCAATTGAAACATCCCAATGAAGCTTCTGAGAATGCTTCTGTCTAGAGTTTATATGAAGACAATCCCGTTTCCAACGAAATCCTCAAAGCTATCCAAATATCCTCTTGCAGATTTTACAAAAAGAGTGTTTCAAAACTGCTCTATCAAAAGAAAGCTTCAACACTGTTAGTTGAGGGCGCACATCACAAATAAGATTCTGAGAATGCTTCTGTCTAGTTTTCAGGGGAAGATATTTCCTTTTTCACCATAGGCCTGAAAGCGCTCCAAATGTCCACATCCAGATACTACAAAAAGAGTGTTTCAAACCTGCTCTATGAAAGGGAATGTTCAACTCTGTGACTTGAATGCAAACATCACAAAGAAGTTACTGGGAATGCTGCTGTCTGCTTTTTATATGTAATCCCGTTTCCAACGAAATCCTCAAAGCTAGACAAATATCCACTTGCAGATTCCACAAAAAGAGTGTTTCAAAACTGCTCTCTCAAAGGAAAGGTTCAACTCTGTTAGCTGAGTAGATACATCATGAAAAAGTTTCTGACATTGCTTCTATGTAGCTTTTATTGGAAGATATTTCCTTTTTCACCGTAGTCCTGAGAGCGCTCCAAATGTCCACTTCCAGATACTACAAAAAGAGTGTTTCAAACCTGTTCTATGAAAGGAACTGTTCAACACAGTGACTTCAATTGAAACATCCCAATGAAGCTTCTGAGAATGCTTCTGTCTAGAGTTTATATGAAGACAATCCCGTTTCCAACGAAATCCTCAAAGCTATCCAAATATCCTCTTGCAGATATTACAAAAAGAGTGTTTCAAAACTGCTCTATCAAAAGAAAGGTTCAACACTGTTAGTTGAGGGCGCACATCACAAATAAGTTTCTGAGAATGCTTCTGTCTAGTTTTCAGGGGAAGATATTTCCTTTTTCACCATAGGCCTGAAAGCGCTCCAAATGTCCACATCCAGATACTACAAAAAGAGTGTTTCAAACCTGCTCTCTGAAAGGGAATGTTCAACTCTGTGACTTGAATGCAAACATCACAAAGAAGTTTCTGGGAATGCTGCTGTCTGCTTTTCATATGTAATCCGGTTTCCAACGAAATCCTCAAACCTAGACAAATATCCACTTGCAGATTCCACAAAAAGAGTGTTTCAAAACTGCTCTCTCAAAAGAAAGGTTAAATTCTGTTAGCTGAGTAGATACATCATGAAAAATTTTCTGACATTGCTTCTGTCTAGTTTTCAGGGGAAGATATTTCCTTTTTCACCATAGGCCTGAAATCGCTCTAAATGTCCACATCCAGATACTACAAAAAGAGTGTTTCAAACCTGCTCTATGAAAGGGACTGTTCAACACTGTGACTTCAATTGAAACATCCCAATGAAGCTTCTGAGAATGCTTCTGTCTAGAGTTTATATGAAGACAATCCCGTTTCCAAAGAAATCCTCAAAGCTATCCAAATCTCCTCTTGCAGATTTTATAAAAAGAGTGTTTCAAAACTGCTCTATCAAAAGAAAGCTTCAACACTGTTAGTTGAGGGCGCACATAACAAATAACATTCTGAGAATGCTTCTGTCTAGTTTTCAGGGGAAGATATTTCCTTTTTCACCATAGGCCTGAAAGCGCTCCAAATGTCCACATCCAGATACTACAAAAAGAGTGTTTCAAACCTGCTCTATGAAAGCGAATGTTCAACTCTGTGACTTGAATGCAAACATCACAAAGAAGTTACTGGGAATGCTGCTGTCTGCTTTTTCTATGTAATCCCGTTTCCAACGAAATCCTCAAAGCTAGACAAATATCCACTTGCAGATTCCACAAAAAGAGTGTTTCAAAACTGCTCTCTCAAAAGAAAGGTTCAACTCTGTTAGCTGAGTAGATACATCATGAAAAAGTTTCTGACATTGCTTCTATCTAGCTTTTATTGGAAGATATTTCCTTTATCACCGTAGTCCTGAGAGCGCTCCAAATGTCCACTTCCAGATACTACAAAAAGAGTGTTTCAAACTTGCTCTATGAAAGGGACTGTTCAACACTGTGACTTCAATTGAAACATCCCAATGAAGCTTCTGAGAATGCTTCTGTCTAGAGTTTATATGAAGACAATCCCGTTTCCAACGAAATCCTCAAGCTATCCAAATATCCTCCTGCAGATTTTACAAAAAGAGTGTTTCAAAACTGCTCTATCAAAAGAAAGCTTCAACACTGTTAGTTGAGGGCGCACATCACAAATAAGATTCTGAGAATGCTTCTGTCTAGTTTTCAGGGGAAGATATTTCCGTTTTCACCATAGGCCTGAAAGCGCTCCAAATGTCCACATCCAGATACTACAAAAAGAGTGTTTCAAACCTGCTCTATGAAAGGGAATGTTCAACTCTGTGACTTGAATGCAAATATCACAAAGAAGTTTCTGGGAATGCTGCTGTCTGCTTTTTATATGTAATCCCGTTTCCAACGAAATCCTCAAAGCTAGACAAATATCCACTTGCAGATTCCACAAAAAGAGTGTTTCAAAACTGCTCTCTCAAAAGAAAGGTTCAACTCTGTTTGCTGAGTAGATACATCATGAAAAAGTTTCTGACATTGCTTCTATCTAGCTTTTATTGGAAGATACTTCCTTTTTCACCGTAGTCCTGAGAGCGCTCCAAATGTCCACTTCCAGATACTACAAAAAGAGTGTTTCAAACCTGCTCTATGAAAGGGACTGTTCAACACTGTGACTTCAATTGAAACATCCCAATGAAGCTTCTGAGAATGCTTCTGTCTAGAGTTTATATGAAGACAATCCCGTTTCCAACGAAATCCTCAAAGCTATCCAAATATCCTCTTGCAGATATTACAAAAAGAGTGTTTCAAAACTGCTCTATCAAAAGAAAGCTTCAACACTGTTAGTTGAGGGCGCACATCACAAATAAGTTTCTGAGAATGCTTCTGTCTAGTTTTCAGGGGAAGATATTTCCTTTTTCACCATAGGCCTGAAAGCGCTCCAAATGTCCACATCCAGATACTAGAAAAAGAGTGTTTCAAACCTGCTCTATGAAAAGGAAAGTTCAACTCTGTGACGTGAATGCAAACATCACAAAGAAGTTTCTGGGAATGCTGCTGTCTGCTTTTTATATGTAATCCCGTTTCCAACGAAATCCTCAAAGCTAGACAAATATCCACTTGCAGATTCCACAAAAAGAGTGTTTCAAAACTGCTCTCTCAAAGGAAGGTTCAACTCTGTTAGCTGAGTAGATACATCATGAAAAAGTTTCTGACATTGCTTCTATCTAGCTTTTATTGGAAGATAGTTCCTTTTTCATCGCAGTCCTGAGAGCGCTCCAAATGTCCACTTCCAGATACTACAAAAAGAGTGTTTCAAACCTGCTCTATGAAAGGGACTGTTCAACACTGTGACTTCAATTGAAACATCCCAATGAAGCTTCTGAGAATGCTTCTGTCTAGAGTTTATATGAAGACAATCCCGTTTCCAACGAAATCCTCAAAGCTATCCAAATATCCTCTTGCAGATTTTACAAAAAGAGTGTTTCAAAACTGCTCTATCAAAAGAAAGCTTCAACACTGTTAGTTGAGGGCGCACATCACAAATAAGATTCTGAGAATGCTTCTGTCTAGTTTTCAGGGGAAGATATTTCCTTTTTCACCATAGGCCTGAAAGCGCTCCAAATGTCCACATCCAGATACTACAAAAAGAGTGTTTCAAACCTGCTCTATGAAAGGGAATGTTCAACTCTGTGACTTGAATGCAAACATCACAAAGTAGTTTCTGGGAATGCTGCTGTCTGCTTTTTATATGTAATCCCGTTTCCAACGAAATCCTCAAAGCTAGACAAATATGCACTTGCAGATTCCACAAAAAGAGTGTTTCAAAACTGCTCTCTCAAAAGAAAGGTTCAACTCTGTTAGCTGAGTAGATACACCATGAAAAAGTTTCTGACATTGCTTCTATCTAGCTTTTATTGGAAGATACTTCCTTTTTCACCGTAGTCCTGAGAGCGCTCCAAATGTCCACTTCCAGATACTACGAAAAGAGTGTTTCAAACCTGCTCTATGAAAGGGACTGTTCAACACTGTGTCTTCAATTGAAACATCCCAATGAAGCTTCTGAGAATGCTTCTGTCTAGAGTTTATATGAAGACAATCCCGTTTCCAAAGAAATCCTCAAAGCTATCCAAATATCCTCTTGCAGATTTTACAAAAACAGTGTTTCAAAACTGCTCTATCAAAAGAAAGCTTCAACACTGTTAGTTGAGGGCGCACATCACAAATAAGATTCTGAGAATGCTTCTGTCTAGTTTTCAGGGGAAGATATTTCCTTTTTCACCATAGGCCTGAAAGCGCTCCAAATGTCCACATACAGATACTACAAAAAGAGTGTTTCAAACCTGCTCTATGAAAGGGAATGTTCAACTCTGTGACTTGAATGCAAACTTCACAAAGAAGTTTCTGGGAATGCTGCTGTCTGCTTTTTATATGTAATCCCATTTCCAACGAAATTCTCAAAGCTAGACAAATATCCACTTGCAGATTCCACAAAAAGAGTGTTTCAAAACTGCTCTCTCAAAAGAAATGTTCAACTCTGTTAGCTGAGTAGATACATCATGAAAAACTTTCTGACATTGCTTCTATCTAGCTTTTATTGGAAGATATTTCCTTTTTCACCGTATTCCTGAGAACTCTCCAAATGTCCACTTCCAGATACTACAAAAAGAGTGTTTCAAACCTGCTCTATGAAAGGGACTGTTCAACACTGTGACTTCAATTGAAACAACCCAATGAAGCTTCTGAGAATGCTTCTGTCTAGAGTTTATATGAAGACAATCCCGTTTCCAACGAAATCCTCAAAGCTATCCAAATATCCTCTTGCAGATTTTACAAAAAGAGTGTCTCAAAACTGCTCTATCAAAAGAAAGCTTCAACACTGTTAGTTGAGGGCGCACATCACAAATAAGTTTCTGAGAATGCTTCTGTCTAGTTCTCAGGGGAAGTATATTTCCTTTTTCACCATAGGCCTGAAAGCGCTCCAAATGTCCACATCCAGATACTACAAAAAGAGTGTTTCAAACCTGCTCTATGAAAGGGAATGTTCAACTCTGTGACTTGAATGCAAACATCACAAAGAAGATTCTGGGAATGCTGCTGTCTGCTTTTTATATGTAATCCCGTTTCCAACGAAATCCTCAAAGCTAGACAAATATCCACTTGCAGATTCCACAAAAAGAGTGTTTCAAAACTGCTCTATCAAAAGAAAGCTTCAACACTGTTAGTTGAGGGCGCACATCACAAATAAGTTTCTGAGAATGCTTCTGTCTAGTTTTCAGGGGAAGATATTTCCTTTTTCACCATAGGCCTGAAAGCGCTCCAAATGTCCACATCCAGATACTACAAAAAGAGTGTTTCAAACCTGCTCTATGAAAGGGACTGTTCAACACTGTGACTTCAATTGAAACATCCCAATGAAGCTTCTGAGAATGCTTCTGTCTAGAGTTTATATGAAGACAATCCCGTTTCCAACGAAATCCTCAAAGCTATCCAAATATCCTCTTGCAGATTTTACAAAAAGAGTGTTTCAAAACTGCTCTATCAAAAGAAAGGTTCAACACTGTTAGTTGAGGGCGCACATCACAAATAAGTTTCTGAGAATGCTTCTGTCTAGTTTTCAGGGGAAGATATTTCCTTTTTCACCATAGGCCTGAAAGCGCTCCAAATGTCCACATCCAGATACTACAAAAAGAGTGTTTCAAACCTGCTCTATGAAAGGGAATGTTCAACTCTGTGACTTGAATGCAAACATCACAAAGAAGTTTGTGGGAATGCTGCTGTCTGCTTTTTATATGTAATCCCGTTTCCAACGAAATCCTCAAAGCTAGACAAATATCCACTTGCAGATTCCACAAAAAGAGTGTTTCAAAACTGCTCTCTCAAAAGAAAGGTTCAACTCTGTTACCTGAGTAGATACATCATGAAAAAGTTTCTGACATTGCTTCTATCTAGCTTTTATTGGAAGATATTTCCTTTTTCACCGCAGTCCTGAGAGCGCTCCAAATGTCCACTTCCAGATACTACAAAAAGAGTGTTTCAAACGTGCTCTATGAAAGGGACTGTTCAACACTGTGACTTCAATTGAAACATCCCAATGAAGCTTCTGAGAATGCTTCTGTCTAGAGTTTATATGAAGACAATCCCGTTTCCAACGAAATCCTCAAAGCTATCCAAATATCCTCTTGCAGATTTTACAAAAAGAGTGTTTCAAAACTGCTCTATCAAAAGAAAGCTTCAACACTGTTAGTTGAGGGCGCACATCACAAATAAGATTCTGAGAATGCTTCTATCTAGCTTTTATTGGAAGATATTTCCTTTATCACCGTAGTCCTGAGAGCGCTCCAAATGTCCACATCCAGATACTTCAAAAAGAGTGTTTCAAACCTGCTCTATGAAAGGGAATGTTCAACTCTGTGACTTGAATGCAAACATCACAAAGAAGTTACTGGGAATGCTGCTGTCTGCTTTTTATATGTAATCCCGTTTCCAACGAAATCCTCAAAGCTAGACAAATATCCACTTGCAGATTCCACAAAAAGAGTGTTTCAAAACTGCTCTCTCAAAGGAAAGGTTCAACTCTGTTAGCTGAGTAGATACATCATGAAAAAGTTTCTGACATTGCTTCTATGTAGCTTTTATTGGAAGATATTTCCTTTTTCACCGTAGTCCTGAGAGCGCTCCAAATGTCCACTTCCAGATACTACAAAAAGAGTGTTTCAAACCTGTTCTATGAAAGGAACTGTTCAACACTGTGACTTCAATTGAAACATCCCAATGAAGCTTCTGAGAATGCTTCTGTCTAGAGTTTATATGAAGACAATCCCGTTTCCAACGAAATCCTCAAAGCTATCCAAATATCCTCTTGCAGATATTACAAAAAGAGTGTTTCAAAACTGCTCTATCAAAAGAAAGCTTCAACACTGTTAGTTGAGGGCGCACATCACAAATAAGTTTCTGAGAATGCTTCTGTCTAGTTTTCAGGGGAAGATATTTCCTTTTTCACCTTAGGCCTGAAAGCGCTGCAAATGTCCACATCCAGATACTACAAAAAGAGTGTTTCAAACCTGCTCTATGAAAGGGAATGTTCAACTCTGTGACTTGAATGCAAACATCACAAAGAAGTTTCTGGGAATGCTGCTGTCTGCTTTTTATATGTAATCCCGTTTCCAACGAAATCCTCAAAGCTAGACAAATATCCACTTGCAGATTCCACAAAAAGAGTGTTTCAAAACTGCTCTATCAAAAGAATGCTTCAACACTGTTAGTTGAAGGCGCACATCACAAATAAGTTTCTGAGAATGCTTCTGTCTAGTTTTCAGGGGAAGATATTTCCTTTTTCACCATAGGCATGAAAGCGCTCCAAATGTCCACATCCAGATACTACAAAAAGAGTGTTTCAAACCTGCTCTAAGAAAGGGACTGTCCAATACTGTGACTTCAATTGAAACATCCCAATGAAGCATCTGAGAATGCTTTCTGTCTAGAGTTTATATGAAGACAATCCCGTTTCCAACGAAATCCTCAAAGCTATCCAAATATCCTCTTGCAGATTTTACAAAAAGAGTGTTTCAAAACTGCTCTATCAAAAGAAAGCTTCAACACTGTTAGTTGAGGGCGCACATCACAAATAAGATTCTGAGAATGCTTCTGTCTAGTTTTCAGGGGAAGATATTTCCTTTTTCACCATAGGCCTGAAAGCGCTCCAAATGTCCGCATCCAGATACTACAAAAAGAGTGTTTCAAACCTGCTCTATGAAAGGGAATGTTCATCTCTGTGACTTGAATGCAAACATCACAAAGAAGTTTCTGGGAATGCTGCTGTCTGCTTTTTATATGTAATCCCGTTTCCAACGAAATCCTGAAAGCTAGACAAATATCCACCTGCAGATTCCACAAAAAGAGTGTTTCAAAACTGCTCTCTCAAAAAAAATGTTCAACTCTGTTAGCTGAGTAGATACATCATGAAAAAGTTTCTGACATTGCTTCTATGTAGCTTTTATTGGAAGATATTTCCTTTATCACCGTAGTCCTGAGAGCGCTCCAAATGTCCATCTCCAGATACTACAAAAAGAGTGTTTCAAACCTGCTCTATGAAAGGGACTGTTCAACACTGTGACTTCAATTGAAACATCCCAATGAAGCTTCTGAGAATGCTTCTGTCTAGAGTTTATATGAAGACAATCCCGTTTCCAACGAAATCCTCAAAGCTATCCAAATATCCTCTTGCAGATATTACAAAAAGAGTGTTTCAAAACTGCTCTATCAAAAGAAAGGTTCAACACTGTTAGTTGAGGGCGCACATCACAAATAAGTTTCTGAGAATGCTTCTGTCTAGTTTTCAGGGGAAGATATTTCCTTTTTCACCATAGGCCTGAAAGCGCTCCAAATGTCCACAACCAGATACTTCAAAAAGAGTGTTTCAAACCTGCTCTATGAAAGGGAATGTTCAACTCTCTGACTTGAATGCAAACATCACAAAGAAGTTACTGGGAATGCTGCTGTCTGCTTTTTATATGTAATCCCGTTTCCAACGAAATCCTCAAAGGTAGACAAATATCCACTTGCAGATTCCACAAAAAGAGTGTTTCAAAACTGCTCTATCAAAAGAATGCTTCAACACTGTTAGTTGAGGGCGCACATCACAAATAAGTTTCTGAGAATGCTTCTATCTAGCTTTTATTGGAAGATACTTCCTTTTTCACCGTAGTCCTGAGAGCGCTCCAAATGTCCACTTCCAGATACTACAAAAAGAGTGTTTCAAACCTGCTCTATGAAAGGGACTGTTCAACACTGTGACTTCAATTGAAACATCCCAATGAAGCTTCTGAGAATCCTTCTGTCTAGAGTTTATATGAAGACAATCCCGTTTCCAACGAAATCCTCAAAGCTATCCAAATATCCTCTTGCAGATTTTACAAAAAGAGTGTTTCAAAACTGCTCTATCAAAAGAAAGCTTCAACACTGTTAGTTGAGGGCGCACATCACAAATAAGATTCTGAGAATGCTTCTGTCTAGTTTTCAGGGGAAGATATTTCCTTTTTCACCATAGGCCTGAAAGCGCTCCCAATGTCCACATCCAGATACTACAAAAAGAGTGTTTCAAACCTGCTCTATGAAAGGGAATGTTCAACTCTGTGACTTGAATGCAAATATCACAAAGAAGTTACTGGGAATGCTGCTGTCTGCTTTTTATATGTAATCCCGTTTCCAACGAAATCCTCAAAGCTAGACAAATATCCACTTGCAGATTCCACAAAAAGAGTGTTTCAAAACTGCTCTCTCAAAGGAAAGGTTCAACTCTGTTAGCTGAGTAGATACATCATGAAAAAGTTTCTGACATTGCTTCTATCTAGCTTTTATTGGAAGATATTTCCTTTATCACCGTATTCCTGAGATCTCTCCAAGTGTCCACTTCCAGATACTACAAAAAGAGTGTTTCAAACCTGCTCTATGAAAGGGACTGTTCAACACTGTGACTTCAATTGAAACATCCCAATGAAGCTTCTGAGAATGCTTCTGTCTAGAGTTTATATGAAGACAATCCCGTTTCCAACGAAATCCTCAAAGCTATCAAAATATCCTCTTGCAGATTTTACGAAAAGAGTGTTTCAAAACTGCTCTATCAAAAGAAAGCTTCAACACTGTTAGTTGAGGGCGCACATCACAAATAAGATTCTGAGAAAGCTTCTGTCTAGTTTTCAGGAGAAGATATTTCCTTTTTCACCATAGGCCTGAAAGCGCTCCAAATGTCCACATCCAGATACTATAAAAAGAGTGTTTCAAACCTGCTCTCTGAAAGGGAATGTTCAACTCTGTGACATGAATGCAAACATCACAAACAAGATTCTGGGAATGCTGCTGTCTGCTTTTTATATGTAATCCCGTTTCCAACGAAATCCTCAAAGCTAGACAAATATCCACTTGCAGATTCCACAAAAAGAGTGTTTCAAAACTGCTCTATCAAAAGAAAGCTTCAACACTGTTAGTTGAGGGCGCACATCACAAATAAGTTTCTGAGAATGCTTCTGTCTAGTTTTCAGGGGAAGATATTTCCTTTTAAACCATAGGCCTGAAAGCGCCCCAAATGTCCACATCCAGATACTACAAAAAGAGTGTTTCAAACCTGCTCTATGAAAGGGAGTGTTCAACACTGTGACTTCAATTGAAACATCCCAATGACGCTTCTGAGAATGCTTCTGTCTAGAGTTTATATGAAGACAATCCCGTTTCCAACGAAATCCTCAAAGCTATCCAAATATCCTCTTGCAGATTTTACAAAAAGAGTGTTTCAAAACTGCTCTCTCAAAAGAAAGGTTCAACTCTGTTAGCAGAGTAGATACATCATGAAAAAGTTTCTGACATTGCTTCTGTCTAGTTTTCAGGAGAAGATATTTCCTTTTTCACCATAGGCCTGAAAGCGCTCCAAATGTCCACATCGAGATACTACAAAAAGAGTGTTTCAAACCTGCTCTATGAAAGGGAATGTTCAACTCTGTGACTTGAATGCAAACATCACAAAGAAGATTCTGGGAATGCTGCTGTCTGCTTTTTATATGTAATCCCGTTTCCAACGAAATCCTCAAAGCTAGACAAATATCCACTTGCAGATTCCACAAAAAGAGTGTTTCAAAACTGCTCTATCAAAAGAAAGCTTCAACACTGTTAGTTGAGGGGGCACATCACAAATAAGTTTCTGAGAATGCTTCTGTCTAGTTTTCAGGGGAAGATATTTCCTTTTTCACCATAGGCCTGAAAGCGCTCCAAATGTCCACATCCAGATACTACAAAAAGAGTGTTTCAAACCTGCTCTATGAAAGGGACTGTTCAACACTGTGACTTCAATTGAAACATCCCAATGAAGCATCTGAGAATGCTTCTGTCTAGAGTTTATATGAAGACAATCCCGTTTCCAACGAAATCCTCAAAGCTATCCAAATATCCTCTTGCAGATTTTACAAAAAGAGTGTTTCAAAACTGCTCTATCAAAAGAAAGCTTCTACACTGTTAGTTGAGGGCGCACATCACAAATAAGATTCTGAGAATGCTTCTGTGTAGTTTTCAGGGGAAGATATTTCCTTTTTCACCATAGGCCTGAAAGCGCTGCAAATGTCCACATCCAGATACTACAAAAAGAGTGTTTCAAACCTGCTCTATGAAAGGGAATGTTCAACTCTGTGACTTGAATGCAAACATCACAAAGAAGTTTCTGGGAATGCTGCTGTCTGCTTTTTATATGTAATCCCGTTTCCAACGAAATCCTCAAAGCTAGACAAATATCCACTTGCAGATTCCACAAAAAGAGTGTTTCAAAACTGCTCTCTCAAAGGAAGGTTCAACTCTGTTAGCTGAGTAGATACATCATGAAAAAGTTTCTGACATTGCTTCTATCTAGCTTTTATTGGAAGATATTTCCTTTTTCACCGCAGTCCTGAGAGCGCTCCAAATGTCCACTTGCAGATATTACAAAAAGAGTGTTTCAAACCTGCTCTATGAAAGGGACTGTTCAACACTGTGACTTCAATTGAAACATCCCAATGAAGCTTCTGAGAATGCTTCTGTCTAGAGTTTGTATGAAGTCAATCCCGTTTCCAACGAAATCCTCAAAGCTATCCAAATATCCTCTTGCAGATTTTACGAAAAGAGTGTTTCAAAACTGCTCTATCAAAAGAAAGCTTCAACACTGTTAGTTGAGGGTGCACATCACAAATAAGATTCTGAGAATGCTTCTGTCTAGATTTCAGGAGAAGATATTTCCTTTTTCACCATAGGCCTGAAAGCACTCCAAATGTCCACATCCAGATACTATAAAAAGAGTGTTTCAAACCTGCTCTCTGAAAGGGAATGTTCAACTCTGTCACTTGAATGCAAACATCACAAACAAGATTCTGGGAATGCTGCTGTCTGCTTTTTATATGTAATCCCGTTTCCAACGAAATCCTCAAAGCTAGACAAATATCCACTTGCAGATTCCACAAAAAGAGTGTTTCAAAACTGCTCTATCAAAAGAAAGCTTCAACACTGTTAGTTGAGGGCGCACATCACAAATAAGTTTCTGAGAATGCTTCTGTCTAGTTTTCAGGGGAAGATATTTCCTTTTTCACCATAGGCCTGAAAGCGCTCCAAATGTCCACATCCAGATACTACAAAAAGAGTGTTTCAAACCTGCTCTATGAAAGGGACTGTTCAACACTGTGACTTCAATTGAAACATCCCAATGAAGCTTCTGAGAATGCTTCTGTCTAGAGTTTATATGAAGACAATCCCG
Organism: Homo sapiens; assembly: GCF_000001405.40. NCBI lineage: Eukaryota > Metazoa > Chordata > Mammalia > Primates > Hominidae > Homo > Homo sapiens. The sequence continues at coordinate 92,362,659 of NC_000002.12, read as the reverse complement.
TTTCCAAAGAAATCCTCAAAGCTATCCAAATATCCTCTTGCAGATTTTACAAAAAGAGTGTTTCAAAACTGCTCTATCAAAAGAAAGCTTCAACACTGTTAGTTGAGGGCGCACATCACAAATAAGATTCTGAGAATGCTTCTGCCTAGTTTATATGGGAAGATATTTCCTTTTTCACAATAGGTCACAAAGCACTCCAAAAGTCCAGTTCCATATACTACAACATCCTGTGTTCACACCTGCTTTATGAAAGAGAATGTTCAACACTGGGACTTGAATGCAATCCTCACAGAGATTTTTCTGAGAATGCTTCTGTCTAGGTTTTGTATGGACATATTCCCGTTTCCAACGAAATCCTCTAAGCTATCCAAATATCCACTTGCAGACTCTACAAAAAGAGTGTTTCAAAACTGCTCTATCAAAAGAAAGGTTCAACACTGTTAGTTGAGGGCGCACATCACAAATAAGTTTCTGAGAATGCTTCTGTCTAGTTTTCAGGAGAACATATTTCCTTTTTCACCATAGGCCTGAAAGCGCTCCAAATGTCCACATCCAGATACTACAAAAAGAGTGTTTCAAAGCTGCTCTATGAAAGGGAATGTTCAACTCTGTGACTTGAATGCAAACATCACAAAGAAGTTTCTGGGAATGCTTCTGTCTAGAGTTTATATGAAGACAATCCCGTTTCCAACGAAATCCTCAAAGCTATCCAAATATCCTCTTGCAGATTTTACAAAAAGAGTGTTTCAAAACTGCTCTATCAAAAGAAAGCTTCAACACTGTTAGTTGAGGGCGCACATCACAAATAAGATTCTCAGAATGCTTCTGTCTAGTTTTCAGGGGAAGATATTTCCTTTTTCACCATAGGCCTGAAAGCGCTCCAAATGTCCACATCCAGATACTTCAAAAAGAGTCTTTCAAACCTGCACTATGAAAGGGAATGTTCAACTCTGTGACTTGAATGCAAACATCACAAAGAAGATTCTGGGAATGCTGCTGTCTGCTTTTTATATGTAATCCCGTTTCCAACGAAATCCTCAAAGCTAGACAAATATCCACTTGCAGATTCCACAAAAAGAGTGTTTCAAAACTGCTCTCTCAAAAGAAAGGTTCAACTCTGTTAGCCGAGTAGATACATCATGAAAAAGTTTCTGACATTGCTTCTATCTAGCTTTTATTGGAAGATATTTCCTTTTTCACCGTAGTCCTGAGAGCGCTCCAAATGTCCACTTCCAGATGCTTCAAAAAGAGTGTTTCAAACCTGCTCTATGAAAGGGACTGTTCAACACTGTGACTTCAATTGAAACATCCCAATGAAGCTTCTCAGAATGCTGCTGTCTGCTTTGTATAATTAATCCCGTTTCCAACGAAATCCTCAAAGCTATCCAAATATCCTCTTGCAGATATTACAAAAAGAGTGTTTCAAAACTGCTCTATCAAAAGAAAGCTTCAACACTGTTAGTTGAGGGCGCACATCACAAATAAGTTTCTGAGAATGCTGCTGTCTGCTTTTTATATGTAATCCCGTTTCCAACGAAATCCTCAAAGCTAGACAAACATCCACTTGCAGATTCCACAAAAAGAGTGTTTCAAAACTGCTCTATCAAAAGAATGCTTCAACACTGTTAGTTGAGGGCGCACATCACAAATAAGTTTCTGAGAATGCTTCTGTCTAGTTTTCAGGGGAAGATATTTCATTTTAAACCATAGGCCTGAAAGCGCTCCAAATGTCCACATCCAGATACTACAAAAAGAGTGTTTCAAACCTGCTCTATGAAAGGGACTGTTCAACACTGTGACTTCAATTGAAACATCCCAATGAAGCTTCTGAGAATGCTTCTGTCTAGAGTTTATATGAAGACAATCCCGTTTCCAACGAAATCCTCAAAGCTATCCAAATATCCTCTTGCAGATTTTACAAAAAGAGTGTTTCAAAACTGCTCTATCAAAAGAAAGCTTCAACACTATTAATTGAGGGCGCACATCACAAATAAGATTCTGAGAATGCTTCTGTCTAGTTTTCAGGGGAAGATATTTCCTTTTTCACCATAGGCCTGAGAGCGCTCCAAATGTCCACATCCAGATACTACAAAAAGAGTGTTTCAAACCTGCTCTATGAAAGGGAATGTTCAACTCTGTGACTTGAATGCAAACATCAGAAAGAAGTTACTGGGAATGCTGCTGTCTGCTTTTTATATGTAATCCCGTTTCCAACGAAATCCTCAAAGCTAGACAAACATCCACTTGCAGATTCCACAAAAAGAGTGTTTCAAAACTGCTCTATCAAAAGAATGCTTCAACACTGTTAGTTGAGGGCGCACATCACAAATAAGTTTCTGAGAATGCTTCTGTCTAGTTTTCAGGGGAAGATATTTCCTTTTAAACCATAGGCCTGAAAGCGCTCCAAATGTCCACATCCAGATACTACAAAAAGAGTGTTTCAAACCTGCTCTATGAAAGGGACTGTTCAACACTGTGACTTCAATTGAAACATCCCAATGAAGCTTCTGAGAATGCTTCTGTCTAGAGTTTATATGAAGACAATCCCGTTTCCAACGAAATCTTCAAAGCTATCCAAATATCCTCTTGCAGATATTACAAAAAGAGTGTTTCAAAACTGCTCTATCAAAAGAAAGGTTCAACACTGTTAGTTGAGGGCGCACATCACAAATAAGTTTCTGAGAATGCTTCTGTCTAGTTTTCAGGGGAAGATATTTCCTTTTTCACCTTAGGCCTGAAAGCGCTGCAAATGTCCACATCCAGATACTACAAAAAGAGTGTTTCAAACCTGCTCTATGAAAGGGAATGTTCAACTCTGTGACTTGAATGCAAACATCACAAAGAAGTTTCTGGGAATGCTGCTGTCTGCTTTTTATATGTAATCCCGTTTCCAACGAAATCCTCAAAGGTAGACAAATATCCACTTGCAGATTCCACAAAACGAGTGTTTCAAAACTGCTCTCTCAAAGGAAAGGTTCAACTCTGTTAGCTGAGTAGATACATCATGAAAAAGTTTCTGACATTGCTTCTATCTAGCTTTTATTGGAAGATATTTCCTTTTTCACCGCAGTCCTGAGAGCGTTCCAAATGTCCACTTCCAGATACTACAAAAAGAGTGTTTCAAACCTGCTCTATGAAAGGGACTGTTCAACACTGTGACTTCAATTGAAACATCCCAATGAAGCTTCTGAGAATGCTTCTGTCTAGATTTTATATGAAGACAATCCCGTTTCCAACGAAATCCTCAAAGCTATCCAAATATCCTCTTGCAGATTTTACAAAAAGAGTGTTTCAAAACTACTCTATCAAAAGAAAGGTTTAACACTGTTAGTTGAGGGCGCACATCACAAATAAGTTTCTGAGAATGCTTCTGTCTAGTTTTCAGGGGAAGATATTTCCTTTTTCACCATAGGCCTGAAAGCGCTCCAAATGTCCACATACAGATACTACAAAAAGAGTGTTTCAAACCTGCTCTATGAAAGGGAATGTTCAACTCTGTGACTTGAATGCAAACTTCACAAAGAAGTTTCTGGGAATGCTGCTGTCTGCTTTTTATATGTAATCCCATTTCCAACGAAATCCTCAAAGCTGGACAAATATCCACTTGCAGATTCCACAAAAAGAGTGTTTCAAAACTGCTCTCTCAAAAGAAAGGTTCAACTCTGTTTGCTGAGTAGATACATCATGAAAAAGTTTCTGACATTGCTTCTATCTAGCTTTTATTGGAAGATACTTCCTTTTTCACCGTAGTCCTGAGAGCGCTCCAAATGTCCACTTCCAGATACTACAAAAAGAGTGTTTCAAACCTGCTCTATGAAAGGGACTGTTCAACACTGTGACTTCAATTGAAACATCCCAATGAAGCTTCTGAGAATGCTTCTGTCTAGAGTTTATATGAAGACAATCCCGTTTCCAACGAAATCCTCAAAGCTATCCAAATATCCTTCTTGCAGATATTACAAAAAGAGTGTTTCAAAACTGCTCTATCAAAAGAAAGCTTCAACACTGTTAGTTGAGGGCGCACATCACAAATAAGATTCTGAGAATGCTTCTGTCTAGTTTTCAGGAGAATATATTTCCTTTTTCACCATAGGCCTGAAAGCGCTCCAAATGTCCACATCCAGATACTATAAAAAGAGTGTTTCAAACCTGCTCTATGAAAGGGAATGTTCAACTCTGTGACTTGAATGCAAACATCACAAAGAAGATTCTGGGAATGCTGCTGTCTGCTTTTTATATGTAATCCCGTTTCCAACGAAATCCTCAAAGCTATCCAAATATCCTCTTGCAGATTTTACGAAAAGAGTGTTTCAAAACTGCTCTATCAAAAGAAAGCTTCAACACTGTTAGTTGAGGGCGCACATCACAAATAAGATTCTGAGAATGCTTCAGTCTAGTTTTCAGGGGAAGATATTTCCTTTTTCACCATAGGCCTGAAAGCGCTCCAAATGTCCACATCCAGATACTACAAAAAGAGTGTTTCAAACCTGCTCTATGAAAGGGACTGTTCAACACTGTGACTTCAATTGAAACATCCCAATGAAGCTTCTGAGAATGCTTCTGTCTAGAGTTTATATGAAGACAATCCCGTTTCCAACGAAATCCTCAAAGCTATCCAAATATCCTCTTGCAGATTTTACAAAAAGAGTGTTTCAAAACTGCTCTATCAAAAGAAAGCTTCAACACTGTTAGTTGAGGGCGCACATCACAAACAAGATTCTGAGAATGCTTCTGTCTAGTTTTCAGGAGAATATATTTCCTTTTTCACCATAGGCCTGAAAGCGCTCCAAATGTCCACATCCAGATACTATAAAAAGAGTGTTTCAAACCTGCTCTATGAAAGGGAATGTTCAACTGTGTGACTTGAATGCAAACATCACAAAGAAGATTCTGGGAATGCTGCTGTCTGCTTTTTTTATGTAATCCCATTTCCAAAGAAATCCTCAAAGCTAGACAAATATCCACTTGCAGATTCCACAAAAAGAGTGTTTCAAAACTGCTCTCTCAAAGGAAGGTTCAAATCTGTTAGCTGAGTAGATACATCATGAAAAAGTTTCTGACATTGCTTCTATCTAGCTTTTATTGGAAGATATTTCCTTTTTCACCGCAGTCCTGAGAGCGCTCCAAATGTCCACTTCCAGATACTACAAAAAGAGTGTTTCAAACCTGCTCTATGAAAGGGACTGTTCAACACTGTGACTTCAATTGAAACATCCCAATGAAGCTTCTGAGAATGCTTCTGTCTAGAGTTTATATGAAGACAATCCCGTTTCCAACGAAATCCTCAAAGCTATCCAAATATCCTCTTGCAGATTTTACAAAAAGAGTGTTTCAAAACTGCTCTATCAAAAGAAAGCTTCAACACTGTTAGTTGAGGGCGCACATCACAAATAAGATTCTGAGAATGCTTCTGTCTAGTTTTCAGGGTAAGATATTTCCTTTTTCACCATAGGCCTGAAAGCGCTCCAAATGTCCACATCCAGATACTACAAAAAGAGTGTTTCAAACCTGCTCTATGAAAGGGAATGTTCAACTCTGTGACTTGAATGCAAACATCACAAAGAAGTTTCTGGGAATGCTGCTGTCTGCTTTTTATATGTAATCCCGTTTCCAACGAAATCCTCAAAGCTAGACAAATATCCACTTGGAGATTCCACAAAAAGAGTGTTTCAAAACTGCTGTCTCAAAGGAAGGTTCAACTCTGTTAGCTGAGTAGATACATCATGAAAAAGTTTCTGACATTGCTTCTATGTAGCTTTTATTGGAAGATATTTCCTTTTTCACCGCAGTCCTGAGAGCGCTCCAAATGTCCACTTCCATATACTACAAAAAGAGTGTTTCAAACCTGGTCTATGAAAGGGACTGTTCAACACTGTGACTTCAATTGAAACATCCCAATGAAGCTTCTGAGAATGCTTCTGTCTAGAGTTTATATGAAGACAATCCCGTTTCCAACGAAATCCTCAAAGCTATCCAAATATCCTCTTGCAGATTTTACAAAAAGAGTGTTTCAAAACTGCTCTATCAAAAGAAAGCTTCAACACTGTTTGTTGAGGGCACACATCACAAATAAGATTCTGAGAATGCTTCTGTCTAGTTTTCAGGAGAAGATATTTCCTTTTTCACCATAGGCCTGAAAGCGCTCCAAATGTCCACATCCAGATACTACAAAAAGAGTGTTTCAAACCTGCTGTATGAAAGGGAATGTTCAACTCTGTGACTTGAATGCAAACATCACAAAGAAGTTACTGGGAATGCTGCTGTCTGCTTTTTATATGTAATCCTGTTTCCAACGAAATCCTCAAAGCTAGACAAATATCCACTTGCAGATTCCACAAAAAGAGTGTTTCAAAACTGCTCTCTCAAAAGAAAGGTTCAACTCTGTTAGCTGAGTAGATACATCATGAAAAAGTTTCTGACATTGCTTCTATCTAGCTTTTATTGGAAGATATTTCCTTTTTCACTATAGTCCTGAGAACGCTCCAAATGTCCACTTCCAGATACTACAAAAAGAGTGTTTCAAACCTGCTCTATGAAAGGGACTGTTCAACACTGTGACTTCAATTGAAACATCCCAATGAAGCTTCTGAGAATGCTTCTGTCTAGAGTTTATATGAAGACAATCCCGTTTCCAACGAAATCCTCAAAGCTATCAAAATATCCTCTTGCAGATTTTACGAAAAGAGTGTTTCAAAACTGCTCTATCAAAAGAAAGCTTCAACACTGTTAGTTGAGGGCGCACATCACAAATAAGATTCTGAGAATGCTTCTGTCTAGTTTTCAGGAGAAGATATTTCCTTTTTCACCATAGGCCTGAAAGCGCTCCAAATGTCCACATCCAGATACTATAAAAAGAGTGTTTCAAACCTGCTCTCTGAAAGGGAATGTTCAACTCTGACTTGAATGCAAACATCACAAACAAGATTCTGGGAATGCTGCTGTCTGCTTTTTATATGTAATCCCGTTTCCAACGAAATCCTCAAAGCTATCCAAATATCCTCTTGCAGATATTACAAAAAGAGTGTTTCAAAACTGCTCTATCAAAAGAAAGGTTCAACACTGTTAGTTGAGGGCGCACATCACAAATAAGTTTCTGAGAATGCTTCTGTCTAGTTTTCAGTGGAAGATATTTCCTTTTTCACCATAGGCCTGAAAACGCTCCAAATGTCCACATCCAGATACTACAAAAAGAGTGTTTCAAACCTGCTCTATGAAAGGGAATGTTCAACTCTGTGACTTGAATGCAAACATCACAAAGAAGTTTCTGGGAATGCTGCTGTCTGCTTTTTATATGTAATCCCGTTTCCAACGAAATCCTCAAAGCTAGACAAATATCCACTTGCAGATTCCACAAAAAGAGTGTTTCAAAACTGCTCTATCAAAAGAATGCTTCAACACTGTTAGTTGAGGGCGCACATCACAAATAAGTTTCTGAGAATGCTTCTGTCTAGTTTTCAGGGGAAGATATTTCCTTTTAAACCGTAGGCCTGAAAGCGCTCCAAATGTCCACATCCAGATACTACAAAAAGAGTGTTTCAAACCTGCTCTATGAAAGGGACTGTTCAACACTGTGACTTCAATTGAAACATCCCAATGAAGCTTCTGAGAATGCTTCTGTCTAGAGTTTATATGAAGACAATCCCGTTTCCAACGAAATCCTCAAAGCTATCCAAATATCCTCTTGCAGATTTTACAAAAAGAGTGTTCCAAAACTGCTCCATCAAAAGAAAGCTTCAACACTGTTAGTTGAGGGCGCACATCACAAATAAGATTCTGAGAATGCTTCTGTCTAGTTTTCAGGAGAAGATATTTCCTTTTTCACCATAGGCCTGAAAGCGCTCCAAATGTTCACATCCAGATACTATAAAAAGAGTGTTTCAAACCTGCTCTCTGAAAGGGAATGTTCAACTCTGTGACTTGAATGCAAACATCACAAACAAGGATTCTGGGAATGCTGCTGTCTGCTTTTTATATGTAATCCCGTTTCCAACGCAATCCTCAAAGCTAGACAAATATCCACTTGCAGATTCCACAAAAAGAGTGTTTCAAAACTGCTCTCTCAAAAGAAAGTTTCAACTCTGTTAGCTGAGTAGATACATCATGAAAAAGTTTCTGACATTGCTTCTATCTAGCTTTTATTGGAAGATATTTCCTTTTTCACCGTAGTCCTGAGAGCGCTCCAAATGTCCACGTCCAGATACTACAAAAAGAGTGTTTCAAACCTGCTCTATGAAAGGGACTGTTCAACACTGTGACTTCAATTGAAACATCCCAATGAAGCTTCTGAGAATGCTTCTGTCTAGAGTTTATATGAAGACAATCCCGTTTCCAACGAAATCCTCAAAGCTATCCAAATATCCTCTTGCAGATTTTACAAAAAGAGTGTTTCAAAACTGCTCTATCAAAAGAAAGCTTCAACACTGTTAGTTGAGGGCGCACATCACAAATAAGATTCTGAGAATGCTTCTATCTAGCTCTTATTGGAAGATATTTCCTTTTTCACCATAGGCCTGAAAGCGCTCCAAATGTACACATCCAGATACTACAAAAAAAGTGTTTCAAACCTGCTCTATGAAAGGGAATGTTCAACTCTGTGACTTGAATGCAAACATCACAAAGAAGTTACTGGGAATGCTGCTGTCTGCTTTTTATATGTAATCCCGTTTCCAACGAAATCCTCAAAGCTAGACAAATATCCACTTGCAGATTCCACAAAAATAGTGTTTCAAAACTGCTCTCGCAAAAGAAAGGTTCAACTCTTTTAGCTGAGTAGATACATCATGAAAAAGTTTCTGACATTGCTTCTATCTAGCTTTTATTGGAAGATATTTCCTTTTTCACCGTAGTCCTGAGAGCGCTCCAAATGTCCACTTCCAGATACTACAAAAAGAGTGTTTCAAACCTGCTCTATGAAAGGGACTGTTCAACACTGTGACTTCAATTGAAACATCCCAATGAAGCTTCTGAGAATGCTTCTGTCTAGATTTTATATGAAGACAATCCCGTTTCCAACGAAATCCTCAAAGCTATCCAAATATCCTCTTGCAGATTTTACAAAAAGAGTGTTTCAAAACTGCTCTATCAAAAGAAAAGTTCAACACTGTTAGTTGAGGGCGCACATCACAAATAAGTTTCTGAGAATGCTTCTGTCTAGTTTTCAGGGGAAGATATTTCCTTTTCAACCATAGGCCTGAGAGCGCTCCAAATGTCCACATCCAGATACTACAAAAAGAGTGTTTCAAACCTGCTCTATGAAAGGGAATGTTCAACTCTGTGACTTGAATGCAAACATCACAAAGAAGTTTCTGGGAATGCTGCTGTCTGCTTTTTATATGTATTCCCGTTTCCAAAGAAATCCTCAAAGCTAGACAAATATCCACTTGCAGATTCCACAAAAAGAGTGTTTCAAAACTGCTCTCTCAAAAGAAAGGTTCAACTCTTTTAGCTGAGTAGATACATCATGAAAAAGTTTCTCACATTGCTTCTATCTAGCTTTTATTGGAAGATATTTCCTTTTTCACCGTAGTCCTGAGAGCGCTCCAAATGTCCACTTCCAGATGCTTCAAAAAGAGTGTTTCAAACCTGCTCTATGAAAGGGACTGTTCAACACTGTGACTTCAATTGAAACATCCCAATGAAGCTTCTCAGAATGCTACTGTCTAGAGTTTATATGAAGACAATCCCGTTTCCAACGAAATACTCAAAGCTATCCAAATATCCTCTTGCAGATTTTACAAAAAGAGTGTTTCAAAACTACTCTATCAAAAGAAAGGTTCAACACTGTTAGTTGACGGCGCACATCACAAATAAGTTTCTGAGAATGCTTCTGTCTAGTTTTCAGGAGAAGATATTTCCTTTTTCACCATAGGCCTGAAAGCGCTCCAAATGTCCACATCCAGATACTATAAAAAGAGTGTTTCAAACCTGCTCTCTGAAAGGGAATGTTCAACTCTGTGACTTGAATGCAAACATCACAAACAAGATTCTGGGAATGATGCTGTCTGCTTTTTATAATTAATCCCGTTTCCAACGAAATCCTCAAAGCTATCCAAATATCCTCTTGCAGATATTACAAAAAGAGTGTTTCAAAACTGCTCTATCAAAAGAAAGCTTCAACACTGTTAGTTGAGGGCGCACATCACAAATAAGTTTCTGAGAATGCTTCTGTCTAGTTTTCAGGGGAAGATATTTCCTTTTTCACCATAGGCCTGAAAGCGCTCCAAATGTCCACATCCAGATACTACAAAAGGAGTGTTTCAAACCTGCTCTATGAAAGGGAATGTTCAACTCTGTGACGTGAATGCAAACATCACAAAGAAGTTTCTGGGAATGCTGCTGTCTGCTTTTTATATGTAATCCCGTTTCCAACGAAATCCTCAAAGCTAGACAAATATCCACTTGCAGATTCCACAAAAAGAGTGTTTCAAAACTGCTCTATCAAAAGAATGCTTCAACACTCTTACTTGAGGGCGCACATCACAAATAAGTTTCTGAGAATGCTTCTGTCTAGTTTTCAGGGGAAGATATTTCCTTTTAAACCATAGGCCTGAAAGCGCTCCAAATGTCCACATCCAGATACTACAAAAAGAGTGTTTCAAACCTGCTCTATGAAAGGGACTGTTCAACACTGCAACTTCAATTGAAACATCCCAATGAAGCTTCTGAGAATGCTTCTGTCTAGAGTTTATATGAAGACAATCCCGTTTCCAACGAAATCCTCAAAGCTATCCAAATATCCTCTTGCAGATATTACAAAAAGAGTGTTTCAAAACTGCTCTATCAAAAGAAAGCTTCAACACTGTTAGTTGAGGGCGCACATCACAAATAAGTTTCTGAGAATGCTTCTGTCTAGTTTTCAGGGGAAGATATTTCCTTTTTCACGATAGGCCTGAAAGCGCTCCAAATGTCCACATCCAGATACTACAAAAAGAGTGTTTCAAACCTGCTCTATGAAAGGGAATGTTCAAGTCTGTGATTGAATGCAAATATCACAAAGAAGTTTCTGGGAATGCTGCTGTCTGCTTTTTATATGTAATCCCGTTTCCAACGAAATCCTCAAAGCTAGACAAATATCCACTTGCAGATTCCACAAAAAGAGAGTCTCAAAACTGCTCTCTCAAAAGAAAGGTTCAACTCTTTTACCTGAGTAGATACATCATGAAAAAGTTTCTGACATTGCTTCTATCTAGCTTTTATTGGAAGATATTTCCTTTTTCACCGCAGTCCTGAGAGCGCTCCAAATGTCCACTTCCAGATACTACAAAAAGAGTGTTTCAAACCTGCTCTATGAAAGGGACTGTTCAGCACTGTGACTTCAACTGAAACATCCCAATGTAGCTTCTGAGAATGCTTCTTTCTAGAGTTTATATGAAGACAATCCCGTTTCCAACGAAATCCTCAAAGCTATCCTAGTATCCTCTTGCAGATTTTACAAAAAGAGTGTTTCAAAACTGCTCTATCAAAAGAAAGCTTCAACACTGTTAGTTGAGGGCGCACATCAGAAATAAGATTCTGAGAATGCTTCTGTCTAGTTTTCAGGGGAAGATATTTCCTTTTTCACCATAGGCCTGAAAGCGCTCCAAATGTCCACATCCAGATACTACAAAAAGAGTGTTTCAAACCTGCTCTATGAAAGGGAATGTTCAACTCTGTGACTTGAATGCAAACATCACAAAGAAGATTCTGGGAATGCTGCTGTCTGGTTTTTATATGTAATCCCGTTTCCAACGAAATCCTCAAAGGTAGACAAATATCCACTTGCAGATTCCACAAAAAGAGTGTTTCAAAACTGCTCTCTCAAAAGAAAGGTTCAACTCTGTTAGCTGAGTAGATACATCATGAAAAAGTTTCTGACATTGCTTCTATCTAGCTTTTATTGGAAGATATTTCCTTTTTCAACGCAGTCCTGAGAGCGTTCCAAATGTCCACTTCCAGATACTACAAAAAGAGTGTTTCAAACCTGCTCTATGAAAGGGACTGTTCAACACTGTGACTTCAATTGAAACATCCCAATGAAGCTTCTGGGAATGCTTCTGTCTAGAGTTTATATGAAGACAATCCCGTTTCCAACGAAATCCTCAAAGCTATCCAAATATCCTCTTGCAGATATTACAAAAAGAGTGTTTCAAAACTGCTCTATCAAAAGAAAGGTTCAACAGTGTTAGTTGAGGGCGCACATCACAAATAAGTTTCTGAGAATGCTTTTGGCTAGTTTTCAGGGGAAGATATTTCCTTTTTCACCATAGGCCTGAAAGCGCTCCAAATGTCCACATACAGATACTACAAAAAGAGTGTTTCAAACCTGCTCTATGAAAGGGAATGTTCAACTGTGTGACTTGAATGCAAACATCACAAAGAAGTTTCCGGGAATGCTGCTGTCTGCTTTTTATATGTAATCCCGTTTCCAACGAAATCCTCAAAGCTAGACAAATATCCACTTGCAGATTCCACAAAAAGAGTGTTTCAAAACTGCTCTCTCAAAAGAAAGGTTCAACTCTGTTTGCTGAGTAGATACATCATGAAAAAGTTTCTGACATTGCTTCTATCTAGCTTTTATTGGAAGATACTTCCTTTTTCACCGTAGTCCTGAGAGCGCTCCAAATGTCCACTTCCAGATACTACAAAAAGAGTGTTTCAAACCTGCTCTATGAAAGGGACTGTTCAACACTGTGACTTCAATTGAAACATCCCAATGAAGCTTCTGAGAATGCTTCTGTCTAGAGTTTATATGAAGACAATCCCGTTTCCAACGAAATCCTCAAAGCTATCCAAATATCCTCTTGCAGATTTTACAAAAAGAGTGTTTCAAAACTGCTCTATCAAAAGAAAGCTTCAACACTGTTAGTTGAGGGCGCACATCACAAATAAGATTCTGAGAATGCTTCTGTCTAGTTTTCAGGTGAAGATATTTCCTTTTTCACCATAGGCCTGAAAACGCTGCAAATGTCCACATCCAGATACTACAAAAAGAGTGTTTCAAACCTGCTCTATGAAAGGGAATGTTCAACTCTGTGACTTGAATGCAAACATCACAAAGAAGTTACTGGGAATGCTGCTGTCTGCTTTTTATATGTAATCCCGTTTCCAACGAAATCCTCAAAGCTAGACAAATATCCACTTGCAGATTCCACAAAAAGAGTGTTTCAAAACTGCTCTCTCAAAGGAAAGGTTCAACTCTGTTAGCTGAGTAGATACATCATGAAAAAGTTTCTGACATTGCTTCTATGTAGCTTTTATTGGAAGATATTTCCTTTTTCACCATAGTCCTGAGAGCGCTCCAAATGTCCACTTCCAGATACTACAAAAAGAGTGTTTCAAACCTGTTCTATGAAAGGAACTGTTCAACACTGTGACTTCAATTGAAACATCCCAATGAAGCTTCTGGGAATGCTTCTGTCTAGAGTTTATATGAAGACAATCCCGTTTCCAACGAAATCCTCAAAGCTATCCAAATATCCTCTTGCAGATATTACAAAAAGAGTGTTTCAAAACTGCTCTATCAAAAGAAAGCTTCAACACTGTTAGTTGAGGGCGCACATCACAAATAAGTTTCTGAGAATGCTTCTGTCTAGTTTTCAGGGGAAGATATTTCCTTTTTCACCATAGGCCTGAAAGCGCTCCAAATGTCCACATCCAGATACTACAAAAAGAGTGTTTCAAACGTACTCTATGAAAGGGAATGTTCAACTCTGTGACTTGAATGCAAACATCACAAAGAAGATTCTGGGAATGCTGCTGTCTGCTTTTTATATGTAATCCCGTTTCCAACGAAATCCTCAAAGCTAGACAAATATCCACTTGCAGATTCCACAAAAAGAGTGTTTCAAAACGGCTCTCTCAAAAGAAAGGTTCAACTCTCTTAGCTGAGTAGATACATCATGAAAAAGTTTCTGACATTGCTTCTATCTAGCTTTTATTGGAAGTTATTTCCTTTTTCACCATAGTCCTGAGAACGCTCCAAATGTCCACTTCCAGATATTACAAAAAGAGTGTTTCAAACCTGCTCTACGAAAGTGAGTGTTCAACACTGTGACTTCAATTGAAACATCCCAATGAAGCTTCTGAGAATGCTTCTGTCTAGATTGTATATGAAGACAATCCCGTTTCCAACGAAATCCTCAAAGCTATCCAAATATCCTCTTGCAGATTTTACAAAAAGAGTGTTTCAAAACTGCTCTATCAAAAGAAAGCTTCAACACTGTTAGTTGAGGGCGCACATCACAAATAAGTTTCTGAGAATGCTTCTGTCTAGTTTTCAGGGGAAGATATTTCCTTTTTCACCATAGGCCTGAAAGCGCTCCAAATGTCCACATCCAGATACTACAAAAAGAGTGTTTCAAACCTGCTCTATGAAAGGGAATGTTCAACTCTGTGACTTGAATGCAAATATCACAAAGATGTTTCTGGGAATGCTGCTGTCTGCTTTTTATATGTAATCCCGTTTCCAACGAAATCCTCAAAGCTAGAAAAATATCCACTTGCAGATTCCACAAAAAGAGTGTTTCAAAACTGCTCTGTCAAAAGAAAGGTTCAACTCTGTTAGCTGAACAGATACATCATGAGAAATTTTCTGACATTGCTTCTATCTAGCTTTATTTGGAAGATATTTCCTTTTTCACCGTAGTCCTGAGAGCGCTCCAAATGTCCACTTCCAGATACTACAAAAAGATTGTTTCAAACATGCTCTATGAAAGGGACTGTTCAACACTGTGACTTCAATTGAAACATCCCAATGAAGCTTCTGAGAATGCTTCTGTCTAGAGTTTATATGAAGACAATCCCGTTTCCAACGAAATCCTCAAAGCTATCCAAATATCCTCTTGCAGATATTACAAAAAGAGTGTTTCAAAACTGCTCTATCAAAAGAAAGGTTCAACACTGTTAGTTGAGGGCGCACATCACAAATAAGTTTACTGAGAATGCTGCTGTCTGCTTTTTATATGTAATCCCGTTTCCAACGAAATCCTCAAAGCTAGACAAATATCCTCTTGCAGATTCCACAAAAAGAGTGTTTCAAAACTGCTCTATCAAAAGAAAGCTTCAACACTGTTAGTTGAGGGCGCACATCTCAAATAATTTTCTGAGAATGCTTCTGTCTAGTTTTCAGGGGAAGATATTTCCTTTTTCACCATAGGCCTGAAAGCGCTCCAAATGTCCACATCCAGATACTACAAAAAGAGTGTTTCAAACCTGCTCTATGAAAGGGACTGTTCAACACTGTGACTTCAATTGAAACATCCCAATGACGCTTCTGAGAATGCTTCTGTCTAGAGTTTATATGAAGACAATCCCGTTTCCAACGAAATCCTCAAAGCTATCCAAATATCCTCTTGCAGATTTTACAAAAAGAGTGTTTCAAAACTGCTCTCTCAAAAGAAAGGTTCAACTCTGTTAGCTGAGTAGATACATCATGAAAAAGTTTCTGACATTGCTTCTATGTAGCTTTTATTGGAAGATATTTCCTTTTTCACCATAGGCCTGAAAGCGCTCCAAATGTCCACATCCAGATACTACAAAAAAAGTGTTTCAAACCTGCTCTATGAAAGGGAATGTTCAACTCTGTGACTTGAATGCAAACATCACAAAGAAGTTACTGGGAATGCTGCTGTCTGTTTTTATATGTAATCCCGTTTCCAACGAAATCCTCAAAGCTAGACAAATATCCACTTGCACATTCCACAAAAAGAGTGTTTCAAAACTGCTCTCTCAAAAGAAAGGTTCAACTCTGTTAGCTGAGTAGATACGTCATGAAAAAGTTTCTGACATTGCTTCTATCTAGCTTTTATTGGAAGATATTTCCTTTTTCACTGTAGTCCTGAGAGCGCTCCAAATGTCCACTTCCAGAAACTACAAGAAGAGTGTTTCAAACCTGCTCTATCAAAGGGAATGTTCAACACTGTGACGTCAATTGAAACATCCCAAAGAAATTTCTAAGAATGCTTCTGTCTAGAGTTTATATGAAGACAATCCCGTTTCCAACGAAATCCTCAAAGCTATCCAAATATCCTCTTGCAGATTTAACAAAATTGTGTTTCAAAACTGCTCTATGAAAAGAAAGGTTCAACACTGTTAGTTGAGGGCACACATCACAATTAAGTTTCTGAGAGTGCTTCTGTCTAGCTTTCAGGGGAAGATATTTCCTTTTTCACCATAGGCCTGAAAGCACTCCAAATGTCCACATCCAGATTCTACAAAAAGAGTTTTTCAATCCTGCTCTATGAAAGGGAATGTTCAACTCTGTGACTTGAATGCAAACATCACAAAGGAGTTTCTGAGAATGCTTCTGTCTGGAGTTTATATGAAGACAATCCCGTTTCCAACGAAATCCTCAAAGCTATCCAAATATCCTCTTGCAGATTTTACAAAAAGAGTGTTTCAAAACTGCTCTATCAAAAGAAAGCTTCAACACTGTTAGTTGAGGGCGCACATCACAAATAAGTTTCTGAGAATGCTTCTGTCTAGTTTTCAGGGGAAGATATTTCCTTTTTCACCATAGGCCTGAAAGCGCTCGAAATGTCCACATCCAGATACTACAAAAAGAGTGTTTCAAACCTGCTCTATGAAAGGGACTGTTCAACACTGTGACTTCAATTGAAACATCCCAATGAAGCTTCTGAGAATGCTTCTGTCTAGAGTTTATATGAAGACAATCCCGTTTCCAACGAAATCCTCAAAGCTATCCAAATATCCTCTTGCAGATTTTACAAAAAGAGTGTTTCAAAACTGCTCTATCAAAAGAAAGCTTCAACACTGTTAGTTGAGGGCGCACATCACAAATAAGATTCTGAGAATGCTTCTGTCTAGTTTTCAGGGGAAGATATTTCCTTTTTCACCATAGGCCTGAAAGCGCTCCAAATGTCCACATCCAGATACTACAAAAAGAGTGTTTCAAACCTGCTCTATGAAAGGGAATGTTCAACTCTGTGACTTTAATGCAAACATCACAAAGAAGTTTCTGGGAATGCTGCTGTCTGCTTTTTATATGTAATCCCGTTTCCAACGGAAATCCTCAAAGCTAGACAAATATGCACTTGCAGATTCCACAAAAAGAGTGTTTCAAAACTGCTCTCTCAAAAGAAAGGTTCAACTCTGTTAGCTGAGTAGATACACCATGAAAAAGTTTCTGACATTGCTTCTATCTAGCTTTTATTGGTAGATATTTCCTTTTTCTCTGTAGTCCTGAGAACGCTCCAAATGTCCACTTCCAGATACTACAAAAACAGTGTTTCAAACCTGCTCTATGAAAGGGACTGTTCAACACTGTGACTTCAATTGAAACATCCCAATGAAGCTTCTGAGAATGCTTCTGTCTAGAGTTTATATGAAGACAATCCCGTTTCCAACGAAATCCTCAAAGCTATCCAAATATCCTCTTGCAGATTTTACAAAAAGAGTGTTTCAAAACTGCTCTATCAAAAGAAAGCTTCAACACTGTTAGTTGAGGGCGCACATCACAAATAAGATTCTGAGAATGCTTCTGTCTAGTTTTCAGGAGAAGATATTTCCTTTTTCACCATAGGCCTGAAAGCGCTCCAAATGTCCACATCCAGATACTATAAAAAGAGTGTTTCAAACCTGCTCTCTGAAAGGGAATGTTCAACTCTGTGACTTGAATGCAAACATCACAAACAAGATTCTGGGAATGCTGCTCTCTGCTTTTTATATGTAATCCCGTTTCCAACGAAATCCTCAAAGCTATCCAAATATCCTCTTGCAGATATTACAAAAAGAGTGTTTCAAAACTGCTCTATCAAAAGAAAGGTTCAACACTGTTAGTTGAGGGCGCACATCACAAATAAGTTTCTGAGAATGCTTCTGTCTAGTTCTCAGGGGAAGATATTTCCTTTTTCACCATAGGCATGAAATTGCTCCAAATGTCCACATCCAGATACTACAAAAAGAGTGTTTCAAACCTGCTCTATGAAAGGGAATGTTCAACTCTGTGACTTGAATGCAAACATCACAAAGAAGTTTCTGGGAATGCTGCTGTCTGCTTTTTATATGTAATCCCGTTTCCAACGAAATCCTCAAAGCTAGACAACTATCCACTTGCAGATTCCACAAAAAGAGTGTTTCAAAACTGCTCTCTCAAAAGAAAGGTTCAACTCTGTTAGCTGAGTAGATACATCATGAAAAAGTTTCTGACATTGCTTCTGTCTAGTTTTCAGGGGAAGATATTTCCTTTTAAACCATAGGCCTGAAAGCGCTCCAAATGTCCACATCCAGATACTACAAAAAGAGTGTTTCAAACCTGCTCTATGAAAGGGACTGTTCAACACTGTGACTTCAATTGAAATATCCCAATGACGCTTCTGAGAATGCTTTTGTCTAGATTTTATATGAAGACAATCCCGTTTCCAAAGAAATCCTCAAAGCTATCAAAATATCCTCTTGCAGATTTTACAAAGAGTGTTTCAAAACTACTCTATCAAAAGAAAGGTTTAACACTGTTAGTTGAGGGCGCACATCACAAATAAGTTTCTGAGAATGCTTCTGTCTAGTTTTCAGGGGAAGATATTTCCTTTTTCACCATAGGCCTGAAAGCGCTCCAAATGTCCACAACCAGATACTTCAAAAAGAGTGTTTCAAACCTGCTCTATGAAAGGGAATGTTCAACTCTCTGGCTTGAATGCAAACATCACAAAGAAGTTACTGGGAATGCTGCTGTCTGCTTTTTATATGTAATCCCGTTTCCAACGAAATCCTCAAAGCTAGACAAATATCCACTTGCAGATTCCACAAAAAGAGTGTTTCAAAACTGCTCTATCAAAAGAATGCTTCAACACTGTTAGTTGAGGGCGCACATCACAAATAAGTTTCTGAGAATGCTTCTGTCTATTTTTCAGGGGAAGATATTTCCTTTTAAACCATAGGCCTGAAAGCGCTCCAAATGTCCACATCCAGATACTACAAAAAGAGTGTTTCAAACCTGCTCTATGAAAGGGACTGTTCAACACTGTGACTTCAATTGAAACATCCCAATGAAGCTTCTGAGAATGCTTCTGTCTAGAGTTTATATGAAGACAATCCCGTTTCCAACGAAATCCTCAAAGCTATCCAAATATCCTCTTGCAGATATTACAAAAAGAGTGTTTCAAAACTGCTCTATCAAAAGAAAGCTTCAACACTGTTAGTTGAGGGCGCCCATCGCAAATAAGTTTCTGAGAATGCTTCTGTCTAGTTTTCAGGGGAAGATATTTCGTTTTTCACCGTAGGCCTGAAAGCGCTGCAAATGTCCACATCAAGATACTACAAAAAGAGTGTTTCAAACCTGCTCTATGAAAGGGAATGTTCAACTCTGTGACTTGAATGCAAACATCACAAAGAAGTTACTGGGAATGCTGCTGTCTGCTTTTTATATGTAATCCCGTTTCCAACGAAATCCTCAAAGCTAGACAAATATCCACTTGCAGATTCCACAAAAAGAGTGTTTCAAAACTGCTCTATCAAAAGAAAGCTTCAACACTGTTAGTTGAGGGCGCACATCACAAATAAGTTTCTGAGAATGCTTCTGTCTAGTTTTCAGGGGAAGATATTTCCTTTTTCACCATAGGCCTGAAAGCGCTCCAAATGTCCACATCCAGATACTACAAAAAGAGTGTTTCAAACCTGCTCTATGAAAGGGACTGTTCAACACTGTGACTTCAATTGAAACATCCCAATGAAGCTTCTGAGAATGCTTCTGTCTAGAGTTTATATGAAGACAATCCCGTTTCCAACGAAATCCTCAAAGCTATCCAAATATCCTCTTGCAGATTTTACAAAAAGAGTGTTTCAAAACTGCTCTATCAAAAGAAAGCTTCAACACTGTTAGTTGAGGGCGCACATCACAAATAAGATTCTGAGAATGCTTCTGTGTAGTTTTCAGGGGAAGATATTTCCTTTTTCACCATAGGCCTGAAAGCGCTCCAAATGTCCACATCCAGATACTACAAAAAGAGTGTTTCAAACCTGCTCTATGAAAGGGAATGTTCAACTCTGTGACTTGAATGCGAACATCACAAAGAAGTTACTGGGAATGCTGCTGTCTGCTTTTTATATGCAATCCCGTTTCCAACGAAATCCTCAAAGCTAGACAAATATCCACTTGCAGATTCCACAAAAAGAGTGTTTCAAAACTGCTCTCTCAAAGGAAAGGTTCAACTCTGTTAGCTGAGTAGATACATCATGAAAAAGTTTCTGACATTGCTTCTGTCTAGTTTTCAGGGGAAGATATTTCCTTTTAAACCATAGGCCTGAAAGCGCTCCAAATGTCCACATCCAGATACTACAAAAAGAGTGTTTCAAACCTGCTCTATGAAAGAGACTGTTCAACACTGTAACTTCAATTGAAACATCCCAATGAAGCTTCTGAGAATGCTTCTGTCTAGAGTTTATATGAAGACAATCCCGTTTCCAAAGAAATCCTCAAAGCTATCCAAATATCCTCTTGCAGATATTACAAAAAGAGTGTTTCAAATCTGCTCTATCAAAAGAAAGGTTCAACACTGTTAGTTGAGGGCGCACATCACAAATAAGTTTCTGAGAATGCTTCTGTCTAGTTTTCAGGGGAAGATATTTCCTTTTTCACCATAGGCCTGAAAGCGCTCCAAATGTCCACATCCAGATACTACAAAAAGAGTGTTTCAAACCTGCTCTATAAAAGGGAATGTTCAACTCTGTGACTTGAATGCAAACATCACAAAGAAGTTTCTGGGAATGCTGCTGTCTGCTTTTTCTATGTAATCCCGTTTCCAACGAAATCCTCAAAGCTAGACAAATATCCACTTGCAGATTCCACAAAAAGAGTGTTTCAAAACTGCTCTATCAAAAGAATGCTTCAACACTGTTAGTTGAGGGCGCACATCACAAATAAGTTTCTGAGAATGCTTCTGTCTAGTTTTCAGGGGAAGATATTTCCTTTTAAACCATAGGCCTGAAAGCGCTCCAAATGTCCACATCCAGATACTACAAAAAGAGTGTTTCAAACCTGCTCTATGAAAGGGACTGTTCAACACTGTGACTTCAATTGAAACATCCCAATGAAGCTTCTGAGAATGCTTCTGTCTAGAGTTTATATGAAGACAATCCCGTTTCCAACGAAATCCTCAAAGCTATCCAAATATCCTCTTGCAGATTTTACAAAAAGAGTGTTTCAAAACTGCTCTATCAAAAGAAAGCTTCAACTCTGTTAGTTGAGGGCGCACATCACAAATAAGATTCTGAGAATGCTTCTGTCTAGTTTTCAGGAGAAGATATTTCCTTTTTCACCATAGGCCTGAAAGCGCTCCAAATGTCCACATCCAGATACTATAAAAAGAGTGTTTCAAACCTGCTCTCTGAAAGGGAATGTTCAACTCTGTGACATGAATGCAAACATCACAAACAAGATTCTGGGAATGCTGCTGTCTGCTTTTTATATGTAATCCCGTTTCCAACGAAATCCTCAAAGCTAGACAAATATCCACTTGCAGATTCCACAAAAAGAGTGTTTCAAAACTGCTCTCTCAAAGGAAGGTTCAACTCTGTTAGCTGAGTAGACACATCATGAAAAAGATTCTGACATTGCTTCTATGTAGCTTTTATTGGAAGATATTTCCTTTTTCACCGCAGTCCTGAGAGCGCTCCAAATGTCCACTTCCAGATACTACAAAAAGAGTGTTTCAAACCTGCTCTATGAAAGGGACTGTTCAACACTGTGACTTCAATTGAAACATCCCAATGAAGCTTCTGAGAATGCTTCTGTCTAGAGTTTATATGTAGACAATCCCGTTTCCAACGAACTCCTCAAAGCTATCCAAATATCCTCTTGCAGATTTCACAAAAAGAGTGTTTCAAAACTGCTCTATCAAAAGAAAGCTTCAACACTGTTAGTTGAGGGCGCACATCACAAATAAGATTCTGAGAATGCTTCTGTCTAGTTTTCAGGGGAAGATATTTCCTTTTTCACCATAGGCCTGAAAGCGCTCCAAATGTCCACATCCAGATACTACAAAAAGAGTGTTTCAAACCTGCTCTATGAAAGGGAATGTTCAACTGTGTGACTTGAATGCAAACATCACAAAGAAGTTTCTGGGAATGCTGCTGTCTGCTTTTTATATGTAATCCCGTTTCCAACGCAATCCTCAAAGCTAGACAAATATCCACTTGCAGATTCCACAAAAAGAGTGTTTCAAAACTGCTCTCTCAAAGGAAGGTTCAACTCTGTTAGCTGAGTAGATACATCATGAAAAAGTTTCTGACATTGCTTCTATCTAGCTTTTATTGGAAGATATTTCCTTTTTCACCGCAGTCCTGAGAGCGCTCCAAATGTCCACTTCCAGATACTACAAAAAGAGTGTTTCAAACCTGCTCTATGAAAGGGACTGTTCAACACTGTGACTTCAACTGAAACATCCCAATGAAGCTTCTGAGAATGCTTCTGTCTGGAGTTTATATGAAGACAATCCCGTTTCCAACGAAATCCTCAAAGCTATCCAAATATCCTCTTGCAGATTTTACAAAAAGAGTGTTTCAAAACTGCTCTATCAAAAGAAAGCTTCAACACTGTTAGTTGAGGGCGCACATCACAAATCAGATTCTGAGAATGCTTCTGTCTAGTTTTCAGGGGAAGATATTTCCTTTTTCACCATAGGCCTGAAAGCGCTCCAAATGTCCACATCCAGATACTACAAAAAGAGTGTTTCAAACCTGCTCTATGAAAGGGATTGTTCAACTCTGTGACGTGAATGCAAACATCACAAAGAAGTTTCTGGGAATGCTGCTGTCTGCTTTTTATATGTAATCCCGTTTCCAACGAAATCCTCAAAGCTAGACAAATATCCACTTGCAGATTCCACAAAAAGAGTGTTTCAAAACTGCTCTCTCAAAAGAAAGGTTCAACTCTGTTAGCTGAGTAGATACATCATGAAAATGTTTCTGACATTGCTTCTATCTAGCTTTTATTGGAAGATATTTCCTTTTTCACCGTAGTCCTGAGAGCGCTCCAAATGTCCACTTCCAGATACTACAAAAAGAGTGTTTCAAACCTGCTCTATGAAAGGGACTGTTCAACACTGTGACTTCAATTGAAACATCCCAATGAAGCTTCTGAGAATGCTTCTGTCTAGAGTTTATATGAAGACAATCCCGTTTCCAACGAAATCCTCAAAGCTATCCAAATATCCTCTTGCAGATTTTACAAAAAGAGTGTTTCAAAACTGCTCTATCAAAAGAAAGCTTCAACACTGTTAGTTGAGGGCGCACATCACAAATAAGATTCTGAGAATGCTTCTGTCTAGTTTTCAGGAGAAGATATTTCCTTTTTCACCATAGGCCTGAAAGCGCTCCAAATGTCCACATCCAGATACTATAAAAAGAGTGTTTCAAACCTGCTCTCTGAAAGGGAATGTTGAACTCTGTGACTTGAATGCAAACATCACAATCAAGATTCTGGGAATGCTGCTGTCTGCTTTTTATATGTAATCCCGTTTCCAACGAAATCCTCAAAGCTAGACAAATATCCACTTGCAGATTCCACAAAAAGAGTGTTTCAAAACTGCTCTATCAAAAGAATGCTTCAACACTGTTAGTTGAGGGCGCACATCACAAATAAGTTTCTGAGAATGCTTCTGTCTAGTTTTCAGAGGAAGATATTTCCTTTTTCACCATAGGCCTGAAAGTGCTCCAAATGTCCACATCCAGATACTACAAAAAGAGTGTTTCAAACCTGCTCTATGAAAGGGACTGTTCAACACTGTGACTTCAATTGAAACATCCCAATGAGGCTTCTGTGAATGCTACTGTCTAGAGTTTATATGAAGACAATCCCATTTCCACCGAAATCCTCAAAGCTATCCAAATATCGTCTTGCAGATTTTACAAAAAGAGTGTTTCAAAACTGCTCTATCAAAAGAAAGCTTCAACACTGTTAGTTGAGGGCGCACATCACAAATAAGTTTCTGAGAATGCTTCTGTCTAGTTTTCAGGAGAAGATATTTCCATTTTCACCGTAGGCCTGAAAGCGCTCCAAATGTCCACATCCAGATACTACAAAAAGAGTGTTTCAAACCTGCTCTATGAAAGGGAATGTTCAACTCTGTGACTTGAATGCAAACATCACAAAGAAGATTCTGGGAATGCTGCTGTCTGCTTTTTATATGTAATCTCGTTTCCAACGAAATCCTCAAAGCTAGACAAATATCCACTTGCAGATTCCACAAAAATAGTGTTTCAAGACTGCTCTCACAAAAGAAAGGTTCAACTCTTTTAGCTGAGTAGATACATCATGAAAAAGTTTCTGACATTGCTTCTATCTAGCTTTTATTGGAAGATATTTCCTTTATCCCCGTAGTCCTGAGAGCGCTCCAAATGTCCCCTTCCAGATACTACAAAAAGAGTGTTTGAAACCTGCTCTATGAAAGGGACTGTTCAACACTGTGACTTCAATTGAAACATCCCAATGAAGCTTCTGACAATGCTTCTGTCTAGAGTTTATATGAAGACAATCCCGTTTCCAACGAAATCCTCGAAGCTATCCAAATATCCTCTTGCAGATATTACAAAAAGAGTGTTTCAAAACTGCTCTATCAAAAGAAAGGTTCAACACTGTTAGTTGAGGGCACACATCACAAATAAGATTCTGAGAATGCTTCTGTCTAGTTTTCAGGGGAAGATATTTCCTTTTTCACCATAGGCCTGAAAGCGCTCCAAATGTCCACATCCAGATACTACAAAAAGAGTGTTTCAAACCTGCTCTATGAAAGGGAATGTTCAACTCTGTGACTTGAATGCAAACATCACAAAGATGTTCCTGGGAATGCTGCTGTCTCCTTTTTATATGTAATCCCGTTTCCAACGAAATCTTCAAAGCTAGACAAATATCCACTTGCAGATTCCACAAAAAGAGTGTTTCAAAACTGCTCTCTCAAAGGAAGGTTCAACTCTGTTAGCTGAGTAGATACATCACTGAAAAAGTTTCTGACATTGCTTCTGTCTAGTTTTCAGGGGAAGATATTTCCTTTTAAACCATAGGCCTGAAAGCGCTCCAAATGTCCACATCCAGATACTACAAAAAGAGTGTTTCAAACCTGCTCTATGAAAGGGACTGTTCAACACTGTGACTTCAATTGAAACATCCCAATGAAGCTTCTGAGAATGCTTCTGTCTAGAGTTTATATGAAGACAATCCCGTTTCCAACGAAATCCTCAAAGCTATCCAAATATCCTCTTGCAGATTTTACAAAAAGAGTGTTTCAAAACTGCTCTATCAAAAGAAAGCTTCAACACTGTTAGTTGAGGGCGCACATCACAAATAAGATTCTGAGAATGCTTCTGTCTAGTTTTCAGGAGAAGATATTTCCTTTTTCACCATAGGCCTGAAAGCGCTCCAAATGTCCACATCCAGATACTATAAAAAGAGTGTTTCAAGCCTGCTCTCTGAAAGGGAATGTTCAACTCTGTGACTTGAATGCAAACATCACAAACAAGATTCTGGGAATGCTGCTGTCTGCTTTTTATATGTAATCCCGTTTCCAACGAAATCCTCAAAGCTAGACAAATATCCACTTGCAGATTCCACAAAAAGAGTGTTCCAAAACTGCTCTCTCAAAAGAAAGGTTCAACTCTGTTAGCTGAGTAGATACATCATGAAAAAGTTTCTGACATTGCTTCTATCTAGCTTTTATTGGAAGATATTTCCTTTTTCACCGTAGTCCTGAGAGCGCTCCAAATGTCCACTTCCAGATACTACAAAAAGAGTGTTTCAAACCTGCTCTATGAAAGGGACTGTTCAACACTGTGACTTCAATTGAAACATCCCAATGAAGCTTCTGAGAATGCTTCTGTCTAGAGTTTATATGAAGACAATCCCGTTTCCAACGAAATCCTCAAAGCTATCCAAATATCCTCTTGCAGATTTTACAAAAAGAGTGTTTCAAAACTGCTCTATCAAAAGAAAGCTTCAACACTGTTAGTTGAGGGCGCACATCACAAATAAGATTCTGAGAATGCTTCTGTCTAGTTTTCAGGGGAAGATATTTCCTTTTTCACCATAGGCCTGAAAGCGCTCCAAATGTCCACATCCAGATACTACAAAAAGAGTGTTTCAAACCTGCTCTATGAAAGGGAATGTTCAATCCTGTGACTTGAATGCAAACATCACAAAGAAGATTCTGGGAATGCTGCTGTCTGCTTTTTATATGTAATCCCGTTTCCAACGAAATCCTCAAAGCTAGACAAATATCCACTTGCAGATTCCACAAAAAGAGTGTTTCAAAACCGCTCTCTCAAAAGAAAGGTTCAACTCTGTTAGCTGAGTAGATACATCATGAAAAAGATTCTGACATTGCTTCTATCTAGCTTTTATTGGAAGATATTTCCTTTTTCACCGCAGTCCTGAGAGCGTTCCAAATGTCCACTTCCAGATACTACAAAAAGAGTGTTTCAAACCTGCTCTATGAAAGGGACTGTTCAACACTGTGACTTCAATTGAAACATCCCAATGAAGCTTCTGAGAATGCTTCTGTCTAGAGTTTATATGAAGACAATCCCGTTTCCAACGAAATCCTCAAAGCTATCCAAATATCCTCTTGCAGATTTTACAAAAAGAGTGTTTCAAAACTGCTCTATCAAAAGAAAGCTTCAACACTGTTAGTTGAGGGCGCACATCACAAATAAGATTCTGAGAATGCTTCTGTCTAGTTTTCAGGGGAAGATATTTCCTTTTTCACCATAGGCCTGAAAGCGCTCAAAATGTCCACATACAGATACTACAAAAAGAGTGTTTCAAACCTGCTCTATGAAAGGGAATGTTCAACCCTGTGACTTGAATGCAAACATCACAAAGAAGTTACTGGGAATGCTGCTGTCTGCTTTTTATATGTAATCCCGTTTCCAACGATATCCTCAAAGCTAGACAAATATCCACCTGCAGATCGAACAAAAAGAGTGTTTCAAAACGGCTCTCTCAAAAGAATGTTTCAACTCTGCTAGCTGAGTAGATACATCATGAAAAAGTTTCTGACATTGCTTCTATGTAGCTTTTATTGGAAGATATTTCCTTTTTCACCATAGGCCTGAAAGCGCTCCAAATGTCCACATCCAGATACTACAAAAAAAGTGTTTCAAACCTGCTCTATGAAAGGGAATGTTCAACTCTGTGACTTGAATGCAAACATCACAAAGAAGTTACTGGGAATGCTGCTGTCTGCTTTTTATATGTAATCCCGTTTCCAACGAAGTCCTCAAAGCTAGACAAATATCCACTTGCAGATTCCACAAAAAGAGTGTTTCAAAACTGCTCTCTCAAAAGAAAGGTTCAACTCTGTTAGCTGAGTAGATACATCATGAAAAAGTTTCTGACATTGCTTCTACCTAGCTTTTATTGGAAGATATTTCCTTTATCACCGTATTCCTGAGATCTCTCCAAATGTCCACTTCCAGATACTACAAAAAGAGTGTTTCAAACCTGCTCTATGAAAGGGACTGTTCAACACTGTGACTTCAATTGAAACATCCCAATGAAGCTTCTGAGAATGCTTCTGTCTAGAGTTTATATGAAGACAATCCCGTTTCCAACGAAATCCTCAAAGCTATCCAAATATCCTCTTGCAGATTTTACAAAAAGAGTGTTTCAAAACTGCTCTATCAAAAGAAAGCTTCAACACTGTTAGTTGAGGGCGCACATCACAAATAAGATTCTGAGAATGCTTCTGTCTAGTTTTCAGGGGAAGATATTTCCTTTTTCACCATAGGCCTGAAAGCGCTCCAAATGTCCACATCCAGATACTACAAAAAGAGTGTTTCAAACCTGCTCTATGAAAGGGAATGTTTAACTCTGTGACTTGAATGCAAACATCACAAAGAAGTTTGTGGGAATGCTGCTGTCTGCTTTTTATATGTAATCCCGTTTCCAACGAAATCCTCAAAGCTAGACAAATATCTACTTGCAGATTCCACAAAAAGAGTATTTCAAAACTGCTCTATCAAAAGAATGCTTCAACACTGTTAGTTGAGGGCGCACATCACAAATAAGTTTCTGAGAATGCTTCTGTCTAGTTTTCAGGGGAAGATATTTCCTTTTAAACCATAGGCCTGAAAGCGCTCCAAATGTCCACATCCAGATACTACAAAAAGAGTGTTTCAAACCTGCTCTATGAAAGGGACTGTTCAACACTGTGACTTCAATTGAAACATCCCAATGAAGCTTCTGAGAATGCTTCTGTCTAGATTTTATATGAAGACAATCCCGTTTCCAACGAAATCCTCAAAGCTATCCAAATATCCTCTTGCAGATTTTTCAAAAAGAGTGTTTCAAAACTGCTCTATCAAAAGAAAGCTTCAACACTGTTAGTTGAGGGCGCACACCACAAATAAGTTTCTGAGAATGCTTCTGTCTAGTTTTCAGGGGAAGATATTTCCTTTTAAACCTTAGGCCTGAAAGCGCTCCAAATGTCCACATCCAGATACTACAAAAAGAGTGTTTCAAACCTGCTCTATGAAAGGGAATGTTCAACTCTGTGACTTGAATGCAAACATCACAAAGAAGTTACTGGGAATGCTGCTGTCTGTTTTTATATGAAATCCCGTTTCCAGCGAAATCCTCAAAGCTAGACAAATATCCACTTGCAGATTCCACAAAAAGAGTGTTTCAAAACTGCTCTCTCAAAGGAAGGTTCAACTCTGTTAGCTGAGTAGATACATCATGAAAAATTTTCTGACATTGCTTCTATCTAGCTTTTATTGGAAGATATTTCCTTTTTCACCGTAGTCCTGAGAGCGCTCCAAATGTCCACTTCCAGATACTACAAAAAGAGTGTTTCAAACCTGTTCTATGAAAGGAACCGTTCAACACTGTGACTTCAAATGAAACATCCCAATGAAGCTTCTGAGAATGCTTCTGTCTAGAGTTTATGTGAAGACAATCCCGTTTCCAACGAAATCCTCAAAGCTATCCAAATATCCTCTTGCAGATATTACAAAAAGAGTGTTTCAAAACTGCTCTATCAAAAGAAAGGTTCAACACTGTTAGTTGAGGGCGCACATCACAAATAAGTTTCTGAGAATGCTTCTGTCTAGTTTTCAGGGGAAGATATTTCCTTTTTCACCATAGGCCTAAAAGCGCTCCAAATGTCCACATCCAGATACTACAAAAAGAGTGTTTCAAACCTGCTCTATGAAAGGGAATGTTCAACTGTGTGACTTGAATGCAAACATCACAAAGAAGTTTCTGGGAATGCTGCTGTCTGCTTTTTATATGTAATCCCGTTTCCAACGAAATCCTCAAAGCTAGACAAATATCCACTTGCAGATTCCACAAAAAGAGTGTTTCAAAACTTCTCTCTGAAAAGAAAGGTTCAACTGTGTTAGCTGAGTAGATACATCATGAAAAAGTTTCTGACATTGCTTCTATGTAGCTTTTATTGGAAGATATTTCCTTTTTCACCATAGTCCTGAGAGCGCTCCAAATGTCCACTTCCAGATACTACAAAAAGAGTGTTTCAAACCTGTTCTATGAAAGGAACTGTTCAACACTGTGACTTCAATTGAAACATCCCAATGAAGCCTCTGAGAATGCTTCTGTCTAGAGTTTATATGAAGACAATCCCGTTTCCAACGAAATCCTCAAAGCTATCCAAATATCCTCTTGCAGATTTTACAAAAAGAGTGTTCCAAAACTGCTCTATCAAAAGAAAGCTTCAACACTGTTAGTTGAGGGCGCACATCACAAATAAGATTCTGAGAATGCTTCTCTCTAGTTTTCAGGGGAAGACATTTCCTTTTTCACCATAGGCCTGAAAGCGCTCCAAATGTCCACATCCAGATACTACAAAAAGAGTGTTTCAAACCTGCTCTATGAAAGGGAATGTTCAACTCTGTGACTTGAATGCAAACATCACAAAGAAGTTTCTGGAAATGCTGCTGTCTGCTTTTTATATGTAATCCCGTTTCCAACGAAATCCTCAAAGCTAGACAAATATCCACTTGCAGATTCCACAAAAAGAGTGTTTCAAAACTGCTCTCTCAAAAGAAAGGTTCAACTCTGTTAGCTGAGTAGACACATGATGAAAAAGTTTCTGACATTGCTTCTATCTAGCTTTTATTGGAAGATATTTCCTTTTTCACCGTATTCCTGAGATCTCTCCAAATGTCCACTTCCAGATACTACAAAAAGAGTGTTTCAAACCTGCTCTATGAAAGGGACTGTTCAACACTGTGACTTCAATTGAAACATCCCAATGAAGCTTCTGAGAATGCTTCTGTCTAGAGTTTATATGAAGACAATCCCGTTTCCAACGAAATCCTCAAAGCTATCCAAATATCCTCTTGCAGATTTTACAAAAAGAGTGTTTCAAAACTGGTCTATCAAAAGAAAGCTTCAACACTGTTAGTTGAGGTCGCACATCACAAATAAGATTCTGAGAATGCTTCTGTCTAGTTTTCAGGGGAAGATATTTCCTTTTTCACCATAGGCCTGAAAGCGCTCCAAATGTCCACATCCAGATACTACAAAAAGAGAGTTTCAAACCTGCTCTATGAAAGGGAATGTTCAACTCTGTGACTTGAATGCAAACATCACAAAGAAGTTTCTGGGAATGCTGCTGTCTTCTTTTTATATGTATTCCCGTTTCCAACGAAATCCTCAAAGCTAGACAAATATCCACTTGCAGATTCCACAAAAAGAGTGTTTCAAAACTGCTCTCTCAAAAGAAAGGTTCAACTCTGTTAGCTGAGTAGATACATCATGAAAAAGTTTCTGACATTGCTTCTATGTAGCTTTTATTGGAAGATATTTCCTTTTTCACCGTAGTCCTGAGAGCGCTCCAAATGTCCACTTCCAGATACTACAAAAAGAGTGTTTCAAACCTGCTCTATGAAAGGGACTGTTCAACACTGTGACTTCAATTGAAACATCCCAATGAAGCTTCTGAGAATGCTTCTGTCTAGAGTTTATATGAAGACAATCCCGTTTCCAATGAAATCCTCAAAGCTATGCAAATATCCTCTTGCAGATTTTACAAAAAGAGTGTTTCAAAACTGCTCTATCAAAAGAAAGCTTCAACACTGTTAGTTGAGGGCGCACATCACAAATAAGATTCTGAGAATGCTTCTGTCTAGTTTGCAGGGGAAGATATTTCCTTTTTCACCATAGGCCTGAAAGCGCTCCAAATGTCCACATCCAGATACTACAAAAAGAGTGTTTCAAACCTGCTCTATGAAAGGGAATGTTAAACTCTGTGACTTGAATGCAAACATCACAAAGAAGTTTCTGGGGAATGCTGCTGTCTGCTTTTTATATGTAATCCCGTTTCCAACGAAATCCTCAAAGCTAGACAAATATCCACTTGCAGATTCCACCAAAAGAGGGTTTCAAAACTTCTCTCTCAAGAGAAAGGTTCAACTCTATTAGCTGAGTAGATACATCATGAAAATGTTTCTGACATTGCTTCTATCCAGCTTTTATTGGAAGATATTTCCTTTTTCACCATAGTCCTGAGAACGCTCCAAATGTCCACTTCCAGATGCTACAAAAAGAGTGTTTCAAACCTGCTCTATGAAAGGGACTGTTCAACACTGTGACTTCAATTGAAATATCCCAATGAAGCTTCTGAGAATGCTTCTGTCTAGAGTTTATATGAAGACAATCCCGTTTCCAACGAAATCCTCAAAGCTATCCAAATATCCTCTTGCAGATTTTACAAAAAGAGTGTTTCAAAACTGCTCTATCAAAAGAAAGCTTCAACACTGTTAGTTGAGGGCGCACATCACAAATAAGATTCTGAGAATGCTTCTGTCTAGTTTTCAGGGGAAGATATTTCCTTTTTCACCATAGGCCTGAAAGCGCTCCAAATGTCCACATACAGATACTACAAAAAGAGTGTTTCAAACCTGCTCTATGAAAGGGAATGTTCAACTGTGTGACTTGAATGCAAACATCACAAAGAAGTTTCTGGGAATGCTGCTGTCTGCTTTTTATATGTAATCCCGTTTCCAACGAAATCCTCAAAGCTAGACAAATATCCACTTGCAGATTCCACAAAAAGAGTGTTTCAAAACTGCTCTCTCAAAGGAAAGGTTCAACTCTGTTAGCTGAGTAGATACATCATGAAAAAGTTTCTGACATTGCTTCTATGTAGCGTTTATTGGAAGATATTTCCTTTATCACCGTATTCCTGAGATCTCTCCAAATGTCCACTTCCAGATACTACAAAAAGAGTGTTTCCAACCTGCTCTATGAAAGGGACTGTTCAACACTGTGACTTCAATTGAAACATCCCAATGAAGCTTCTGAGAATGCTTCTGTCTAGAGTTTATATGAAGACAATCCCGTTTCCAACGAAATCCTCAAAGCTATCCAAATATCCTCTTGCAGATATTACAAAAAGAGTGTTTCAAAACTGCTCTATCAAAAGAAAGCTTCAACACTGTTAGTTGAGGGCGCACATCACAAATAAGTTTCTGAGAATGCTTCTGTCTAGTTTTCAGGGGAAGATATTTCCTTTTTCACCCTAGGCCTGAAAGCGCTCCAAATGTCCACATCCAGATACTACAAAAAGAGTGTTTCAAACCTGCTCTATGAAAGGGAATGTTCAACTCTGTGACTTGAATGCAAACATCACAAAGAAGTTTCTGGGAATGCTGCTGTCTGCTTTTTATATGTAATCCCGTTTCCAACGAAATCCTCAAAGCTAGACAAATATCCACTTGCAGATTCCACAAAAAGAGTGTTTCAAAACTGCTCTATCAAAAGAATGCTTCAACACTGTTAGTTGAGGGCGCACATCACAAATAAGTTTCTGAGAATGCTTCTGTCTAGTTTTCAGGGGAAGATATTTCCTTTTAAACCATAGGCCTGAAAGCGCTCCAAATGTCCACATCCAGATACTACAAAAAGAGTGTTTCAAACCTGCTCTATGAAAGGGACTGTTCAACACTGTGACTTCAATTGAAACATCCCAATGACGCTTCTGAGAATGCTTCTGTCTAGAGTTTATATGAAGACAATACCGTTTCCAACGAAATCCTCAAATCTATCCAAATATCCTCTTGCAGATTTCACAAAAAGAGTGTTTCAAAACTGCTCTATCAAAAGAAAGCTTCAACACTGTTAGTTGAGGGCGCACATCACAAATAAGATTCTGAGAATGCTTATCTGTCTAGCTTTCAGGGGAAGATATTTCCTTTTTCACCATAGGCCTGAAAGCGCTCCAAATGTCCACATCCAGATACTTCAAAAAGAGTGTTTCAAACCTGCTCCATGAAAGGGAACGTTCAACTCTGTGACTTGAATGCAAACATCAGAAAGAAGTTACTGGGAATGCTGCTGCCTGCTTTTTATATGTAATCCCGTTTCCAACGAAATCCTCAAAGCTAGACAAATATCCACTTGCAGATTCCACAAAAAGAGTGTTTCAAAACTGCTCTCTCAAAGGAAAGGTTCAACTCTGTTAGCTGAGTAGATACATCATGAAAAAGTTTCTGACATTGCTTCTATGTAGCGTTTATTGGAAGATATTTCCTTTATCACCGTATTCCTGAGATCTCTCCAAATGTCCACTTCCAGATACTACAAAAAGAGTGTTTCAAACCTGCTCTATGAAAGGGACTGTTCAACACTGTGACTTCAATTGAAACATCCCAATGAAGCTTCTGAGAATGCTTCTGTCTAGAGTTTATATGAAGACAATCCCGTTTCCAACGAAATCCTCAAAGCTATCCAAATATCCTCTTGCAGATTTTACAAAAAGAGTGTTTCAAAACTGCTCTATCAAAAGAAAGCTTCAAGACTGTTAGTTGAGGGCGCACATCACAAATAAGATTCTGAGAATTCTTCTGTCTAGTTTTCAGGGGAAGATATTTCCTTTTTCACCATAGGCCTGAAAGCGCTCCAAATGTCCACATCCAGATACTACAAAAAGAGTGTTTCAAACCTGCTGTATGAAAGGGAATGTTCAACTCTGTGACTTGAATGCAAACATCACAAAGAAGTTACTGGGAATGCTGCTGTCTGCTTTTTATATGTAATCCCGTTTCCAACGAAATCCTCAAAGGTAGACAAATATCCACTTGCAGATTTCACAAAAAGAGTGTTTCAAAACTGCTCTCTCAAAAGAAAGGTTCAACTCTGTTAGCTGAGTAGATACATCATGAAAAAGTTTGCTGACATTGCTTCTCTATCTAGCTTTTATTGGAAGATAATTCCTTTATCACCGTATTCCTGAGAACTCTCCAAACGTCCACTTCCAGATACTACAAAAAGATTGTTTCAAACCTGCTCTATGAAAGGGACTGTTCAACTCTGTGACTTCAATTGAAACATCCCATTGAAGCTTCTGAGAATGCTTCTGTCTAGAGTTTATATGAAGACAATCCCGTTTCCAACGAAATCCTCAAAGCTATCCAAATATCCTCTTGCAGATTTTACAAAAAGAGTGTTTCAAAACTGCTCTATCAAAAGAAAGCTTCAACACTGTTAGTTGAGGGCGCACATCACAAATAAGATTCTGAGAATGCTTCTGTCTAGTTTTCAGGAGAAGATATTTCCTTTTTCACCATAGGCCTGAAAGCGCTCCAAATGTCCACATCCAGATACTATAAAAAGAGTGTTTCAAACCTGCTCTCTGAAAGGGAATGTTCAACTCTGACTTGAATGCAAACATCACAAACAAGATTCTGGGAATGCTGCTGTCTGCTTTTTATATGTAATCCCGTTTCCAACGAAATCCTCAAAGCTATCCAAATATCCTCTTGCAGATATTACAAAAAGAGTGTTTCAAAACTGCTCTATCAAAAGAAAGGTTCAACACTGTTAGTTGAGGGCGCACATCAGAAATAAGTTTCTGAGAATGCTTCTGTCTAGTTTTCAGGGGAACATATTTCCTTTTTCACCATAGGCCTGAAAGCGCTCCAAATGTCCACATCCAGATACTACAAAAAGAGTGTTTCAAACCTGCTCTATGAAAGGGAATGTTCAACTCTGTGACTTGAATGCAAACATCACAAAGAAGTTACTGGGAATGCTGCTGTCTGCTTTTTATATGTAATCCCGTTTCCAACGAAATCCTCAAAGCTAGACAAATATCCACTTGCAGATTCCACAAAAAGAGTGTTTCAAAACTGCTCCCTCAAAGGAAAGGTTCAACTCTGTTAGCTGAGTAGATACATCATGAAAAAGTTTCTGACATTGCTTCTATCTAGCTTTTATTGGAAGATATTTCCTTTATCATCGTAGTCCTGAGAGCGCTCCAAATGTCCACTTCCAGATACTACAAAAAGAGTGTTTCAAACCTGCTGTATGAAAGGGACTGTTCAACACTGTGACTTCAATTGAAACATCCCAATGAAGCTTCTGAGAATGCTTCTGTCTAGAGTTTATATGAAGACAATCCCGTTTCCAACGAAATCCTCAAAGCTATCCAAATATCCTCTTGCAGATATTACAAAAGGAGTGTTTCAAAACTGCTCTATCAAAAGAAAGGTTCAACACTGTTAGTTGAGGGCGCACATCACAAATAAGTTTCTGAGAATGCTTCTGTCTAGTTTTCAAGGGAAGATATTTCCTTTTTCACCATAGGCCTGAAAGCGCTCCAAATGTCCACATCCAGATACTACAAAAAGAGTGTTTCAAACCTGCTCTATGAAAGGGAATGTTCAACTCTGTGACTTGAATGCAAACATCACAAAGAAGTTTCTGGGAATGCTGCTGTCTGCTTTTTATATGTAATCTCGTTTCCAACGAAATCCTCAAAGCTAGACAAATATCCACTTGCAGATTCCACAAAAAGAGTGTTTCAAAACTGCTCTCTCAAAAGAAAGGTTCAACTCTGTTAGCTGAGTAGATACAACATGAAAAAGTTTCCGACATTGCTTCTATCTAGCTTTTATTGGAAGACACTTCCTTTTTCACCGTAGTCCTGAGAGCGCTCCAAATGTCCACTTCCAGATACTACAAAAAGAGTGTTTCAAACCTGCTCTATGAAAGGGACTGTTCAACACTGTGACTTCAATTGAAACATCCCAATGAAGCTTCTGAGAATGCTTCTGTCTAGAGTTTATATGAAGACAATCCCGTTTCCAACGAAATCCTCAAAGCTATCCAAATATCCTCTTGCAGATATTACAAAAAGAGTGTTTCAAAACTGCTCTATCAAAAGAAAGCTTCAACACTGTTAGTTGAGGGCGCACATCACAAATAAGTTTCTGAGAATGCTTCTGTCTAGTTTTCAGGGGAAGATATTTCCTTTTTCACCATAGGGCTGAAAGCGCTCCAAATGTCCACATCCAGATACTACAAAAAGAGTGTTTCAAACCTGCTCTATGAAAGGGAAGGTTCAACTCTGTGACTTGAATGCAAACATCACAAAGAAGTTTCTGGGAATGCTGCTGTCTGCTTTTTATATGTAATCCCGTTTCCAACGAAATCCTCAAAGCTAGACAAATATCCACTTGCAGATTCCACAAAAAGAGTGTTTCAAAACTGCTCTATCAAAAGAATGCTTCAACACTGTTAGTTGAAGGCGCACATCACAAATAAGTTTCTGAGAATGCTTCTATCTAGCTTTTATTGGAAGATATTTCCTTTATCACCGTATTCCTGAGATCTCTCCAAATGTCCACTTCCAGATACTGCAAAAAGAGTGTTTCAAACCTGCTCTATGAAAGGGACTGTTCAACACTGTGACTTCAATTGAAACATCCCAATGAGGCTTCTGAGAATGCTTCTGTCTAGAGTTTATATGAAGACAATCCCGTTTCCAACGAAATCCTCAAAGCTATCCAAATATCCTCTTGCAGATTTTACAAAAAGAGTGTTTCAAAACTGCTCTATCAAAAGAAAGCTTCAACTCTGTTAGTTGAGGGCGCACATCACAAATAAGATTCTGAGAATGCTTCTGTCTAGTTTTCAGGGG
Source organism: Homo sapiens (assembly GCF_000001405.40). NCBI lineage: Eukaryota > Metazoa > Chordata > Mammalia > Primates > Hominidae > Homo > Homo sapiens. The sequence goes on along the minus strand of NC_000002.12, from coordinate 92,325,793 downwards.
AAGATATTTCCTTTTTCACCATAGGACTGAAAGCGCTCCAAATGTCCACATAGAGATACTACAAAAAGAGAGTTTCAAACCTGCTCTATGAAAGGGAATGTTCAACTCTGTGACTTGAATGCAAACATCACAAAGAAGTTTCTGGGAATGCTGCTGTCTGCTTTTTATATGTAATCCCGTTTCCAACGAAATCCTCAAAGCTAGACAAATATCCCCTTGCAGATTCCACAAAAATAGTGTTTCAAAACTGCTCTCTCAAAAGAAAAGTTCAACTCTTTTAGCTGAGTAGATACATCGTGAAAAAGTTTCTGACATTTCTTCTATGTAGCTTTTATTGGAAGATATTTAATTTTTCACCTTAGTCCTGAGAGCCCTCCAAAAGTCCACTTCCAGATACTACAAAAAGTGTGTTTCAAACCTGTTCTATGAAAGGAACTGTTCAACACTGTGACTTCAATTGAAACATCCCAATGAAGCTTCTGAGAATGCTTCTGTCTAGACTTTATATGAAGACAATCCCGTTTCCAACGAAATCCTCAAAGCTATCCAAATATCCTCTTGCAGATATTACAAAAAGAGTGTTTCAAAACTGCTCTATCAAAAGAAAGCTTCAACACTGTTAGTTGAGGGCGCACATCACAAATAAGTTTCTGAGAATGCTTCTGTCTAGTTTTCAGTGGAAGATATTTCCTTTTTCACCATAGGCCTGAAAGCGCTCCAAATGTCCAAATCCAGATACTACAAAAAGAGTGTTTCAAACCTGCTCTATGAAAGGGAATTTTCAACTCTGTGACTTGAATGCAAACACCACAAAGTAGTTTCTGGGAATGCTGCTGTCTGCTTTTTATATGTAATCCCGTTTCCAACGAAATCCTCAAAGCTAGAAAAATATCCACTTCCAGATTCCACAAAAAGAGTGTTTCAAAACTGCTCTCTCAGAAGAAAGGTTCAACTCTGTTAGCTGAGTAGATACATCATGAAAAAGTTTCTGACATTGCTTCTATGTAGCTTTTATTGGAAGATATTTCCTTTTTCACCGTAGACCTGAGATCGCTCCAAATGTCCACTTCCAGATACTACAAAAAGAGTGTTTCAAACCTGCTCTATGAAAGGGACTGTCCAACACTGTGACTTCAATTGAAACATCCCAATGAAGCTTCTGAGAATGCTTCTGTCTAGAGTTTATATGAAGACAATCCCGTTTCCAACGAAATCCTCAAAGCTATCCAAATATCCTCTTGCAGATTTTACAAAAAGAGTGTTTCAAAACTGCTCTATCAAAAGAAAGCTTCAACACTGTTAGTTGAGGGCGCACATCACAAATAAGATTCTGAGAATGCTTCTGTCTAGTTTTCAGGGGAAGATATTTCCGTTTTCACCATAGGCCTGAAAGCGCTCCAAATGTCCACATCCAGATACTACAAAAAGAGTGTTTCAAACCTGCTCTATGAAAGGGAATGTTCAACTCTGTGACTTGAATGCAAATATCACAAAGAAGTTTCTGGGAATGCTGCTGTCTGCTTTTTATATGTAATCCCGTTTCCAACGAAATCCTCAAAGCTAGACAAATATCCACTTGCAGATTCCACAAAAAGAGTGTTTCAAAACTGCTCTCTCAAAGGAAGGTTCAACTCTGTTAGCTGAGTAGACACATCATGAAAAAGATTCTGACATTGCTTCTATGTAGCTTTTATTGGAAGATATTTCCTTTTTCACCGCAGTCCTGAGAGCGCTCCAAATGTCCACTTCCAGATACTACAAAAAGAGTGTTTCAAACCTGCTCTATGAAAGGGACTGTTCAACACTGTGACTTCAATTGAAACATCCCAATGAAGCTTCTGAGAATGCTTCTGTCTAGAGTTTATATGAAGACAATCCCGTTTCCAACGAAATCCTCAAAGCTATCCAAATATCCTCTTGCAGATATTACAAAAAGAGTGTTTCAAAACTGCTCTATCAAAAGAAAGCTTCAACACTGTTAGTTGAGGGCGCACATCACAAATAAGTTTCTGAGAATGCTTCTGTCTAGTTTTCAGGGGAAGATATTTCCTTTTTCACCATAGGCCTAAAAGCGCTCCAAATGTCCACATCCAGATACTACAAAAAGAGTGTTTCAAACCTGCTCTATGAAAGGGAATGTTCAACTCTGTGACTTGAATGCAAACATCACAAAGAAGTTTCTGGGAATGCTGCTGTCTGCTTTTTATATGTAATCCCGTTTCCAACGAAATCCTCAAAGCTAGACAAATATCCACTTGCAGATTCCACAAAAAGAGTGTTTCAAAACTGCTCTCTCAAAGGAAAGGTTCAACTCTGTTAGCTGAGTAGATACATCATGAAAAAGTTTCTGACATTGCTTCTATGTAGCTTTTATTGGAAGATATTTCCTTTTTCACCGTAGTCCTGAGAGCGCTCCAAATGTCCACTTCCAGATACTACAAAAAGAGTGTTTCAAACCTGCTCTATGAAAGGGACTGTTCAACACTGTGACTTCAATTGAAACATCCCAATGAAGCTTCTGAGAATGCTTCTGTCTAGAGTTTATATGAAGACAATCCCGTTTCCAACGAAATCCTCAAAGCTATCCAAATATCCTCTTGCAGATTTTACAAAAAGAGTGTTTCAAAACTGCTCTATCAAAAGAAAGCTTCAACACTGTTAGTTGAGGGCGCACATCACAAATAAGATTCTGAGAATGCTTCTGTCTAGTTTTCAGGGGAAGATATTTCCTTTTTCACCATAGGCCTGAAAGCGCTCCAAATGTCCACATCCAGATACTACAAAAAGAGTGTTTCAAACCTGCTCTATGAAAGGGAATGTTCAACTCTGTGACTTGAATGCAAACATCACAAAGAAGATTCTGGGAATGCTGCTGTCTGCTTTTTATATGTAATCCCGTTTCCAACGAAATCCTCAAAGCTAGACAAATATCGACTTGCAGATTCCACAAAAATAGTGTTTCAAAACTGCTCTCTCAAAAGAAAGTTTCAACTCTTTTAGCTGAGTAGATACATCATGAAAAAGTTTCTGACATTGCTTCTATGTAGCTTTTATTGGAAGATATTTCCATTTTCACCGTAGTCCTGAGAGCGCTCCAAATGTCCACTTCCAGATACTACAAAAAGAGTGTTTCAAACCTGTTCTATGAAAGGAACTGTTCAACACTGTGACTTCAATTGAAACATCCCAATGAAGCTTCTGAGAATGCTTCTGTCTAGAGTTTATATGAAGACAATCCCGTTTCCAACGAAATCCTCAAAGCTATCCAAATATCCTCTTGCAGATTTTACAAAAAGAGTGTCTCAAAACTGCTCCATCAAAAGAAAGCTTCAACACTGTTAGTTGAGGGCGCACATCACAAATAAGATTCTGAGAATGCTTCTGTCTAGTTTTCAGGGGAAGATATTTCCTTTTTCACCTTAGGCCTGAAAGCGCTGCAAATGTCCACATCCAGATACTACAAAAAGAGTGTTTCAAACCTGCTCTATGAAAGGGAATGTTCAACTCTGTGACTTGAATGCAAACATCACAAAGAAGTTTCTGGGAATGCTGCTGTCTGATATTTATATGTAATCCCGTTTCCAACGAAATCCTCAAAGCTGGACAAATATCCACTTGCAGATTCCACAAAACGAGTGTTTCAAAACTGCTCTCTCAAATGAAGGTTCAACTCTGTTAGCTGAGTAGATACATCATGAAAAAGTTTCTGACATTGCTTCTATCTAGCTTTTATTGGAAGATATTTCCTTTTTCACCGCAGTCCTGAGAGCGCTCCAAATGTCCACTTCCAGATACTACAAAAAGAGTGTTTCAAACCTGCTCTATGAAAGGGACTGTTCAACACTGTGACTTCAATTGAAACATCCCAATGAAGCTTCTGAGAATGCTTCTGTCTAGAGTTTATATGAAGACAATCCCGTTTCCAACGAAATCCTCAAAGCTATCCAAATATCCTCTTGCAGATTTTACAAAAAGAGTGTTTCAAAACTGCTCTATCAAAAGAAAGCTTCAACACTGTTAGTTGAGGGCGCACATCACAAATAAGATTCTGAGAATGCTTCTGTCTAGTTTTCAGGGGAAGATATTTCCTTTTTCACCATAGGCCTGAAAGCGCTCCAAATGTCCACATCCAGATACTACAAAAAGAGTGTTTCAAACCTGCTCTATGAAAGGGAATGTTCAACTCTGTGACTTGAATGCAAACGTCACAAAGAAGTTTCTGGGAATGCTGCTGTCTGCTTTTTATATGTAATCCCGTTTCCAACGAAATCCTCAAAGCTAGACAAATATCCACTTGCAGATTCCACAAAAAGAGTGTTTCAAAACTGCTCTCTCAAAGGAAAGGTTCAACTCTGTTAGCTGAGTAGATACATCATGAAAAAGTTTCTGACATTGCTTCTATGTAGCTTTTATTGGAAGATATTTCCTTTTTCACCGTAGTCCTGAGAACGCTCCAAATGTCCACTTCCAGATACTACAAAAAGTGTGTTTCAAACCTGTTCTATGAAAGGAACTGTTCAACACTGTGACTTCAATTGAAACATCCCAATGAAGCTTCTGAGAATGCTTCTGTCTAGAGTTTATATGAAGACAATCCCGTTTCCAACGAAATCCTCAAAGCTATCCAAATATCCTCTTGCAGATATTACAAAAAGAGTGTTTCAAAACTGCTCTATCAAAAGAAAGCTTCAACACTGTTAGTTGAGGGCGCACATCACAAATAAGTTTCTGAGAATGCTTCTATGTAGCTTTTATTGGAAGATATTTCCTTTTTCACCATAGGCCTGAAAGCGCTCCAAATGTCCACATCCAGATACTACAAAATAAGTGTTTCAAACCTGCTCTATGAAAGGGAATGTTCAACTCTGTGACTTGAATGCAAACATCACAAAGAAGTTACTGGGAATGCTGCTGTCTGCTTTTTATATGTAATACCGTTTCCAACGCAATCCTCAAAACTAGACAAATATCCACTTGCAGATTCCACAAAAAGAGTGTTTCAAAACTACTCTCTCCAAAGAAAGGTTCAACTCTGTTAGCTGAGTAGATACATCATGAAAAATTTTCTGACATTGTTTCTATCTAGCTTTTATTGGAAGATATTTCCTTTATCACCGTATTCCTGAGATCTCTCCAAATGTGCACTTCCAGATACTACAAAAAGAGTGTTTCAAACCTGCTCTATGAAAGGGACTGTTCAACACTGTGACTTCAATTGAAACATCCCAATGAAGCTTCTGAGAATGCTTCTGTCTAGAGTTTATATGAAGACAATCCCGTTTCCAACGAAATCCTCAAAGCTATCCAAATATCCTCTTGCAGATTTTACAAAAAGAGTGTTTCAAAACTGCTCTATCAAAAGAAAGCTTCAACACTGTTAGTTGAGGGCGCACATCACAAATAAGATTCTGAGAATGCTTCTGTCTAGTTTTCAGGGGAAGATATTTCCTTTTTCACCATAGGCCTGAAAGCGCTCCAAATGTCCACATCCAGATACTACAAAAAGAGTGTTTCAAACCTGCTCTATGAAAGGGAATGTTCAACTCTGTGACTTGAATGCAAACATCACAAAGAATTTTCTGGGAATGCTGCTGTCTGCTTTTTATATGTAATCCCGTTTCCAACGAAATCCTCAAAGCTAGACAAATATCCACTTGCAGATTCCACAAAAAGAGTGTTTCAAAACTGCTCTCTCAAAGGAAAGGTTCAACTCTGTTAGCTGAGTAGATACATCATGAAAAAGTTTCTGACATTGCTTCTATGTAGCTTTTATTGGAAGATATTTCCTTTTTCACCGTAGTCCTGAGAGCGCTCCAAATGTCCACTTCCAGATACTACAAAAAGAGTGATTCAAACCTGGTCTATGAAAGGGAGTGTTCAACACTGTGACTTCAATTGAAACATCCCAATGAAGCTTCTGAGAATGCTTCTGTCTAGAGTTTATATGAAGACAATCCCGTTTCCAACGAAATCCTCAAAGCTATCCAAATATCCTCTTGCAGATTTTACAAAAAGAGTGTTTCAAAACTGCTCTATCAAAAGAAAGCTTCAACACTGTTAGTTGAGGGCGCACATCACAAATAAGTTTCTGAGAATGCTTCTGTCTAGTTTTCAGGAGAAGATATTTCCTTTTTCACCATAGGCCTGAAAGCGCTCCAAATGTCCACATCCAGATACTATAAAAAGAGTGTTTCAAACCTGCTCTATGAAAGGGAATGTTCAACTCTGTGACTTGAATGCAAACATCACAAAGGAGATTCTGGGAATGCTGCTGTCTGCTTTTTATATGTAATCCCGTTTCCAACGAAATCCTCAAAGCTAGACAAATATCCACTTGCAGATTCCACAAAAAGAGTGTTTCAAAACTGCTCTCTCAAAGGAAGGTTCAACTCTGTTAGCTGAGTAGATACATCATGAAAAAGTTTCTGACATTGCTTCTATCTAGCTTTTATTGGAAGATAGTTCCTTTTTCACCGCAGTCCTGAGAGCGCTCCAAATGTCCACTTCCAGATACTACAAAAAGAGTGTTTCAAACCTGCTCTATGAAAGGGAATGTTCAACTCTGTGACTTGAATGCAAACGTCACAAAGAAGTTACTGGGAATGCTGCTGTCTGCTTTTTATATGTAATCCCGTTTCCAACGAAATCCTCAAAGCTAGACAAATATCCACTTCCAGATTCCACAAAAAGAGTGTTTCAAAACTGCTCTCTCAAAAGAAAGGTTCAACTCTGTTAGCTGAGTAGATACATCATGAAAAAGTTTCTGACATTGCTTCTATGTAGCTTTTATTGGAAGATATTTCCTTTTTCACCATAGGCCTGAAAGCGCTCCAAATGTCCACATCCAGATACTACAAAAAGAGTGTTTCAAACCTGCTCTATGAAAGGGAATGTTCAACTCTGTCACTTGAATGCAAACCTCACAAAGAAGTTACTGGGAATGCTGCTGTCTGCTTTTTATATGGAATCCCGTTTCCAACGAAATCCTCAAATCTAGACAAATATCCACTTGCAGATTCCACAAAAAGAGTGTTTCAGAACTGCTCTCTCAAAAGAAAGGTTCAACTCTGTTCGCTGAGTAGATACATCATGAAAAAGTTTCTGACATTGCTTCTATCTAGCTTTTATTGGAAGATATTTCCTTTTTCACCGCAGTCCTGAGAGCGCTCCAAATGTCCACTTCCAGATACTACAAAAAGAGTGTTTCAAACCTGCTCTATGAAAGGGACTGTTCAACACTGTGACTTCAATTGAAACATCCCAATGAAGCTTCTGAGAATGCTTCTGTCTAGAGTTTATATGAAGACAATCCCGTTTCCAACGAAATCCTCAAAGCTATCCAAATATCCTCTTGCAGATATTACAAAAAGAGTGTTTCAAAACTGCTCTATCAAAAGAAAGCTTCAACACTGTTAGTTGAGGGCGCACATCACAAATAAGTTTCTGAGAATGCTTCTGTCTGGTGTTCAGGGGAAGATATTTCCTTTTTCACCATAGGCCTGAAAGCGCTCCAAATGTCCACATCCAGATACTTCAAAAAGAGTGTTTCAAACCTGCTCTATGAAAGGGAATGTTCAACTCTGTGACTTGAATGCAAACATCACAAAGAAGTTACTGGGAATGCTGCTGTCTGCTTTTTATATGTAATCCCGTTTCCAACGAAATCCTCAAAGCTAGACAAATATCCACTTGCAGATTCCACAAAAAGAGTGTTTCAAAACTGCTCTCTCAAAGGAAAGGTTCAACTCTGTTAGCTGAGTAGATACATCATGAAAAAGTTTCTGACATTGCTTCTATGTAGCTTTTATTGTAAGATATTTCCATTTTCACCGTAGTCCTGAGAGCGCTCCAAATGTCCACTTCCAGATACTACAAAAAGAGTGTTTCAAACCTGTTCTATGAAAGGGACTGTTCAACACTGTGACTTCAATTGAAACATCCCAATGAAGCTTCTGAGAATGCTTCTGTCTAGAGTTTATATGAAGACAATCCCGTTTCCAACGAAATCCTCAAAGCTATCCAAATATCCTCTTGCAGATATTACAAAAAGAGTGTTTCAAAACTGCTCTATCAAAAGAAAGCTTCAACACTGTTAGTTGAGGGCGCACATCACAAATAAGTTTCTGAGAATGCTTCTGTCTAGTTTTCAGGGGAAGATATTTCCTTTTTCACCTTAGGCCTAAAAGCGCTGCAAATGTCCACATCCAGATACTACAAAAAGAGTGTTTCAAACCTGCTCTATGAAAGGGAATGTTCAACTCTGTGACTTGAATGCAAACATCACAAAGAAGTTTCTGGGAATGCTGCTGTCTGCTTTTTATATGTAATCCCGTTTCCAACGAAATCCTCAAAGCTAGACAAATATCCACTTGCAGATTCCACAAAACGAGTGTTTCAAAACTGCTCTCTCAAATGAAGGTTCAACTCTGTTAGTTGAGTAGATACATCATGAAAAAGTTTCTGACATTGCTTCTATCTAGCTTTTATTGGAAGATATTTCCTTTTTCACCGCAGTCCTGAGAGCGTTCCAAATGTCCACTTCCAGATACTACAAAAAGAGTGTTTCAAACCTGCTCTATGAAAGGGACTGTTCAACACTGTGACTTCAATTGAAACATCCCAATGAAGCTTCTGAGAATGCTTCTGTCTAGAGTTTATATGAAGACAATCCCGTTTCCAACGAAATCCTCAAAGCTATCCAAATATCCTCTTGCAGATTTTACAAAAAGAGTGTTTCAAAACTGCTCTATCAAAAGAAAGCTTCAACACTGTTAGTTGAGGGCGCACATCACAAATAAGATTCTGAGAATGCTTCTGTCTAGTTTTCAGGGGAAGATATTTCCTTTTTCACCATAGGCCTGAAAGCGCTCCAAATGTCCACATCCAGATACTACAAAAAGAGTGTTTCAAACCTGCTCTATGAAAGGGAATGTTCAACTCTGTGACTTGAATGCAAACATCACAAAGAAGTTACTGGGAATGCTGCTGTCTGCTTTTTATATGTAATCCCGTTTCCAACGAAATCCTCAAAGCTAGACAAATATCCACTTCCAGATTCCACAAAAAGAGTGTTTCAAAACTGCTCTCTCAAAAGAAAGGTTCAACTCTGTTAGCTGAGTAGATACATCATGAAAAAGTTTCTGACATTGCTTCTATGTAGCTTTTATTGGAAGATATTTCCTTTTTCACCGTAGTCCTGAGAGCGCTCCAAATGCCCACTTCCAGGTACTACAAAAAGAGTGTTTCAAACCTGCTCTATGAAAGGGACTGTTCAACGCTGTGACTTCAATTGAAACATCCCAATGAAGCTTCTGAGAATGCTGCTGTCTGCTTTTTATATTTAATCCCGTTTCCAACAAAATCCTCAAAGCTAGACAAATATCCACTTGCAGATTCCACAAAAAGAGTGTTTCAGAACTGCTCTCTCAAAAGAAAGTTTCAACTCTGTTAGCTAAGTAGATACATCATGAAAAAGTTTCTGACATTGCTTCTATCTAGCTTTTATTGGAAGATATTTCCTTTTTCACCGTAGTCCTGAGATCTCTCCAAATGTCCACTTCCAGATACTACAAAAAGAGTGTTTCAAACCTGCTCTATGAAAGGGACTGTTCAACACTGTGACTTCAATTGAAACATCCCAATGAAGCTTCTGAGAATGCTTCTGTCTAGAGTTTATATGAAGACAATCCCGTTTCCAACGAAATCCTCAAAGCTATCCAAATATCCTCTTGCAGATTTTACAAAAAGAGTGTTTCAAAACTGCTCTATCAAAAGAAAGCTTCAACACTGTTAGTTGAGGGCGCACATCACAAATAAGATTCTGAGAATGCTTCTGTCTAGTTTTCAGGGGAAGATATTTCCATTTTCACCATAGGCCTGAAAGCGCTCCAAATGTCCACATCCAGATACTACAAAAAGAGTGTTTCAAACCTGCTCTATGAAAGGGAATGTTCAACTCTGTGACTTGAATGCAAATATCACAAAGAAGTTTCTGGGAATGCTGCTGTCTGCTTTTTATATGTAATCCCGTTTCCAACGAAATCCTCAAAGCTAGACAAATATCCACTTGCAGATTCCACAAAAAGAGTGTTTCAAAACTGCTCTCTCAAAGGAAGGTTCAACTCTGTTAGCTGAGTAGACACATCATGAAAAAGATTCTGACATTGCTTCTATGTAGCTTTTATTGGAAGATATTTCCTTTTTCACCGCAGTCCTGAGAGCGCTCCAAATGTCCACTTCCAGATACTACAAAAAGAGTGTTTCAAACCTGCTCTATGAAAGGGACTGTTCAACACTGTGACTTCAATTGAAACATCCCAATGAAGCTTCTGAGAATGCTTCTGTCTAGAGTTTATATGTAGACAATCCCGTTTCCAACGAAATCCTCAAAGCTATCCAAATATCCTCTTGCAGATTTCACAAAAAGAGTGTTTCAAAACTGCTCTATCAAAAGAAAGCTTCAACACTGTTAGTTGAGGGCGCACATCACAAATAAGATTCTGAGAATGCTTCTGTCTAGTTTTCAGGGGAAGATATTTCCTTTTTCACCATAGGCCTGAAAGCGCTCCAAATGTCCACATCCAGATACTACAAAAAGAGTGTTTCAAACCTGCTCTATGAAAGGGAATGTTCAACTGTGTGACTTGAATGCAAACATCACAAAGAAGTTTCTGGGAATGCTGCTGTCTGCTTTTTATATGTAATCCCGTTTCCAACGAAATCCTCAAAGCTAGACAAACATCCACTTGCAGATTCCACAAAAAGAGTGTTTCAAAACTGCTCTCTCAAAGGAAAGGTTCAACTCTGTTAGCTGAGTAGATACATCATGAAAAAGTTTCTGACATTGCTTCTATGTAGCTTTTATTGGAAGATATTTCCTTTTTCACCGCAGTCCTGAGAGCGCTCCAAATGTCCACTTCCAGATACTACAAAAAGAGTGTTTCAAACCTGCTCTATGAAAGGGACTGTTCAACACTGTGACTTCAATTGAAACATCCCAATGAAGCTTCTGAGAATGCTTCTGTCTAGAGTTTATATGAAGACAATCCCGTTTCCAACGAAATCCTCAAAGCTATCCAAATATCCTCTTGCAGATTTTACAAAAAGAGTGTTTCAAAACTGCTCTATCAAAAGAAAGCTTCAACACTGTTAGTTGAGGGCGCACATCACAAATAAGATTCTGAGAATGCTTCTGTCTAGTTTTCAGGGGAAGTATATTTCCTTTTTCACCATAGGCCTGAAAGCGCTCCAAATGTCCACATACAGATACTACAAAAAGAGTGTTTCAAACCTGCTCTCTGAAAGGGAATGTTCAACTCTGTGACTTGAATGCAAACATCACAAAGAAGTTTCTGGGAATGCTGCTGTCTGCTTTTTATATGTAATCCCGTTTCCAACGAAATCCTCAAAGCTAGACAAATATCCACTTGCAGATTCCACAAAAAGAGTGTTTCAAAACTGCTCTCTCAAAGGAAGGTTCAACTCTGTTAGCTGAGTAGACACATCATGAAAAAGATTCTGACATTGCTTCTATCTAGCTTTTATTGGAAGATATTTCCTTTTTCACCGCAGTCCTGAGAGCGCTGCAAATGTCCACTTCCAGATACTACAAAAAGAGTGTTTCAAACCTGCTCTATGAAAGGGACTGTTCAACACTGTGACTTCAACTGAAACATCCCAATGAAGCTTCTGAGAATGCTTCTGTCTAGAGTTTATATGAAGACAATCCCGTTTCCAACGAAATCCTCAAAGCTATCCAAATATCCTCTTGCAGATTTAACAAAATAGTGTTTCAAAACTGCTCTATCAAAAGAAAGGTTCAACATTGTTAGTTGAGGGCACACATCACAAATAAGTTTCTGAGAATGCTTCTGTCTAGTTCTCAGGGGAAGATATTTCCTTTTTCACCATAGGCCTGAAAGCGCTCCAAATGTCCACATCCAGATACTACAAAAAGAGTGTTTCAAACCTGCTCTATGAAAGGGAATGTTCAACTCTGTGACTTGAATGCAAACATCACAAAGAAGTTTCTGGGAATGCTGCTGTCTGCTTTTTATATGTAATCCCGTTTCCAACGAAATCCTCAAAGCTAGACAAATATCCACTTGCAGATTCCACAAAAAGAGTGTTTCAAAACTGCTCTCTCAAAGGAAAGGTTCAACTCTGTTAGCTGAGTAGATACATCATGAAAAAGTTTCTGACATTGCTTCTATGTAGCTTTTATTGGAAGATATTTCCTTTTTCACCGTAGTCCTGAGAGCGCTCCAAATGTCCACTTCCAGATACTACAAAAAGAGTGTTTCAAACCTGCTCTATGAAAGGGACTGTTCAACACTGTGACTTCAATTGAAACATCCCAATGAAGCTTCTGAGAATGCTTCTGTCTAGAGTTTATATGAAGACAATCCCGTTTCCAACGAAATCCTCAAAGCTATCCAAATATCCTCTTGCAGATTTTACAAAAAGAGTGTTTCAAAACTGCTCTATCAAAAGAAAGCTTCAACACTGTTAGTTGAGGGCGCACATCACAAATAAGATTTTGAGAATGTTTCTGTCTAGTTTTCAGTGGAAGATATTTCCTTTTTCACCATAGGCCTGAAAGCGCTCCAAATGTCCAAATACAGATACTACAAAAAGAGTGTTTCAAACCTGCTCTATGAAAGGGAATGTTCAACTCTGTGACTTCAATGCAAACATCACAAAGAAGTTTCTGGGAATGCTGCTGTCTGCTTTTTATATGTAATCCCGTTTCCAACGAAATCCTCAAAGCTAGACAAATATCCACTTGCAGATTCCACAAAAAGAGTGTTTCAAAACTGCTCTATCAAAAGAAAGCTTCAACACTGTTAGTTGAGGGCGCACATCACAAATAAGTTTCTGAGAATGCTTCTGTCTAGTTTTCAGGGGAAGATATTTCCTTTTTCACCATAGGCCTGAAAGCGCTCCAAATGTCCACATCCAGATACTACAAAAAGAGTGTTTCAAACCTGCTCTATGAAAGGGACTGTTCAACACTGTGACTTCAATTGAAACATCCCAATGAAGCTTCTGAGAATGCTACTGTCTAGGGTTAATATGAAGACAATCCCGTTTCCAACGAAATCCTCAAAGCTATCCAAGTATCCTCTTGCAGATTTTACAAAAAGAATGTTTCAAAACTGCTATATCAAAAGAAAACTTCAACACTGTTAGTTGAGGGCGCACATCACAAATAAGTTTCTGAGAATACTTCTGTCTTGTTTTCAGGGGAAGATATTTCCTTATTCACCATAGGCCTGAAAGCGATCCAAATATCCACATCCAGATTCTACAAAAAGAGTGTTTCAAACCTGCTCTATGAAAGGGAATGTTCAACTCTGTGACTTGAATGCAAACATCACAAAAAAGTTTCTGGGAATGCTGCTGTCTGCTTTTTATATGTAATCCCGTTTCCAACGAAATCCTCAAAGCTAGACAAATATCCACTTGCAGATTCCACAAAAAGAGTGTTTCAAAACTGCTCTCTCAAAAGAAAGGTTCAATTCTGTTAGCTGAGTAGATACATCATGAAAAATTTTCTGACATTGCTTCTACCTAGCTTTATTTGGAAGATATTTCCTGTTTCACCGTAGTCCTGAAAACGCTCCAAATGTCAACTTCCAGATACTACAAAAAGAGTGTTTCAAACATACTCTATGAAAGGGACTGTTCAACACAGTGACTTCAATTGAAACATCCCAATGAAGCTTCTGAGAATGCTTCTGTCTAGAGTTTATATGAAGACAATCCCGTTTCAAACGAAATCCTCAAAGCTATCCAAATATCCTCTTGCAGATTTTACAAAAAGAGTGTTTCAAAACAGCTCTATCAAAAGAAAAGTTCAACAGTGTTAGTTGAGGGCGCACATCACAAATAAGATTCTGAGAATGCTTCTGTCTAGTTTTCAGGGGAAGATATTTCCTTTTTCACCGTAGGCCTGAAAGCGCTCCAAATGTCCACATCCAGATACTACAAAAAGAGTGTTTCAAACCTGCTCTATGAAAGGGAATATTCAACTCTGTGACTTGAATGCAAACATCACAAAGAAGTTTCTGGGAATGCTGCTGTCTGCTTTTTATGTGTAATCCCGTTTCCAACGAAATCCTCAAAGGTAGACAAATATCCACTTGCAGATTCCACAAAAAGAGTGTTTCAAAACGGCTCTCTCAAAAGAAAGGTTCAACTCTGTTAGCTGAGTAGATACATCATGAAAAAGTTTCTGACATTGCTTCTATCTAGCTTTTATTGGTAGATATTTCCTTTTTCACTGTAGTCCTGAGAACGCTCCAAATGTCCACTTCCAGATACTACAAAAAGAGTGTTTCAAACCTGCTCTATGAAAGGGACTGTTCAACACTGTGACTTCAACTGAAACATCCCAATGAAGCTTCTGAGAATGCTTCTGTCTAGATTCTATATGAAGACAATCCCGTTTCCAACGAAATCCTCAAAGCTATCCAAATATCCTCTTGCAGATTTTACAAAAAGAGTGTTTCAAAACTGCTCTATCAAAAGAAAGGTTCAACACTGTTAGTTGAGGGCGCACATCACAAATAAGTTTCTGAGAATGCTTCTGTCTAGTTTTCAGGGGAAGATATTTCCTTTTTCACCATAGGCCTGAAAGCGCTCCAAATGTCCACATCCAGATACTACAAAAAGAGTGTTTCAAACCTGCTCTATGAAAGTGAATGTTCAACTCTGTGATTTGAATGCAAACATCACAAAGAAGTTTCTGGGAATGCAGCTGTCTGCTTTTTATATGTAATCCCGTTTGCAACGAAATCCTCAAAGCTAGACAAATATCCACTTGCAGATTCCACCAAAAGAGTGTTTCAAAACTGCTGTCTCAAAAGAAAGGTTCAACTCTGTTAGCTGAGTAGATACATCATGAACAATTTTCTGACATTCCTTCTATCTAGCTTTTATTGGAAGATATTTCCTTTTTCACCGTAGTCCTGAGAGCGCTCCAAATGTCCACTTCCAGATACTACAAAAAGAGTGTTTCAAACCTGCTCTATGAAAGGGACTGTTCAACACTGTGACTTCAATTGAAACATCCCAATGAAGCTTCTGAGAATGCTTCTGTCTAGATTTTATATGAAGACAATCCCGTTTCCAACGAAATCCTCAAAGCTATCCAAATATCCTCTTGCAGATTTTACAAAAAGAGTGTTTCAAAACTACTCTATCAAAAGAAAGGTTTAACACTGTTAGTTGAGGGCGCACATCACAAATAAGTTTCTGAGAATGCTTCTATCTAGTTTGCAGGGGAAGATATTTCCTTTTTCACCATAGGCCTGAAAGCGCTCCAAATGTCCACATCCACATACTACAAAAAGAGTGTTTCAAACCTGCTCTATGAAAGGGAATGTTCAAGTCTGTGACTTGAATGCAAATATCGCAAAGAAGTTTCTGGGAATGCTGCTGTCTGCTTTTTATATGTAATCCCGTTTGCAACGCAATCCTCAATACTAGACAAATATCCACTTGCAGATTACACAAAAATAGTGTTTCAAAACTGCTCTCTCAAAAGAAAGGTTCAACTCTTTTAGCTGAGTAGATACATCATGAAAAATTTTCTGACATTGCTTCTATCTAGCTTTTATTGGAAGATACTTCCTTTTTCACCGTAGTCCTGAGAACGCTCCAAATGTCCACTTCCAGATACTACAAAAAGAGTGTTTCAAACCTGCTCTATGAAAGGGACTGTTCAACACTGTGACTTCAGTTGATACATCCCAATGAAGCTTCTGAGAATGCTTCTGTCTAGAGTTTATATGAAGACAATCCCGTTTCCAACGAAATCCTCAAAGCTATCAAAATATCCTCTTGCAGATTTTACGAAAAGAGTGTTTCAAAACTGCTCTATCAAAAGAAAGCTTCAACACTGTTAGTTGAGGGCGCACATCACAAATAAGATTCTGAGAATGCTTCTGTCTAGTTTTCAGGAGAAGATGTTTCCTTTTTCACCATAGGCCTGAAAGCGCTCCAAATGTCCACATCCAGATACTATAAAAAGAGTGTTTCAAACCTGCTCTCTGAAAGGGAATGTTCAACTTTGTGACTTGAATGCAAACATCACAAACAAGATTCTGGGAATGCTGCTGTCTGCTTTTTATATGTAATCCCGTTTCCAACGCAATCCTCAAAGCTAGACAAATATCCACTTGCAGATTCCACAAAAAGAGTGTTTCAAAACTGCTCTCTCAAAGGAAGGTTCAACTCTGTTAGCTGAGTAGATACATCATGAAAAAGTTTCTGACATTGCTTCTATCTAGCTTTTATTGGAAGATATTTCCTTTTTAACCGCAGTCCTGAGAACGCTCCAAATGTCCACTTCCAGATACTACAAAAAGAGTGTTTCAAACCTGCTCTATGAAAGGGACTGTTCAACACTGTGACTTCAATTGAAACATCCCAATGAAGCTTCTGAGAATGCTTCTGTCTGGAGTTTATATGAAGACAATCCCGTTTCCAACGAAATCCTCAAAGCTATCCAAATATCCTCTTGCAGATTTTACAAAAAGAGTGTTTCAAAACTGCTCTATCAAAAGAAAGCTTCAACACTGTTAGTTGAGGGCGCACATCACAAATAAGATTCTGAGAATGCTTCTGTCTAGTTTTCAGGGGAAGATATTTCCTTTTTCACCATAGGCCTGAAAGCGCTCCAAATGTCCACATCCAGATACTACAAAAAGAGTGTTTCAAACCTGCTCTATGAAAGGGAATGTTCAACTCTGTGACTTGAATGCAAACGTCACAAAGAAGTTTCTGGGAATGCTGCTGTCTGCTTTTTATATGTAATCCCGTTTCCAACGAAATCCTCAAAGCTAGACAAATATCCACTTGCAGATTCCACAAAAAGAGTGTTTCAAAACGGCTCTCTCACAAGAAAGGTTCAACTCTGTTAGCTGAGTAGACACATCATGAAAAATTTTCTGACATTGCTTCTATCTAGCTTTTATTGGAAGATATTTCCTTTTTCACCGTAGTCCTGAGAACGCTCCAAATGTCCACTTCCAGATACTACAAAAAGAGTGTTTCAAACCTGCTCTATGAAAGGGACTGTTCAACACTGTGACTTCAATTGAAACATCCCAATGAAGCTTCTGAGAATGCTTCTGTCTAGAGTTTATATGAAGACAATCCCGTTTCCAACGAAATCCTCAAAGCTATCAAAATATCCTCTTGCAGATTTTTCGAAAAGACTGTTTCAAAACTGCTCTATCAAAAGAAAGCTTCAACACTGTTAGTTGAGGGCGCACATCACAAATAAGATTCTGAGAATGCTTCTGTCTAGTTTTCAGGGGAAGATATTTCCTTTTTCACCATAGGCCTGAAAGCGCTCCAAATGTCCACATCCAGATACTACAAAAAGAGTGTTTCAAACCTGCTCTATGAAAGGGAATGTTCAACTCTGTGACTTGAATGCAAACTTCACAAAGAAGTTTCTGGGAATGCTGCTGTGTACTTTTTATATGTAATCCCGTTTCCAACGAAATCCTCAAAGCTAGACAAATATCCACTTGCAGATTCCACAAAAAGAGTGTTTCAAAACTGCTCTCTCAAAAGAAAGGTTCAACTCTGTTAGCTGAGTAGATACATCATGAAAAAGTTTCTGACATTGCTTCTATCTAGCTTTTATTGGAAGATACTTCCTTTTTCACCGTAGTCCTGAGAGCGCTCCAAATGTCCACTTCCAGATACTACAAAAAGAGTGTTTCAAACCTGCTCTATGAAAGGGAATGTTCAACACTGTGACTTCAATTGAAACATCCCAATGAAGCTTCTGAGAATGCTGCTGTCTGCTTTGTATAATTAATCCCGTTTCCAACGAAATCCTCAAAGCTATCCAAATATCCTCTTGCAGATATTACAAAAAGAGTGTTTCAAAACTGCTCTATCAAAAGAAAGCTTCAACACTGTTAGTTGAGGGCGCACATCACAAATAAGTTTCTGAGAATGCTGCTGTCTGCTTTTTATATGTAATCCCGTTTCCAAAGAAATCCTCAAAGCTAGACAAATATCCACTTGCAGATTCCACAAAAAGAGTGTTTCAAAACTGCTCTATCAAAAGAAAGCTTCAACACTGTTAGTTGAGGGCGCACATCACAAATAAGTTTCTGAGAATGCTTCTGTCTAGTTTTCAGGGGAAGATATTTCCTTTTTCACCATAGGCCTGAAAGCGCTCTAAATGTCCACATCCAGATACTACAAAAAGAGTGTTTCAAACCTGCTCTATGAAAGGGACTGTTCAACACTGTGACTTCAATTGAAACATCCCAATGAAGCTTCTGAGAATGCTTCTGTCTAGAGTTTATATGAAGACAATACCGTTTCCAAAGAAATCCTCAAATCTATCCAAATATCCTCTTGCAGATTTCACAAAAAGAGTGTTTCAAAACTGCTCTATCAAAAGAAAGCTTCAACACTGTTAGTTGAGGGCGCACATCACAAATAAGATTCTGAGAATGCTTCTGTCTAGTTTTCAGGGGAAGATATTTCCTTTTTCACCATAGGCCTGAAAGCGCTCCAAATGTCCACATCCAGATACTACAAAAAGAGTGTTTCAAACCTGCTCTATGAAAGGGAATGTTCAACTCTGTGACTTGAATGCAAACGTCACAAAGAAGTTTCTGGGAATGCTGCTGTCTGCTTTTTATATGTAATCCCGTTTCCAACGAAATCCTCAATGCTAGACAAATATCCACTTGCAGATTCCACAAAAAGAGTGTTTCAAAACTGCTCTCTCAAAAGAAAGGTTCAACTCTGTTAGCTGAGTAGATACATCATGAAAAAGTTTCTGACATTGCTTCTATCTAGCTTTTATTGGAAGATATTTCCTTTTTCACCATAGTCCTGAGAACGCTCCAAATGTCCACTTCCAGATATTACAAAAAGAGTGTTTCAAACCTGCTCTACGAAAGGGACTGTTCAACACTGTGACTTCAATTGAAACATCCCAATGAAGCTTCTGAGAATGCTTCTGTCTAGATTGTATATGAAGACAATCCCGTTTCCAACGAAATCCTCAAAGCTATCCAAATATCCTCTTGCAGATTTTACAAAAAGAGTGTTTCAAAACTGCTCTATCAAAAGAAAGCTTCAACACTATTAGTTGAGGGCGCACATCACAAATAAGTTTCTGAGAATGCTTCTGTCTAGTTTTCAGGGGAAGATATTTCCTTTTTCACCATAGGCCTGAAAGCGCTCCAAATGTCCACATCCAGATACTACAAAAAGAGTGTTTCAAACCTGCTCTATGAAAGGGAATGTTCAAGTCTGTGACTTGAATGCAAATATCACAAAGAAGTTTCTGGGAATGCTGCTGTCTGCTTTTTCTATGTAATCCCGTTTCCAACGAAATCCTCAAAGCTAGACCAATATCCACTTGCAGATTCCACAAAAAGAGTGTTTCAAAACGGCTCTCTCAAAAGAAAGGTTCAACTCTGTTAGCTGAGTAGATACATCATGAAAAATTCTCTGACATTGCTTCTATCTAGCTTTATTTGGAAGATATTTCCTTTTTCACCGTAGTCCTGAGAGCGCTCCAAATGTCCACTTCCAGATACTACAAAAAGATTGTTTCAAACATGCTCTATGAAAGGGACTGTTCAACACTGTGACTTCAATTGAAACATCCCAATGAAGCTTCTGAGAATGCTTCTGTCTAGATTTTATATGAAGACAATCCCGTTTCCAACGAAATCCTCAAAGCTATCCAAATATCCTCTTGCAGATTTTACAAAAAGAGTGTTTCAAAACTGCTCTATCAAAAGAAAAGTTCAACACTGTTAGTTGAGGGCGCACATCACAAATAAGTTTCTGAGAATGCTTCTGTCTAGTTTTCAGGGGAAGATATTTCCTTTTTCACCATAGGCCTGAAAGCGCTCCAAACGTCCACATCCAGATACTACAAAAAGAGTGTTTCAAACCTGCTCTATGAAAGGGAATGTTCAAGTCTGTGACTTGAATGCAAATATCACAAAGAAGTTTCTGGGAATGCTGCTGTCTGCTTTTTATATGTAATCCCGTTTCCAACGAAATCCCCAAAGCTAGACAAATATCCACTTGCAGATTCCACAAAAAGAGTGTTTCAAAACTGCTCTCTGAAAAGAAAGGTTCAACTCTGTTAGCTGAGTAGATACATCATGAAAAAGTTTCTGACCTTGCTTTTATGTAGCTTTTATTGGAAGATATTTCCTTTTTCACCATAGGCCTGAAAGCGCTCCAAATGTCCACATCCAGATACTACAAAAAAAGTGTTTCAAACCTGCTCTATGAAAGGGAATGTTCAACTCTGTGACTTGAATGCAAACATCACAAAGAAGTTACTGGGAATGCTGCTGTCTGCTTTTTATATGTAATCCCGTTTCCAACGAAATCCTCAAAGCTAGACAAATATCCACTTGCAGATTCCACAAAAAGAGTGTTTCAAAACTGCTCTCTCAAAAGAAAGGTTCAACTCTCTTAGCTGTGTAGATACATCATGAAAAAGTTTCTGACATTGCTTCTATCTAGCTTTTATTGGAAGATATTTCCTTTATCACCGGAGTCCTGAGAGCGCTCCAAATGTCCACTTCCAGATACTACAAAAAGAGTGTTTCAAACCTGCTCTATGAAAGGGACTGTTCAACACTGTGACTTCAATTGAAACATCCCAATGACGCTTCTGAGAATGCTTCTGTCTAGAGTTTATATGAAGACAATCCCGTTTCCAACGAAATCCTCAAAGCTATCCAAATATCCTCTTGCAGATATTACAAAAAGAGTGTTTCAAAACTGCTCTATCAAAAGAAAGCTTCAACACTGTTAGTTGAGGGCGCACATCACAAATAAGTTTCTGAGAATGCTTCTGTCTAGTTTTCAGGGGAAGATATTTCCTTTTTCACCTTAGGCCTGAAAGCGCTGCAAATGTCCACATCCAGATACTACAAAAAGAGTGTTTCAAACCTGCTCTATGAAAGGGAATGTTCAACTCTGTGACTTGAATGCAAACAACACAAAGAAATTTCTGGGAATGCTGCTGTCTGCTTTTTATATGTAATCCCGTTTCCAACGAAATCCTCAAAGCTATCCAAATATCCTCTTGCAGATATTACAAAAAGAGTGTTTCAAAACTGCTCTATCAAAAGAAAGGTTCAACACTGTTAGTTGAGGGCGCACATCACAAATAAGTTTCTGAGAATGCTTCTGTCTAGTTTTCAGGGGAAGATATTTCCTTTTTCACCATAGGCCTGAAAGCGCTCCAAATGTCCACATCCAGATACTACAAAAAGAGTGTTTCAAACCTGCTCTATGAAAGGGAATGTTCAACTCTGTGACTTGAATGCAAACATCACAAAGAAGTTACTGGGAATGCTGCTGTCTGCTTTTTATATGTAATCCCGTTTCCAACGGAATCCTCAAAGCTAGACAAATATCCACTTCCAGATTCCACAAAAAGAGTGTTTCAAAACTGCTCTCTCAAAAGAAAGGTTCAACTCTCTTAGCTGAGTAGATACATCATGAAAAAGTTTCTGACATTGCTTCTATGTAGCTTTTATTGGAAGATATTTCCTTTTTCACCATAGTCCTGAGAGCGCTCCAAATGTCCACTTCCAGATACTACAAAAAGAGTGTTTCAAACCTGTTCTATGAAAGGAACTGTTCAACACTGTGACTTCAATTGAAACATCCCAATGAAGCTTCTGAGAATGCTTCTGTCTAGAGTTTATATGAAGACAATCCCGTTTCCAACGAAATCCTCAAAGCTATCCAAATATCCTCTTGCAGATATTACAAAAAGAGTGTTTCAAAACTGCTCTATCAAAAGAAAGCTTCAACACTGTTAGTTGAGGGCGCACATCACAAATAAGTTTCTGAGAATGCTTCTGTCTAGTTTTCAGGGGAAGATATTTCCTTTTTCACCTTAGGCCTGAAAGCGCTGCAAATGTACACATCCAGATACTACAAAAAGAGTATTTCAAACCTGCTCTATGAAAGGGAATGTTCAACTCTGTGACTTGAATGCAAACATCACAAAGAAGTTTCTGGGAATGCTGCTGTCTGCTTTTTATATGTAATCCCGTTTCCAACGAAATCCTCAAAGCTAGACAAATATCCACTTGCAGATTCCACAAAACGAGTGTTTCAAAACTGCTCTATCAAAAGAATGCTTCAACACTGTTAGTTGAGGGCGCACATCACAAATAAGTTTCTGAGAATGCTTCTGTCTAGATTTCAGGAGAAGATATTTCCTTTTTCACCATAGGCCTGAAAGCGCTCCAAATGTCCACATCCAGATACTATAAAAAGAGTGTTTCAAACCTGCTCTCTGAAAGGGAATATTCAACTCTGTGACTTGAATGCAAACATCACAAACAAGATTCTGGGAATGCTTCTGTCTAGAGTTTATATGAAGATAATCCCGTTTCCAACGAAATCCTCAAAGCTAGACAAATATCCACTTGCAGATTCCACAAAAAGAGTGTTTCAAAACTGCTCTCTCAAAGGAAAGGTTCAACTCTGTTAGCTGAGTAGATACATCATGAAAAAGTTTCTGACATTGCTTCTATGTAGCTTTCATTGGAAGATATTTCCTTTATCACCGTATTCCTGAGATCTCTCCAAATGTCCACTTCCAGATACTACAAAAAGAGTGTTTCAAACCTGCTCTATGAAAGGGACTGTTCAACACTGTGACTTCAATTGAAACATCCCAATGAAGCTTCTCAGAATGCTTCTGTCTAGATTTTATATGAAGACAATCCCGTTTCCAACGAAATCCTGAAAGCTATCAAAATATCCTCTTGCAGATTTTACGAAAAGAGTGTTTCAAAACTGCTCTATCAAAAGAAAGCTTCAACACTGTTAGTTGAGGGCGCACATCACAAATAAGATTCTGAGAATGCTTCTGTCTAGTTTTCAGGAGAAGATATTTCCTTTTTCACCATAGGCCTGAAAGCGCTCCAAATGTCCACATCCAGATACTATAAAAAGAGTGTTTCAAACCTGCTCTCTGAAAGGGAATGTTCAACTCTGTGACTTGAATGCAAACATCACAAACAAGATTCTGGGAATGCTGCTGTCTGCTTTTTATAATTAATCCCGTTTCCAACGAAATCCTCAAAGCTATCCAAATATCCTCTTGCAGATATTACAAAAAGAGTGTTTCAAAACTGCTCTATCAAAA
The DNA here is from genome assembly GCF_000001405.40 of Homo sapiens. Lineage (NCBI taxonomy): Eukaryota > Metazoa > Chordata > Mammalia > Primates > Hominidae > Homo > Homo sapiens. The sequence continues at coordinate 92,302,602 of NC_000002.12, read as the reverse complement.
GAAAGCTTCAACACTGTTAGTTGAGGGCGCACATCACAAATAAGTTTCTGAGAATGCTTCTGTCTAGTTTTCAGGGGAAGATACTTCCTTTTTCACCATAGGCCTGAAAGCGCTCCAAATGTCCACATCCAGATACTACAAAAAGAGTGTTTCAAACCTGCTCTATGAAAGGGAATGTTCAATTCTGTGACTTGAATGCAAACATCACAAAGAAATTTCTGGGAATCCTGCTGTCTGCTTTTTATATGTAATCCCGTTTCCAACGAAATCCTCAAAGCTAGACAAATATCCACTTGCAGATTCCACAAAAAGAGTGTTTCAAAACTGCTCTATCAAAAGAAAGCTTCAACACTGTTAGTTGAGGGCGCACATCACAAATAAGTTTCTGAGAATGCTTCTGTCTAGTTTTCAGGGGAAGATATTTCCTTTTAAACCATAGGCCTGAAAGCGCTCCAAATGTCCACATCCAGATACTACAAAAAGAGTGTTTCAAACCTGCTCTATGAAAGGGACTGTTCAACACTGTGACTTCAATTGAAACATCCCAATGAAGCTTCTGAGAATGCTTCTGTCTAGAGTTTATATGAAGACAATCCCGTTTCCAACGAAATCCTCAAAGCTATCCAAATATCCTCTTGCAGATTTTACAAAAAGAGTGTTTCAAAACTGCTCTATCAAAAGAAAGGTTCAACACTGTTAGTTGAGGGCGCACATCACAAATAAGTTTCTGAGAATGCTTCTGTCTAGTTTTCAGGGGAAGATATTTCCTTTTTCACCATAGGCCTGAAAGCGCTCCAAATGTCCACATCCAGATACTACAAAAAGAGTGTTTCAAACCTGCTCTATGAAAGGGAATGTTCAACTCTGTGACTTGAATGCAAACATCACAAAGAAGTTTGTGGGAATGCTGCTGTCTGCTTTTTATATGTAATCCCGTTTCCAACGAAATCCTCAAAGCTAGACAAATATCCACTTGCAGATTCCACAAAAAGAGTGTTTCAAAACTGCTCTCTCAAAGGAAGGTTCAACTCTGTTAGCTGAGTAGATACATCATGAAAAAGTTTCTGACATTGCTTCTATCTAGCTTTTATTGGAAGATATTTCCTTTTTCACCGCAGTCCTGAGAGCGTTCCAAATGTCCACTTCCAGATACTACAAAAAGAGTGTTTCAAACCTGCTCTATGAAAGGGACTGTTCAACACTGTGACTTCAATTGAAACATCCCAATGAAGCTTCTGAGAATGCTTCTGTCTAGAGTTTATATGAAGACAATCCCGTTTCCAACGAAATCCTCAAAGCTATCCAAATATCCTCTTGCAGATTTTACAAAAAGAGTGTTTCAAAACTGCTCTATCAAAAGAAAGCTTCAACACTGTTAGTTGAGGGCACACATCACAAATAAGTTTCTGAGAATGCTTCTGTCTAGTTTACAGGAGAAGATATTTCCTTTTTCACCATAGGCCTGAAAGCGCTCCAAATGTCCACATCCAGACACTATAAAAAGAGTGTTTCAAACCTGCTCTCTGAAAGGGAATGTTCAACTCTGTGACTTGAATGCAAACATCACAAACAAGATTCTGGGAATGCTGCTGTCTGCTTTTTATATGTAATCCCGTTTCCAACGAAATCCTCAAAGCTATCCAAATATCCTCTTGCAGATATTACAAAAAGAGTGTTTCAAAACTGCTCTATCAAAAGAAAGGTTCAACACTGTTAGTTGAGGGCGCACATCACAAATAAGTTTCTGAGAATGCTTCTGTCTAGTTTTCAGGGGAAGATATTTCCTTTTTCACCATAGGCCTGAAAGCGCTCCAAATGTCCACATCCAGATACTACAAAAAGAGTGTTTCAAACCTGCTCTATGAAAGGGAATGTTCAACTCTGTGACTTGAATGCAAACATCAGAAAGAAGTTACTGGGAATGCTGCTGTCTGCTTTTTATATGTAATCCCGTTTCCAACGAAATCCTCAAAGCTAGACAAATATCCACTTGCAGATTCCACAAAAAGAGTGTTTCAAAACTGCTCTCTCAAAGGAAAGGTTCAATTCTGTTAGCTGAGTAGATACATCATGAAAAAGTTTCTGACATTGCTTCTATGTAGCTTTTATTGGAAGATATTTCCTTTTTCACCACAGTCCTGAGAGCGCTCCAAATGTCCACTTCCAGATACTACAAAAAGAGTGTTTCAAACCTGTTCTATGAAAGGAACTGTTCAACACTGTGACTTCAATTGAAACATCCCAATGAAGCTTCTGGGAATGCTTCTGTCTAGAGTTTATATGAAGACAATCCCGTTTCCAACGAAATCCTCAAAGCTATCCAAATATCCTCTTGCAGATATTACAAAAAGAGTGTTTCAAAACTGCTCTATCAAAAGAAATCTTCAACACTGTTAGTTGAGGGCGCACATCACAAATAAGTTTCTGAGAATGCTTCTGTCTAGTTTTCAGGGGAAGATATTTCCTTTTTCACCTTATGCCTGAAAGCGCTGCAAATGTCCACATCCAGATACTACAAAAAGAGTGTTTCAAACCTGCTCTATCAAAGGGACTGTTCAACACTGTGACTTCAATTGAAACATCCCAATGAAGCTTCTGAGAATGCTTCTGTCTAGAGTTTATATGAAGACAAACCCGTTTCCAACGAAATCCTCAAAGCTATCCAAATATCCTCTTGCAGATATTACAAAAAGAGTGTTTCAAAACTGCTCTATCAAAAGAAAGGTTCAACACTGTTAGTTGAGGGCGCACATCACAAATAAGTTTCTGAGAATGCTTCTGTCTAGTTTTCAGGAGAAGATATTTCCTTTTTCACCATAGGGCTGAAAGCGCTCCAAATGTCCACATCCAGATACTACAAAAAGAGTGTTTCAAACCTGCTCTATGAAAGGGAATGTTCAACTGTGTGACTTGAATGCAAACATCACAAAGAAGTTTCTGGGAATGCTGCTGTCTGCTTTTTATATGTAATCCCGTTTCCAACGAAATCCTCAAAGCTAGACAAATATCCACTTGCAGATTCCACAAAAAGAGTGTTTCAAAACTGCTCTCTCAAAAGAAAGGTTCAACTCTGTTAGCTTAGTAGATACTTCACGAAAAAGTTTCTGACATTGCTTCTATGTAGCTTTTATTGGAAGATACTTCCTTTTTCACCGCAGTCCTGAGAGCACTCCAAATGTCCACTTCCAGATACTACAAAAAGAGTGTTTCAAACCTGCTCTATGAAAGGGACTGTTCAACACTGTGACTTCAACTGAATCATCCCAATGAAGCTTCTGAGAATGCTTCTGTCTAGAGTTTATATGAAGACAATCCCGTTTCCAACGAAATCCTCAAGCTATCCAAATATCCTCCTGCAGATTTTACAAAAAGAGTGTTTCAAAACTGCTCTATCAAAAGAAAGCTTCAACACTGTTAGTTGAGGGCGCACATCACAAATAAGATTCTGAGAATGCTTCTGTCTAGTTTTCAGGAGAAGATATTTCCTTTTTCACCATAGGCCTGAAAGCGCTCCAAATGTCCACATCCAGATACTATAAAAAGAGAGTTTCAAACCTGCTCTCTGAAAGGGAATGTTCAACTCTGTGACTTGAATGCAAACATCACAAACAAGATTCTGGGAATGCTGCTGTCTGCTTTTTATATGTAATCCCGTTTCCAACGAAATCCTCAAAGCTAGACAAATATCCACTTGCAGATTCCACAAAAAGAGTGTTTCAAAACTGCTCTCTCAAAGGAAAGGTTCAACTCTGTTAGATGAGTAGATACATCATGAAAAAGTTTCTGACATTGCTTCTATCTAGCTTTTATTGGAAGATATTTCCTTTTTCACCGTAGTCCTGAGAACGCTCCAAATGTCCACTTCCAGATGCTACAAAAAGAGGGTTTCAAACCTGCTCTATGAAAGGGACTGTTCAACACTGTGACTTCAATTGAAACATCCCAATGAAGCTTCTGAGAATGCAACTGTCTAGGGTTAATATGAAGACAATCCCGTTTCCAACGAAATCCTCCAAGCTATCCAAATATCCTCTTGCAGATTTTACAAAAAGAGTGTTTCAAAACTGCTCTATCAAAAGAAAGCTTCAACACTGTTAGTTGAGGGCGCACATCACAAATAAGTTTCTGAGAATGCTTCTGTCTAGTTTTCAGGGGAAGATATTTCCTTTTTCACCATAGGCCTGAAAGCGCTCCAAATGTCCACATCCAGATACTACAAAAAGAGTGTTTCAAACCTGCTCTATGAAAGGAAATGTTCAAGTCTGTGACTTGAATGCAAATTTCACAAAGAACTTTCTGGTAATGCTGCTGTCTGCTTTTTATATGTAATCCCGTTTCCAACGAAATCCTCAAAGCTAGACAAATATCCACTTGCAGATTCCACAAAAAGAGTGTTTCAAAACTGCTCTCTCAAAAGAAAGGTTCAACTCTATTAGCTGAGTAGATGCATCATGAAAATGTTTCTGACATTGCTTCTATCTAGCTTTTATTGGAAGATATTTCCTTTTTCACCGTAGTCCTGAGAGCGCTCCAAATGTCCACTTCCAGATACTACAAAAAGAGTGTTTCAAACCTGCTCTATGAAAGGGACTGTTCAACACTGTGACTTCAATTGAAACATCCCAATGAAGCTTCTGAGAATGCTTCTGTCTAGAGTTTATATGAAGACAATCCCGTTTCCAACGAAATCCTCAAAGCTATCCAAATATCCTCTTGCAGATTTTACAAAAAGAGTGTTTCAAAACTGCTCTATCGAAAGAAAGCTTCAACACTGTTAGTTGAGTGCGCACATCACAAATAAGATTCTGAGAATGCTTCTGTCTAGTTTTCAGGGGAAGATATTTCCTTTTTCACCTTAGGCCTGAAAGCGCTGCAAATGTCCACATCCAGATACTACAAAAAGAGTGTTTCAAACCTGCTCTATGAAAGGAAATGTTCAACTCTGTGACTTGAATGCAAACATCACAAAGAAGTTTCTGGGAATGCTGCTGTCTGCTTTTTATATGTAATCCCGTTTCCAACGAAATCCTCAAAGCTAGACAAATATCCACTTGCAGATTCCACAAAAAGAGTGTTTCAAAACTGCTCTCTCAAAGGAAGGTTCAACTCTGTTAGCTGAGTAGATACATCATGAAAAAGTTTCTGACATTGCTTCTATCTAGCTTTTATTGGAAGATATTTCCTTTTTCACCGCAGTCCTGAGAGCGTTCCAAATGTCCACTTCCAGATACTACAAAAAGAGTGTTTCAAACCTGCTCTATGAAAGGGACTGTTCAACACTGTGACTTCAATTGAAACATCCCAATGAAGCTTCTGAGAATGCTTCTGTCTAGAGTTTATATGAAGACAATCCCGTTTCCAACGAAATCCTCAAAGCTATCCAAATATCCTCTTGCAGATTTTACAAAAAGAGTGTTTCAAAACTGCTCTATCAAAAGAAAGCTTCAACACTGTTAGTTGAGGGTGCACATCACAAATAAGTTTCTGAGAATGCTTCTGTCTAGTTTTCAGGGGAAGATATTTCCTTTTTCACCATAGGCCTGAAAGCGCTCCAAATGTCCACATCCAGATACTACAAAAAGAGTGTTTCAAACCTGCTCTATGAAAGGGAATGTTCAACTCTGTGACTTGAATGCAAACATCACAAAGAAGATTCTGGGAATGCTGCTGTCTGCTTTTTATATGTAATCCCGTTTCCAACGAAATCCTCAAAGCTAGACAAATATCCACTTGCAGATTCCACAAGAAGAGTGTTTCAAAACTGCTCTCTCAAAAGAAAGGTTCAACTCTGTTAGCTGAGTAGATACATCATGAAAAAGTTTCTGACATTGCTTCTATCTAGCTTTTATTGGAAGATATTTCCTTTATCACCGTAGTCCTGAGAGCGCTCCAAATGTCCACTTCCAGATACTACAAAAAGAGTGTTTCAAACCTGCTCTATGAAAGGGACTGTTCAACACTGTGACTTCAATTGAAACATCCCAATGAAGCTTCTGAGAATGCTTCTGTCTAGAGTTTATATGAAGACAATCCCGTTTCCAACGAAATCCTCAAAGCTATCCAAATATCCTCTTGCAGATATTACAAAAAGAGTGTTTCAAAACTGCTCTATCAAAAGAAAGCTTCAACACTGTTAGTTGAGGGCGCACATCACAAATAAGTTTCTGAGAATGCTTCTGTCTAGTTTTCAGGGGAAGATATTTCCTTTTTCACCATAGGCCTGAAAGCGCTCCAAATGTCCACATCCAGATACTACAAAAAGAGTGTTTCAAACCTGCTCTCTGAAAGGGAATGTTCAACTCTGTGACTTGAATGCAAACATCACAAAGAAGTTTCTGGGAATGCTGCTGTCTGCTTTTTATATGTAATCCCGTTTCCAACGAAATCCTCAAAGCTAGACAAATATCCACTTGCAGATTCCACAAAAAGAGTGTTTCAAAACTGCTCTATCAAAAGAAAGCTTCAACACTGTTAGTTGAGGGCGCACATCACAAATAAGTTTCTGAGAATGCTTCTGTCTAGTTTTCAGGGGAAGATATTTCCTTTTTCACCATAGGCCTGAAAGCGCTCCAAATGTCCACATCCAGATACTACAAAAAGAGTGTTTCAAACCTGCTCTATGAAAGGGACTGTTCAACACTGTGACTTCAATTGAAACATCCCAATGAAGCTTCTGAGAATGCTTCTGTCTAGATTCTATATGAAGACAATCCCGTTTCCAACGAAATCCTCAAAGCTATCCAAATATCCTCTTGCAGATTTTACAAAAAGAGTGTTTAAAAACTGCTCTATCAAAAGAAAGCTTCAACACTGTTAGTTGAGGGCGCACATCACAAATAAGATTCTGAGAATGCTTCTGTCTTGTTTTCAGGGGAAGATATTTCCTTTTTCACCATAGGCCTGAAAGCGCTCCAAATGTCCGCATCCAGATACTACAAAAAGAGTGTTTCAAACCTGCTCTATGAAAGGGAATGTTCAAGTCTGTGACTTGAATGCAAATTTCAAAAAGAACTTTCTGGGAATGCTGCTGTCTGCTTTTTATATGTAATCCCGTTTCCAACGAAATCCTCAAAGCTAGACAAATATCCACTTGCAGATTCCACAAAAATAGTGTTTCAAAACTGCTCTCTCAAAAGAAAGGTTCAACTCTTTTAGCTGAGTAGATACATCATGAAAAAGTTTCTGACATTGCTTCTATCTAGCTTTTATTGGAAGATATTTCCTTTTTCACCGTAGTCCTGAGAGCGCTCCAAATGTCCACTTCCAGATGCTACAAAAAGAGTGTTTCAAACCTGCTCTATGAAAGTGATTGTTCAACACTGTGACTTCAATTGAAACATCCCAATGAACCTTCTGAGAATGCTTCTGTCTAGAGTTTATATGAAGACAATACCGTTTCCAACGAAATCCTCAAAGCTATCCAAATATCCTCTTGCAGATTTTACAAAAAGAGTGTTTCAAAACTGCTCTATCAAAAGAAAGCTTCAACACTGTTAGTTGAGGGCGCACATCACAAATAAGATTCTGAGAATGCTTCTGTCTAGTTCTCAGGGGAAGATATTTCCTTTTTCACCATAGGCCTGAAAGCGCTCCAAATGTCCACATCCAGATACTACAAAAAGAGTGTTTCAAACCTGCTCTATGAAAGGGAATGTTCAACTCTGTGACTTGAATGCAAACATCACAAAGAAGATTCTGGGAATGCTGCTGTCTGCTTTTTATAATTAATCCCGTTTCCAACGAAATCCTCAAAGCTATCCAAATATCCTCTTGCAGATATTACAAAAAGAGTGTTTTAAAACTGCTCTATCAAAAGAAAGGTTCAACACTGTTAGTTGAGGGCGCACATCACAAATAAGTTTCTGAGAATGCTTCTGTCTAGTTTTCAGGGGAAGATATTTCCTTTTTCACCTTAGGCCTGAAAGCGCTGCAAATGTCCACATCCAGATACTACAAAAAGAGTGTTTCAAACCTGCTCTATGAAAGGGAATGTTCAACTCTCTGACTTGAATGCAAACATCACAAAGAAGTTACTGGGAATGCTGCTGTCTGCTTTTTATATGTAATCCCGTTTCCAACGAAATCCTCAAAGCTAGGCAAATATCCCCTTGCAGATTCCACAAAAAGAGTGTTTCAAAACTGCTCTCTCAAAGGAAGGTTCAACTCTGTTAGCTGAGTAGATACATCATGAAAAAGTTTCTGACATTGCTTCTATGTAGCTTTTATTGGAAGATACTTCCTTTTTCACCGCAGTCCTGAGAGCACTCCAAATGTCCACTTCCAGATACTACAAAAAGAGTGTTTCAAACCTGCTCTATGAAAGGGACTGTTCAACACTGTGACTTCCACTGAATCATCCCAATGAAGCTTCTGAGAATGCTTCTGTCTAGAGTTTATATGAAGACAATCCCGTTTCCAACGAAATCCTCAAAGCTATCCAAATATCCTCCTGCAGATTTTACAAAAAGAGTGTTTCAAAACTGCTCTATCAAAAGAAAGCTTCAACACTGTTAGTTGAGGGCGCACATCACAAATAAGATTCTGAGAATGCTTCTGTCTAGTTTTCAGGGGAAGATATTTCCGTTTTCACCATAGGCCTGAAAGCGCTCCAAATGTCCACATCCAGATACTACAAAAAGAGTGTTTCAAACCTGCTCTATGAAAGGGAATGTTCAACTCTGTGACTTGAATGCAAATATCACAAAGAAGTTTCTGGGAATGCCGCTGTCTGCTTTTTATATGTAATCCCGTTTCCAACGAAATCCTCAAAGCTAGACAAATATCCACTTGCAGATTCCACAAAAAGAGTGTTTCAAAACTGCTCTATCAAAAGAATGCTTCAACACTGTTAGTTGAAGGCGCACATCACAAATAAGTTTCTGAGAATGCTTCTGTCTAGTTTTCAGGGGAAGATATTTCCTTTTAAACCATAGGCCTGAAAGCGCTCCAAATGTCCACATCCAGATACTACAAAAAGAGTGTTTCAAACCTGCTCTATGAAAGGGACTGTTCAACACTGTGACTTCAATTGAAACATCCCAATGACGCTTCTGAGAATGCTTCTGTGTAGAGTTTATATGAAGACAATCCCGTTTCCAACGAAATCCTCAAAGCTATCCAAATATCCTCTTGCAGATTTTACAAAAAGAGTGTTTCAAAACTGCTCTATCAAAAGAAAGCTTCAACACTGTTAGTTGAGGGCGCACATCACAAATAAGATTCTGAGAATTCTTCTGTCTAGTTTTCAGGGGAAGATATTTCCTTTTTCACCATAGGCTTGAAAGCACTCCAAATGTCCACATCCAGATACTACAAAAAGAGTGTTTCAAACCTGCTCTATGAAAGGGAATGTTCAACTCTGTGACTTGAATGCAAACATCACAAAGAAGTTTCTGGGAATGCTGCTGTCTGCTTTTTATATGTAATCCCGTTTCCAACGAAATCCTCAAAGCTAGACAAATATCCACTTGCAGATTCCACAAAAAGAGTGTTTCAAAACTGCTCTCTCAAAGGAAAGGTTCAACTCTGTTAGCTGAGTAGATACATCATGAAAAAGTTTCTGACATTGCTTCTATCTAGCTTTTATTGGAAGATATTTCCTTTATCACCGTATTCCTGAGAACTCTCCAAACGTCCACTTCCAGATACTACAAAAAGAGTGTTTCAAACCTGCTCTATGAAAGGGACTGTTCAACACTGTGACTTCAATTGAAACATCCCAATGAAGCTTCTGAGAATGCTTCTGTCTAGATTTTGTATGAAGACAATCCCGTTTCCAACGAAATCCTCAAAGCTATCCAAATATCCTCTTGCAGATTTTACAAAAAGAGTGTTTCAAAACTGCTCTATCAAAAGAAAGCTTCAACACTGTTAGTTGAGGGCGCACATCACAAATAAGATTCTGAGAATGCTTCTGTCTAGTTTTCAGGGGAAGATATTTCCTTTTTCACCATAGGCCTGAAAGCGCTCCAAATGTCCACATCCAGATACTACAAAAAGAGTGTTTCAAACCTGCTCTCTGAAAGGGAATGTTCAACTCTGTGACTTGAATGCAAACATCACAAAGAAGTTTCTGGGAATGCTGCTGTCTGCTTTTTATATGTAATCCCGTTTCCAACGAAATCCTCAAAGCTAGACAAATATCCACTTGCAGATTCCACAAAAAGAGTGTTTCAAAACTGCTCTATCAAAAGAATGCTTCAACACTGTTAGTTGAAGGCGCACATCACAAATAAGTTTCTGAGAATGCTTCTGTCTAGTTTTCAGGGGAAGATATTTCCTTTTAAACCATAGGCCTGAAAGCGCTCCAAATGTCCACATCCAGATACTACAAAAAGAGTGTTTCAAACCTGCTCTATGAAAGGGACTGTTCAACACTGTGACTTCAATTGAAACATCCCAATGACGCTTCTGAGAATGCTTCTGTCTAGAGTTTATATGAAGACAATCTCGTTTCCAACGAAATCCTCAAAGCTATCCAAATATCCTCTTGCAGATTTTACAAAAAGAGTGTTTCAAAACTGCTCTCTAAAAAGAAAGGTTCAACTCTGTTAGCTGAGTAGATACATCATGAAAAAGTTTCTGACATTGCTTCTATCTAGCTTTTATTGGAAGATATTTCCTTTTTCACCATAGGCCTGAAAGCGCTCCAAATGTCCACATCCAGATACTACAAAAAAAGTGTTTCAAACCTGCTCTATGAAAGGGAATGTTCAACTCTGTGACTTGAATGCAAACATCACAAAGAAGTTACTGGGAATGCTGCTGTCTGCTTTTTATATGTAATCCCGTTTCCAACGAAATCCTCAAAGCTAGACAAATATCCACTTGCAGATTCCACAAAACGAGTGTTTCAAAACTGCTCTCTCAAACGAAGGTTCAACTCTGTTAGCTGAGTAGATACATCATGAAAAAGTTTCTGACATTGCTTCTATCTAGCTTTTATTGGAAGATATTTCCTTTTTCACCGCAGTCCTGAGAGCGCTCCAAATGTCCACTTCCAGATACTACAAAAAGAGTGTTTCAAACCTGCTCTATGAAAGGGACTGTTCAACACTGTGACTTCAATTGAAACATCCCAATGAAGCTTCTGAGAATGCTTCTGTCTAGAGTTTATATGAAGACAATCCCGTTTCCAACGAAATCCTCAAAGCTATCCAAATATCCTCTTGCAGATTTTACAAAAAGAGTGTTTCAAAACTGCTCTATCAAAAGAAAGCTTCAACACTGTTTGTTGAGGGCGCACATCACAAATAAGATTCTGAGAATGCTTCTGTCTAGTTTTCAGGGGAAGATATTTCCTTTTTCACCATAGGCCTGAAAGCGCTCCAAATGTCCACATCCAGATACTACAAAAAGAGTGTTTCAAACCTGCTCTATGAAAGGGAATGTTCAACTCTGTGACTTGAATGCAAACATCACAAAGAAGATTCTGGGAATGCTGCTGTCTGCTTTTTATATGTAATCCCGTTTCCAACGAAATCCTCAAAGCTAGACAAATATCCACTTGCAGATTCCACAAAAAGAATGTTTCAAAACTGCTCTCTCAAAAGAAAGGTTCAACTCTGTTAGCTGAGTAGATACATCATGAAAAAGTTTCTGACATTGCTTCTATCTAGCTTTTATTGGAAGATATTTCCTTTATCATCGTAGTCCTGAGAGCGCTCCAAATGTCCACTTCCAGATACTACAAAAAGAGTGTTTCAAACCTGCTCTATGAAAGGGACTGTTCAACACTGTGACTTCAATTGAAACATCCCAATGAAGCTTCTGAGAATGCTTCTGTCTAGAGTTTATATGAAGACAATCCCGTTACCAACGAAATCCTCAAAGCTATCCAAATATCCTCTTGCAGATATTACAAAAAGAGTGTTTCAAAACTGCTCTATCAAAAGAAAGGTTCAACACTGTTAGTTGAGGGCGCACATCACAAATAAGTTTCTGAGAATGCTTCTGTCCAGTTTTCAGGGGAAGATATTTCCTTTTTCACCATAGGCCTGAAAGCGCTCCAAATGTCCACAACCAGATACTTCAAAAAGAGTGTTTCAAACCTGCTCTATGAAAGGGAATGTTCAACTCTCTGACTTGAATGCAAACATCACAAAGAAGTTACTGGGAATGCTGCTGTCTGCTTTTTATATGTAATCCCGTTTCCAACGAAATCCTCAAAGCTAGACAAATATCCACTTGCAGATTCCACAAAAAGAGTGTTTCAAAACTGCTCTATCAAAAGAATGCTTCAACACTGTTAGTTGAGGGCGCACATCACAAATAAGTTTCTGAGAATGCTTCTGTCTAGTTTTCAGGGGAAGATATTTCCTTTTAAACCATAGGCCTGAAAGCGCTCCAAATGTCCACATCCAGATACTACAAAAAGAGTGTTTCAAACCTGCTCTATGAAAGGGAATGTTCAACACTGTGACTTCAATTGAAACATCCCAATGACGCTTCTGAGAATGCTTCTGTCTAGAGTTTATATGAAGACAATCCCGTTTCCAACGAAATCCTCAGAGCTATCCAAATATCCTCTTGCAGATTTTACAAAAAGAGTGTTTCAAAACTGCTCTATCAAAAGAAAGGTTCAACACTGTTAGTTGAGGGCGCACATCACAAATAAGATTCTGAGAATGCTTCTGTCTAGTTTTCAGGGGAAGATATTTCCTTTTTCACCATAGGCCTGAAAGCGCTCCAAATGTCCACATCCAGATACTACAAAAAGAGTGTTTCAAACCTGCTCTATGAAAGGGAATGTTCAACTCTGTGACTTGAATGCAAACGTCACAAAGAAGTTTCTGGGAATGCTGCTGTCTGCTTTTTATATGTAATCCCGTTTCCAACGAAATCCTCAAAGCTAGACAAATATCCACTTGCAGATTCCACAAAAAGAGTGTTTCAAAACTGCTCTCTCAAAGGAAGGTTCAACTCTGTTAGCTGAGTAGATACATCATGAAAAAGTTTCTGACATTGCTTTCTATGTAGCTTTTATTGGAAGATATTTCCTTTTTCACCGCAGTCCTGAGAGCGCTCCAACTGTCCACTTCCAGATACTACAAAAAGAGTGTTTCAAACCTGCTCTATGAAAGGGACTGTTCAACACTGTGACTTCAATTGAAACATCCCAATGAAGCTTCTGAGAATGCTTCTGTCTAGATTTTATATGAAGACAATCCCGTTTCCAACGAAATCCTCAAAGCTATCCAAATATCCTCTTCCAGATTTTACAAAAAGAGTGTTTCAAAACTGCTCTATCAAAAGAAAGCTTCAACACTGTTAGTTGAGGGCGTACATCACAAATATGTTTCTGAGAATGCTTCTGTCTAGTTTTCAGGAGAAGATATTTCCTTTTTCATCATAGGCCTGAAAGCGCTCCAAATGTCCACATCCAGATACTATAAAAAGAGTGTTTCAAACCTGCTCTCTGAAAGGGAATGTTCAACTCTGTGACTTGAATGCAAACATCACAAACAAGATTCTGGGAATGCTGCTGTCTGCTTTTTATATGTAATCCCGTTTCCAACGAAATCCTCAAAGCTAGACAAATATCCACTTGCAGATTCCACAAAAAGAGTGTTTCAAAACTGCTCTATCAAAAGAAAGCTTCAACACTGTTAGTTGAGGGCGCACATCACAAATAAGTTTCTGAGAATGCTTCTGTCTAGTTTTCAGGGGAAGATATTTCCTTTTTCACCTTAGGCCTGAAAGCGCTCCAAATGTCCACATCCAGATACTACATAAAGAGTGTTTCAAACCTGCTCTCTGAAAGGGAATGTTCAACTCTGTGACTTGAATGCAAACATCACAAAGAAGTTTCTGGGAATGCTTCTGTCTAGAGTTTATATGAAGACAATCCCGTTTCCAACGAAATCCTCAAAGCTATCCAAATATCCTCTTGCAGATATTACAAAAAGAGTGTTTCAAAACTGCTCTATCAAAAGAAAGCTTCAACACTGTTAGTTGAGGGCGCACATCACAAATAAGTTTCTGAGAATGCTTCTGTCTAGTTTTCTGGGGAAGATATTTCCTTTTTCACCATAGGCCTGAAAGCGCTCCAAATGTCCACATCCAGATACTACAAAAAGAGTGTTTCAAACCTGCTCTATGAAAGGGAATGTTCAACTCTGTGACTTGAATGCAAACATCACAAAGAAGTTACTGGGAATGCTTCTGTCTAGAGTTTATATGAAGACAATCCCGTTTCCAACGAAATCCTCAAAGCTATCCAAATATCCTCTTGCAGATTTTACAAAAAGAGTGTTTCAAAACTGCTCTCTCAAAAGAAAGGTTCAACTCTGTTAGCTGAGTAGATACATCATGAAAAAGTTTCTGACATTGCCTCTATGTAGCTTTTATTGGAAGATATTTCCTTTTTCACCATAGGCCTGAAAGCGCTCCAAATGTCCACATCCAGATACTACAAAAAAAGTGTTTCAAACCTGCTCTATGAAAGGGAATGTTCAACTCTGTGACTTGAATGCAAACATCACAAAGAAGTTACTGGGAATGCTGCTGTCTGCTTTTTATATGTAATCCCGTTTCCAACGAAATCCTCAAAGCTAGACAAATATCCACTTGCAGATTCCACAAAAAGAGTGTTTCAAAACTGCTCTCTCAAAGGAAAGGTTCAACTCTGTTAGCTGAGTAGATACATCATGAAAAAGTTTCTGACATTGCTTCTATCTAGCTTTTATTGGAAGATATTTCCTTTTTCACCGCAGTCCTGAGAGCGTTCCAAATGTCCACTTCCAGATACTACAAAAAGAGTGTTTCAAACCTGCTCTATGAAAGGGACTGTTCAACACTGTGACTTCAATTGAAACATCCCAATGAAGCTTCTGAGAATGCTTCTGTCTAGAGTTTATATGAAGACAATCCCGTTTCCAACGAAATCCTCAAAGCTATCCAAATATCCTCTTGCAGATATTACAAAAAGAGTGTTTCAAAACTGCTCTATCAAAAGAAAGCTTCAACACTGTTAGTTGAGGGCGCACATCACAAATAAGTTTCTGAGAATGCTTCTGTCTAGTTTTCAGGGGAAGATATTTCCTTTTTCACCTTAGGCCTGAAAGCGCTGCAAATGTCCACATCAAGATACTACAAAAAGAGTGTTTCAAACCTGCTCTATGAAAGGGAATGTTCAACTCTGTGACTTGAATGCAAACATCACAAAGAAGTTTCTGGGAATGCTGCTGTCTGCTTTTTATATGTAATCCCGTTTCCAACGAAATCCTCAAAGCTAGACAAATATCCACTTGCAGATTCCACAAAAAGAGTGTTTCAAAACTGCTCTCTCAAAGGAAGGTTCAACTCTGTTAGCTGAGTAGATACATCATGAAAAAGTTTCTGACATTGCTTCTATCTAGCTTTTATTGGAAGATAGTTCCTTTTTCACCGCAGTCCTGAGAGCGCTCCAAATGTCCACTTCCAGATACTACAAAAAGAGTGTTTCAAACCTGCTCTATGAAAGGGACTGTTCAACACTGTGACTTCAATTGAAACATCCCAATGAAGCTTCTGAGAATGCTTCTGTCTAGAGTTTATATGAAGACAATCCCGTTTGCAACGAAATCCTCAAAGCTATCCAAATATCCTCTTGCAGATTTTACAAAAAGAGTGTTTCAAAACTGCTCTATCAAAAGAAAGCTTCAACACTGTTAGTTGAGGGCGCACATCACAAATAAGATTCTGAGAATGCTTCTGTCTAGTTTTCAGGGGAAGATATTTCCTTTTTCACCATAGGGCTGAAAGCGCTCCAAATGTCCACATCCAGATACTACAAAAAGAGTGTTTCAAACCTGCTCTCTGAAAGGGAATGTTCAACTCTGTGACTTGAATGCAAACATCACAAAGAAGTTTCTGGGAATGCTGCTGTCTGCTTTTTATATGTAATCCCGTTTCCAACGAAATCCTCAAAGCTAGACAAATATCCACTTGCAGATTCCACAAAAAGAGTGTTTCAAAACTGCTCTATCAAAAGAATGCTTCAACACTGTTAGTTGAAGGCGCACATCACAAATAAGTTTCTGAGAATGCTTCTGTCTAGTTTTCAGGGGAAGATATTTCCTTTTTCACCATAGGCCTGAAAGCGCTCCAAATGTCCACATCCAGATACTACAAAAAGAGTGTTTCAAACCTGCTCTATGAAAGGGACTGTTCAACACTGTGACTTCAATTGAAACATCCCAATGAAGCTTCTGAGAATGCTTCTGTCTAGAGTTTATATGAAGACAATCCCGTTTCCAACGAAATCCTCAAAGCTATCCAAATATCCTCTTGCAGATTTTACGAAAAGAGTGTTTCAAAACTGCTCTATCAAAAGAAAGCTTCAACACTGTTAGTTGAGGGTGCACATCACAAATAAGATTCTGAGAATGCTTCTATCTAGCTTTTGTTGGAAGATATTTCCTTTTTCACTGTAGTCCTGAGAACGCTCCAAATGTCCACTTCCAGATACTACAAAAAGAGTGTTTCAAACCTGCTCTATCAAAGGGACTGTTCAACACTGTGACTTCAATTGAAACATCCCAATGAAGCTTCTGAGAATGCTTCTGTCTAGATTCTATATGAAGACAATCCCGTTTCCAACGAAATCCTCAAAGCTATCCAAATATCCTCTTGCAGATTTTACAAAAAGAGTGTTTCAAAACTGCTCTATCAAAAGAAAGGTTCAACATTGTTAGTTGAGGGCGCACATCACAAATAAGTTTCTGAGAATGCTTCTGTCTAGTTTTCAGTTGAAGATATTTCCTTTTTCACCATAGGCCTGAAAGCGCTCCAAATGTCCACATCCAGATACTACAAAAAGAGTGTTTCAAACCTGCTCTATGAAAGGGAATGTTCAACTCTGTGACTTGAATGCAAACATCACAAAGAAGTTTCTGGGAATGCTGCTGTCTGCTTTTTATATGTAATCCCGTTTCCAACGAAATCCTCAAAGCTAGACAAATATCCACTTGCAGATTCCACAAAAAGAGTGTTTCAAAACTGCTCTCTCAAAAGGAAGGTTCAACTCTGTTAGCTGAGTAGAAACATCATGAAAAATTTTCTGACATTGCTTCTTTCTAGCTTTATTTGGAAGATATTTCCTTTTTCACCGTAGTCCTGAGAACGCTCCAAATGTCCACTTCCAGATACTACAAAAAGATTGTTTCAAACATGCTCTATGAAAGGGACTGTTCAACACTGTGACTTCAATTGAAACATCCCAATGAAGCTTCTGAGAATGCTTCTGTCTAGAGTTTATATGAAGACAATCCCGTTTCCAACGAAATCCTCAAATCTATCCAAATATCCTCTTGCAGATTTTACAAAAAGAGTGTTTCAAAACTGCTCTATCAAAAGAAAGCTTCAACACTGTTAGTTGAGTGCGCACATCACAAATAAGATTCTGGGAATGCTTCTGTCTAGTTTTCAGGGGAAGATATTTCCTTTTTCACAATAGGCCTGAAAGCGCTCCAAATGTCCACATCCAGATACTACAAAAAGAGTGTTTCAAACCTGCTCTATGAAAGGGAATGTTCAACTCTGTGACTTGAATGCAAACATCACAAAGAAGTTACTGGGAATGCTGCTGTCTGCTTTTTATATGTAATCCCGTTTCCAACGAAATCCTCAAAGCTAGACAAATATCCACTTTCAGATTACACAAAAAGAGTGTTTCAAAACTGCTCTCTCAAAAGAAAGGTTCAACTCTGTTAGCTGAGTAGATACATCATGAAAAAGTTTCTGACATTGCTTTCTATCTAGCTTTTATTGGAAGATACTTCCTTTTTCACCGTAGTCCTGAGAGCGCTCCAAATGTCCACTTCCAGATACTACAAAAAGAGTGTTTCAAACTTGCTCTATGAAAGGGACTGTTCAACACTGTGACTTCAATTGAAACATCCCAATGAAGCTTCTGAGAATGCTGCTGTCTGCTTTTTATATGTAATCCCGTTTCCAACGAAATCCTCAAAGCTAGACAAATATCCACTTGCAGATTCCACAAAAAGACTGTTTCAAAACTGCTCTCTCAAAGGAAAGGTTCAACTCTGTTAGCTGAGTAGATACATCATGAAAAAGTTTCTGACATTGCTTCTATCTAGCTTTTATTGGAAGATATTTCCTTTATCACCGTATTCCTGAGATCTCTCAAAATGTCCACTTCCAGATACTACAAAAAGAGTGTTTCAAACCTGCTCTATGAAAGGGACTGTTCAACACTGTGACTTCAATTGAAACATCCCAATGAAGCTTCTGAGAATGCTTCTTTCTAGAGTTTATATGAAGACAATCCCGTTTCCAACGAAATCCTCAAAGCTATCCAAATATTCTCTTGCAGATATTACAAAAAGAGTGTTTCAAAACTGCTCTATCAAAATAAAGCTTCAACACTGTTAGTTGAGGGCGCACATCACAAATAAGTTTCTGAGAATGCTGCTGTCTGCTTTTTATATGTAATCCCGTTTCCAACGAAATCCTCAAAGCTAGACAAATATCCACTTGCAGATTCCACAAAAAGAGTGTTTCAAAACTGCTCTCTCAAAGGAAGGTTCAACACTGTTAGTTGAGGGCGCACATCACAAATAAGTTTCTGAGAATGCTTCTGTCTAGTTTTCAGGGGAAGATATTTCCTTTTAAACCGTAGGCCTGAAAGCGCTCCAAATGTCCACATCCAGATACTACAAAAAGAGTGTTTCAAACCTGCTCTATGAAAGGGACTGTTCAACACTGTGACTTCAATTGAAACATCCCAATGAAGCTTCTGAGAATGCTTCTGTCTAGAGTTTATATGAAGACAATCCCGTTTCCAACGAAATCCTCAAAGCTATCCAAATATCCTCTTGCAGATATTACAAAAAGAGTGTTTCAAAACTGCTCTATCAAAAGAAAGCTTCAACACTGTTAGTTGAGGGCGCACATCACAAATAAGTTTCTGAGAATGCTTCTGTCTAGTTTTCAGGGGAAGATATTTCCTTTTAAACCATAGGCCTGAAAGCGCTCCAAATGTCCACATCCAGATACTACAAAAAGAGTGTTTCAAACCTGCTCTATGAAAGGGAATGTTCAACTCTGTGACTTGAATGCAAACATCACAAGGAAGTTTCTGGGAATGCTGCTGTCTGCTTTTTATATGTAATCCCGTTTCCAACGAAATCCTCAAAGCTAGACAAATATCCACTTGCAGATTCCACAAAAAGAGTGTTTCAAAACTGCTCTATCAAAAGAATGCTTCAACACTGTTAGTTGAGGGCGCACATCACAAATAAGTTTCTGAGAATGCTTCTGTCTATTTTTCAGGGGAAGATATTTCCTTTTAAACCATAGGCCTGAAAGCGCTCCAAATGTCCACATCCAGATACTACAAAAAGAGTGTTTCAAACCTGCTCTATGAAAGGGACTGTTCAACACTGTGACTTCAATTGAAACATCCCAATGAAGCTTCTGAGAATGCTACTGTCTAGAGTTTATATGAAGACAATCCCGTTTCCAATGAAATCCTCAAAACTATCCAAATATCCTCTTGCAGATTTTACAAAAAGAGTGTTTGAAAACTGCTCTATCAAAAGAAAGCTTCAACACTGTTAGTTGAGGGCGCACATCACAAATAAGTTTCTGAGAATGCTTCTGTCTAGTTTTCAGGAGAAGATATTTCCTTTTTCACCATAGGCCTGAAAGCGCTCCAAATGTCCACATCCAGATACTACAAAAAGAGTGTTTCAAACCTGCTCTATGAAAGGGAATGTTCAACTCTGTGACTTGAATGCAAATTTCACAAAGAAGTTTCTGGGAATGCTGCTGTCTGCTTTTTATATGTAATCCCGTTTCCAACGAAATCCTCAAAGCTAGACAAATATCCACTTGCAGATTCCACAAAAAGAGTGTTTCAAAACTGCTCTCTCAAAAGAAAGGTTCAACTCTGTTAGCTGAGTGGATACATCATGAAAAAGTTTCTGACATTGCTTCTATCTAGCTTTTATTGGAAGATATTTCCTTTATCACGGTATTCCTGAGATCTCTCCAAAAGTCCACTTCCAGATACTACAAAAAGAGTGTTTCAAACCTGCTCTATGAAAGGGACTGTTCAACACTGTGACTTCAATTGAAACATCCCAATGAAGCTTCTGAGAATGCTTCTGTCTAGAGTTTATATGAAGACAATCCCGTTTCCAACGAAATCCTCAAAGCTATCCAAATATCCACTTGCAGATTTTACAAAAAGAGTGTTTCAAAACTGCTCTATCAAAAGAAAGCTTCTACACTGTTAGTTGAGGGCCCACATCACAAATAAGATTCTGAGAATGCTTCTGTCTAGTTTTCAGGGGAAGATATTTCCTTTTTCACCATAGGCCTGAAAGCGCTCCAAATGTCCACATACAGATACTACAAAAAGAGTGTTTCAAACCTGCTCTATGAAAGGGAATGTTCAACTCTGTGACTTGAATGCAAACTTCACAAAGAAGTTTCTGGGAATGCTGCTGTCTGCTTTTTATATGTAATCCCGTTTCCAAAGAAATCCTCAAAGCTAGACAAATATCCACTTGCAGATCCCACAAAAAGAGTGTTTCAAAACTGCTCTCTCAAAAGAAAGGTTCAACTCTTTTAGCTGAGTAGATACATCATGAAATAGTTTCTCACATTGCTTCTATCTAGCTTTTATTGCAAGATATTTCCTTTTTCACCGCAGTCCTGAGAGCGCTCCAAATGTCCACTTCCAGATACTACAAAAAGAGTGTTTCAAACCTGCTCTATGAAAGGGACTGTTCAACACTGTGACTTTAATTGAAACATCCCAATGAAGCTTCTGAGAATGCTTCTGTCTAGAGTTTATATGAAGACAATCCCGTTTCCAACGAAATCCTCAAAGCCATCCAAATATCCTCTTGCAGATTTTACAAAAAGAGTGTTTCAAAACTGCTCTATCAAAAGAAAGCTTCAACACTGTTAGTTGAGGGCGCACATCACAAATAAGATTCTGAGAATGTTTCTGTCTAGTTTTCAGGGGAAGATATTTCCTTTTTCACCATTGGCCTGAAAGCGCTCCAAATGTCCACATCCAGATACTACAAAAAGAGTGTTTCAAACCTGCTCTATGAAAGGGAATGTTCAACTCTGTGACTTGAATGCAAACATCACAAAGAAATTTCTGGGAATGCTGCTGTCTGCTTTTTATATGTAATCCCGTTTCCAACGAAATCCTCAAAGCTAGACAAATATCCACTTGCAGATTCCACAAAAAGAGTGTTTCAAAACTGCTCTCTCAAAAGAAAGGTTCAACTCTGTTAGCTGAGTAGATACATCATGAAAAAGTTTCTGATATTGCTTCTATGTAGCTTTTATTGGAAGATATTTCCTTTTTCACCGCAGTCCTGAGAGCGCTCCAAATGTCCACTTCCAGATACTACAAAAAGAGTGTTTCAAACCTGCTCTATGAAAGGGACCGTTCAACACTGTGACTTCAACTGAAACATCCCAATGAAGCTTCTGAGAATGCTTCTGTCTAGAGTTTATATGAAGACAATCCCGTTTCCAACGAAATCCTCAAAGCTATCCAAATATCCTCTTGCAGATATTACAAAAAGAGTGTTTCAAAACTGCTCTATCAAAAGAAAGCTTCAACACTGTTCGTTGAGGGCGCACATCACAAATAAGACTCTGAGAATGCTTCTGTCTAGTTTTCAGGGGAAGATATTTCCTTTTTCACCATAGGCCTGAAAGCGCTCCAAATGTCCACATCCAGATATTACAAAAAGAGTGTTTCAAACCTGCTCTATGAAAGGGAATGTTCAACTCTGTGACTTGAATGCAAACATCACAAAGAAGATTCTGGGAATGCTGCTGTCTGCTTTTTATATGTAATCCCGTTTCCAACGAAATCTTCAAAGCTAGACAAATATCCACTTGCAGATTCCACAAAAAGAGTGTTTCAAAACTGCTATCTCAAAAGAAAGGTTCAACTCTGTCAGCTGAGTAGATACATCATGAAAAAGTTTCTGACATTGCTTCTATCTAGCTTTTATTGGAAGATATTTCCTTTATCACCGTATTCCTGAGATCTCTCCAAATGTCCACTTCCAGATACTACAAAAAGAGTGTTTCAAACCTGCTCTATGAAAGGGACTGTTCAACACTATGACTTCAATTGAAACATCCCAATGAAGCTTCTGAGAATGCTTCTGTCTAGAGTTTATATGAAGACAATCCCGTTTCCAACGAAATCCTCAAAGCTATCCAAATATCCTCTTGCAGATTTTACGAAAAGAGTGTTTCAAAACTGCTCTATCAAAAGAAAGCTTCAACACTGTTAGTTGAGGGCGCACAGCACCAATAAGATTCTGAGAATGCTTCTGTCTAGTTTTCAGGGGAAGATATTTCCTTTTTCACCATAGGCCTGAAAGCGCTCCAAATGTCCACATCCAGATACTACAAAAAGAGTGTTTGAAACCTGCTCTATGAAAGGGAATGTTCAACTCTGTGACTTGAATGCAAACATCACAAAGAAGATTCTGGGAATGCTGCTGTCTGCTTTTTATATGTAATCCCGTTTCCAACGAAATCCTCAAAGCTAGACAAATATCCACTTGCAGATTCCACAAAAAGAGTGTTTCAAAACTGCTCTCTGAAAGGAAAGGTTCAACTCTGTTAGCTGAGTAGATACATCATGAAAAAGTTTCTGACATTGCTTCTGTCTACTTTTCAGGGGAAGATATTTCCTTTTTCACCATAGGCCTGAAAGCGCTCCAAATGTCCACATCCAGATACTACAAAAAGAGTGTTTCAAACCTGCTCTATGAAAGGGAATGTTCAACTCTGTGACTTGAATGCAAATATCACAAAGAAGTTTCTGGGAATGCTTCTGTCTAGAGTTTATATGAAGACAATCCCGTTTCCAACGAAATCCTCAAAGCTAGACAAATATCCACTTGCAGATTCCACAAAAAGAGTGTTTCAAAACTGCTCTCTCAAAGGAAGGTTCAGTTCAACTCTGTTAGCTGAGTAGATACATCATGAAAAAGTTTCTGACATTGCTTCTATCTAGCTTTTATTGGAAGATATTTCCTTTTTCACGGTAGTCCTGAGAACGCTCCAAATGTCCACTTCCAGATACTACAAAAAGAGTGTTTCAAATCTGCTCTATGAAAGGGACTGTTCAACACTGTGACTTCAATTGAAACATCCCAATGAAGCTTCTGAGAATGATTCTGTCTAGATTCTATATGAAGACAATCCCGTTTCCAACGAAATCCTCAAAGCTATCCAAATATCCTCTTGCGGATTTTACAAAAAGAGTGTATCAAAACTGCTCTATCAAAAGAAAGGTTCAACACTGTTAGTTGAGGGCGCACATCACAAATAAGTTTCTGAGAATGCTTCTGTCTAGTTTTCAGGAGAAGATATTTCCCTTTTCACCATAGGCCTGAAAGCACTCCAAAGGTCCACATCCAGATACTATAAAAAGAGTGTTTCAAACCTGCTCTCTAAAAGGGAATGTTGAACTCTGTGACTTGAATGCAAACATCACAAACAAGATTTTCGGAATGCTGCTGTCTGCTTTTTATATGTAATCCCGTTTCCAACGAAATCCTCAAAGCTATCCAAATATCCTCTTGCAGATATTACAAAAAGAGTGTTTCAAAACTGCTCTATCAAAAGAAAGGTTCAACACTGTTAGTTGAGGGCGCACATCACAAATAAGTTTCTGAGAATGCTTCTGTCTAGTTTTCAGGGGAAGATATTTCCTTTTTCACCATAGGCCTGAAAGCGCTCCAAATGTCCACATCCAGATACTACAAAAAGAGTGTTTCAAACCTGCTCTATGAAAGTGAATGTTCAACTCTGTGACTTGAATGCAAACATCACAAAGAAGTTACTGGGAATGCTGCTGTCTGCTTTTTATATGTAATCCCGTTTCCAACGAAATCCTCAAAGCTCGACAAATATCCACTTGCAGATTCCACAAAAAGAGTGTTTCAAAACTGCTCTCTCAAAGGAAAGGTGCAACTCTGTTAGCTGAGTAGATACATCATGAAAAAGTTTCTGACATTGCTTCTATGTAGCTTTTATTGGAAGATATTTCCTTTTTCACCATAGTCCTGAGAGCGCTCCAAATGTCCACTTCCAGATACTACAAAAAGAGTGTTTCAAACCTGTTCTATGAAAGGAACTGTTCAACACTGTGACTTCAATTGAAACATCCCAATGAAGCTTCTGAGAATGCTTCTGTCTAGAGTTTATATGAAGACAATCCCGTTTCCAACGAAATCCTCAAAGCTATCCTAATATCCTCTTGCAGATATTACAAAAAGAGTGTTTCAAAACTGCTCTATCAAAAGAAAGCTTCAACACTGTTAGTTGAGGGCGCACATCACAAATAGGTTTCTGAGAATGCTTCTGTCTAGTTTTCAGGGGAAGATATTTCCTTTTTCACCATAGGCCTGAAAGCGCTCCAAATGTCCACATCCAGATACTTCAAAAAGAGTGTTTCAAACCTGCTCTATGAAAGGGAATGTTCAACTCTGTGACTTGAATGAAAACATCACAAAGAAGTTAGTGGGAATGCTGCTGTCTGCTTTTTATATGTAATCCCGTTTCCAACGAAATCCTCAAAGCTAGACAAATATCCACTTGCAGATTCCACAAAAAGAGTGTTTCAAAACTGCTCTCTCAAAGGAAAGGTTCAACTCTGTTAGCTGAGTAGATACATCATGAAAAAGTTTCTGACATTGCTTTCTATGTAGCTTTTATTGGAAGATACTTCCTTTTTCACTGCAGTCCTGAGAGCGCTCCAAATGTCCACTTCCAGATACTACAAAAAGAGTGTTTCAAACCTGCTCTATGAAAGGGACTGTTCAACACTGTGACTTCAATTGAAACATCCCAATGAGGCTTCTGAGAATGCTTCTGTCTAGAGTTTATATGAAGACAATTCCGTTTACAACGAAATCCTCAAAGCTATCCAAATATCCTCTTGCAGATTTTACAAAAAGAGTGTTTCAAAACTGCTCTATCAAAAGAAAGCTTCAACACTGTTAGTTGAGGGCGCACATCACAAATAAGATTCTGAGAATGCTTCTGTCTAGTTTTCAGGGGAAGATATTTCCTTTTTCACCATAGGCCTGAAAGCGCTCCAAATGTCCATATCCAGATACTACAAAAAGAGTGTTTCAAACCTGCTCTATGAAAGGGAATGTTCAACTCTGTGACTTGAATGCTAACTTCACAAAGAAGTTTCTGGGAATGCTGCTGTCTGCTTTTTATATGTAATCCCGTTTCCAACGAAATCCTCAATGCTAGACAAATATCCACTTGCAGATTCCACAAAAAGAGTGTTTCAAAACTGCTCTCTCAAAAGAAAGGTTCAACTCTGTTAGCTGAGTAGATACATCATGAAAAAGTTTCTGACATTGCTTCTATCTAGCTTTTATTGGAAGATATTTCCTTTATCACCGTAGTCCTGAGAGCGCTCCAAATGTCCACTTCCAGATACTACAAAAACAGTGTTTCAAACCTGCTCTATGAAAGGGACTGTTCAACACTGTGACTTCAATTGAAACACCCCAATGAAGCTTCTGAGAATGCTTCTGTCTAGAGTTTATATGAAGACAATCCCGTTTCCAACGAAATCCTCAAAGCTATCCAAATATCCTCTTGCAGATATTACAAAAAGAGTGTTTCAAAACTGCTCTATCAAAAGAAAGCTTCAACACTGTTAGTTGAGGGCGCACATCACAAATAAGTTTCTGAGAATGCTTCTGTCTAGTTTTCAGGGGAAGATATTTCCTTTTTCACCATAGGCCTGAAAGCGCTCCAAATGTCCACATACAGATACTACAAAAAGAGTGTTTCAAACCTGCTCTATGAAAGGGAATGTTCAACTCTGTGACTTCAATGCAAACTTCACAAAGAAGTTTCTGGGAATGCTGCTGTCTGCTTTTTATATGTAATCCCGTTTCCAACGAAATCCTCAAAGCTAGACAAATATCCACTTGCAGATTCCACAAAAAGAGTGTTTCAAAACTGCTCTCTCAAAAGAAAGGTTCAACTCTGTTAGCTGAGTAGATACGTCATGAAAAAGTTTCTGACATTGCTTCTATCTAGCTTTTATTGGAAGATATTTCCTTTTTCACCGTAGTCCTGAGAGCGCTCCAAATGTCCACTTCCAGATACTACAAAAAGAGTGTTTCAAACCTGCTCTATGAAAGGGACTGTTCAACACTGTGACTTCAGTTGAAACATCCCAATGTAGCTTCTGAGAATGCTTCTGTCTAGAGTTTATATGAAGACAATCCCGTTTCCAACGAAATCCTCAAAGCTATCCAAATATCCTCTTGCAGATTTTACAAAAAGAGTGTTTCAAAACTGCTCTATCAAAAGAAAGGTTCAACACTGTTAGTTGAGGGCGCACATCACAAATAAGTTTCTGAGAATGCTTCTGTCTACTTTTCAGGGGAAGATATTTCCTTTTTCACCATAGGCCTGAAAGCGCTCCAAATGTCCACATCCAGATACTACAAAAAGAGTGTTTCAAACCTGCTCTATGAAAGGGAATGTTCAACTGTGTGACTTGAATGCAACCATCACAAAGAAGTTTCTGGGAATGCTGCTGTCTCCTTTTTATATGTAATCCCGTTTCCAACGAAATCCTCAAAGCTAGACAAATATCCACTTGCAGATTCCACAAAAAGAGTGTTTCAAAACTGCTCTCTGAAAAGAAAGGTTCAACTCTGTTAGCTGAGTAGATACATCATGAAAAAGTTTCTGACATTGCTTCTATGTAGCTTTTATTGGAAGATATTTCCATTTTCACCGTAGTCCTGAGAGCGCTCCAAATGTCCACTTCCAGATACTACAAAAAGAGTGTTTCAAACCTGTTCTATGAAAGGAACTGTTCAACACTGTGACTTCAATTGAAACATCCCAATGAAGCTTCTGAGAATGCTTCTGTCTAGAGTTTATATGAAGACAATCCCGTTTCCAACGAAATCCTCAAAGCTATCCAAATATCCTCTTGCAGATATTACAAAAAGAGTGTTTCAAAACTGCTCTATCAAAAGAAAGCTTCAACACTGTTAGTTGAGGGCGCACATCACAAATAAGTTTCTGAGAATGCTTCTGTCTAGTTTTCAGGGGAAGATATTTCCTTTTTCACCATAGGCCTGAAAGCGCTCCAAATGTCCACATACAGATACTACAAAAAGAGTGTTTCAAACCTGCTCTATGAAAGGGAATGTTCAACTCTGTGACTTGAATGCAAACATCACAAAAATTTTCTGGGAATGCTACTGTCTGCTTTTTATATGTAATCCCGTTTCCAACGAAATCCTCAAAGCTAGACAAATATCCACTTGCAGATTCCACAAAAAGAGTGTTTCAAAACTGCTCTCTCAAAAGAAAGGTTCAACTCTGTTAGCTGAGTAGATACATCATGAAAAAGTTTCTGACATTGCTTTTATCTAGCTTTTATTGGAAGACATTTCCTTTATCACCGTATTCCTGAGATCTCTCCAAATGTCCACTTCCAGATACTACAAAAAGAGTGTTTCAAACCTGCTCTATGAAAGGGACTGTTCAACACTGTGACTTCAATTGAAACATCCCAATGAAGCTTCTGAGAATGCTTCTGTCTAGAGTTTATATGAAGACAATCCCGTTTCCAACGAAATCCTCAAAGCTGTCCAAATATGTTCTTGCAGATTTTACAAAAAGAGTGTTTCAAAACTGCTCTATCAAAAGAAAGGTTCAACACTGTTAGTTGAGGGCGCACATCACAAATAAATTTCTGAGAATGCTTCTGTCTAGTTTTCAGGAGAAGATATTTCCTTTTTCACCATAGGCCTGAAAGCGCTCCAAATGTGCACATCCAGATACTATAAAAAGAGTGTTTCAAACCTGCTCTATGAAAGGGAATGTTCAACTCTGTGACTTGAATGCAAACATCACAAACAAGATTCTGGGAATGCTGCTGTCTGCTTTTTATATGTAATCCCGTTTCCAACGAAATCCTCAATGCTAGACAAATATCCACTTGCAGATTCCACAAAAAGAGTGTTTCAAAACTGCTCTCTCAAAAGAAAGGTTCAACTCTGTTAGCTGAGTAGATACATCATGAAAAAGTTTCTGACATTGCTTCTATGTAGCTTTTATTGGAAGATATTTCCATTTTCACCGTAGTCCTGAGAGCGCTCCAAATGTCCACTTCCAGATACTACAAAAAGAGTGTTTCAAACCTGTTCTATGAAAGGAACTGTTCAACACTGTGACTTCAATTGAAACATCCCAATGAAGCTTCTGAGAATGCTTCTGTCTAGAGTTTATATGAAGACAATCCCGTTTCCAACGAAATCCTGAAAGCTATCCAAATATCCTCTTGCAGATTTTACAAAAAGAGTGTTTCAAAACTGCTCTATCAAAAGAAAGCTTCAACACTGTTAGTTGAGGGCGCACATCACAAATAAGTTTCTGAGAATGCTTCTGTCTAGTTTTCAGGGGAAGATATTTCCTTTTTCACCTTAGGCCTGAAATCGCTGCAAATGTCCACATCCAGATACTACAAAAAGAGTGTTTCAAACCTGCTCTATGAAAGGGAGTGTTCAACTCTGTGACTTGAATGCAAACATCACAAAGAAGTTTCTGGGAATGCTGCTGTCTGCTTTTTATATGTAATCCCGTTTCCAACGAAATCCTCAAAGCTAGACAAATATCCACTTGCAGATTCCACAAAAAGAGTGTTTCAAAACTGCTCTCTCAAAGGAAGGTTCAACTCTGTTAGCTGAGTAGATACATCATGAAAAAGTTTCTGACATTGCTTCTATCTAGCTTTTATTGGAAGATATTTCCTTTTTCACCGCAGTCCTGAGAGCGCTCCAAATGTCCACTTCCAGATACTACAAAAAGAGTGTTTCAAACCTGCTCTATGAAATGGACTGTTCAACACTGTGACTTCAGTTGAAACATCCCAATGAAGCTTCTGAGAATGCTTCTGTCTAGAGTTTATATGAAGACAATCCCGTTTCCAACGAAATCCTCAAAGCTATCCAAATATCCTCTTGCAGATTTTACGAAAAGAGTGTTTCAAAACTGCTCTATCAAAAGAAAGCTTCAACACTGTTAGTTGAGGGTGCACATCACAAATAAGATTCTGAGAATGCTTCTGTCTAGATTTCAGGAGAAGATATTTCCTTTTTCACCATAGGCCTGAAAGCGCTCCAAATGTCCACATCCAGATACTATAAAAAGAGTGTTTCAAACCTGCTCTCTGAAAGGGAATGTTCAACTCTGTGACTTGAATGCAAACATCACAAACAAGATTCTGGGAATGCTGCTGTCTGCTTTTTATATGTAATCCCGTTTCCAACGAAATCCTCAAAGCTAGACAAATATCCACTTGCAGATTCCACAAAAAGAGTGTTTCAAAACTGCTCTATCAAAAGAAAGCTTCAACACTGTTAGTTGAGGGCGCACATCACAAATAAGTTTCTGAGAATGCTTCTATCTAGCTTTTATTGGAAGATATTTCCTTTGTCACCGTATTCCTGAGATCTCTCCAAATGTCCACTTCCAGATACTAAAAAAAGAGTGTTTCAAACCTGCTCTATGAAAGGGACTGTTCAACACTGTGACTTCAATTGAAACATCCCAATGAAGCTTCTGAGAATGCTTCTGTCTAGAGTTTATATGAAGACAATCCCGTTTCCAACGAAATCCTCAAATCTATCCAAATGTCCTCTTGCAGATTTTACGAAAAGAGTGTTTCAAAACTGCTCTATCAAAAGAAAGCTTCAACACTGTTAGTTGAGGGTGCACATCACAAATAAGATTCTGAGAATGCTTCTGTCTAGTTTTCAGGGGAAGATATTTCCTTTTTCACCATAGGCCTGAAAGCGCTCCAAATGTCCACATCCAGATACTACAAAAAGAGTGTTTCAAACCTGCTCTATGAAAGGGAATGTTCAAGTCTGTGACTTGAATGCAAACATCACAAAGAAGTTTCTGGGAATGCTGCTGTCTGCTTTTTATATGTAATCCCGTTTCCAACGCAATCCTCAAAGCTAGACAAATATCCACTTGCAGATTCCACAAAAAGAGTGTTTCAAAACTGCTCTCCCAAAAGAAAGGTTCAACTCTGTTAGCTGAGTAGATACATCATGAAAGTGTTTCTGACATTGCTTCTGTCTAGTTTTCAGGGGAAGATATTTCCTTTTTCACCATAGGCCTGAAAGCGCTCCAAATGTCCACATCCAGATACTACAAAAAGAGTGTTTCAAACCTGCTCTATGAAAGGGACTGTTCAACACTGTGACTTCAATTGAAACATCCCAATGAAGCTTCTGAGAATGCTTCTGTCTAGAGTTTATATGAAGACAATCCCGTTTCCAACGAAATCCTCAAAGCTATCCAAATATCCTCTTGCAGATATTACAAAAAGAGTGTTTCAAAACTGCTCTATCAAAAGAAAGGTTCAACAGTGTTAGTTGAGGGCGCACATCACAAATAAGTTTCTGAGAATGCTTCTGTCTAGTTTTCAGGGGAAGATATTTCCTTTTTCACCATAGACCTGAAAGCGCTCCAAATGTCCACATACAGATACTACAAAAAGAGTGTTTCAAACCTGCTCTATGAAAGGGAATGTTCAACTGTGTGACTTGAATGCAAACATCACAAAGAAGTTTCTGGGAATGCTGCTGTCTGCTTTTTATATGTAATCCCGTTTCCAACGAAATCCTCAAAGCTAGACAAATATCCACTTGCAGATTCCACAAAAAGAGTGTTTCAAAACTGCTCTCTCAAAAGAAAGGTTCAACTCTGTTTGCTGAGTAGATACATCATGAAAAAGTTTCTGACATTGCTTCTATCTAGCTTTTATTGGAAGATACTTCCTTTTTCACCGTAGTCCTGAGAGCGCTCCAAATGTCCACTTCCAGATACTACAAAAAGAGTGTTTCAAACCTGCTCTATGAAAGGGACTGTTCAACACTGTGACTTCAATTGAAACATCCCAATGAAGCTTCTGAGAATGCTTCTGTCTAGCAGTTTATATGAAGACAATCCCGTTTCCAACGAAATCCTCAAAGCTATCCAAATATCCTCTTGCAGATATTACAAAAAGAGTGTTTCAAAACTGCTCTATCAAAAGAAAGGTTCAACACTGTTAGTTGAGGGCGCACATCACAAATAAGTTTCTGAGAATGCTCTTCTGTCTAGTTTTCAGGAGAAGATATTTCCTTTTTCACCATAGGCCTGAAAGCGCTCCAAATGTCCACATCGAGATAATACAAAAAGAGTGTTTCAAACCTGCTATATGAAAGGGCCACCGTGCCTCGGCCCAGAACTTTAAAAATATTCTCCAATGGAAACTCTGCATCTATTAAACAATAACTCCCCATTTTCCCTCCTCCCAGCCCCTGGCAACCATCATTCTACTTTCTCTGAATGCCACCACTCTACCTACTTCATATAAGTAGAATCATAAAATATTTGTCCTTATGTGGCTGACATATTTCACTTAGCACAATGTCCTCAACGTTCGCCCATGCGGTAGCATATATCA